>NC_000015.10:83939002-84270066 GCF_000001405.40 Homo sapiens
TAACATTTACAAATGTTTTTCTGTCTCTATTGAAATGATCATATGAATTTTTTCCTATAGTTTGCTATGTCGTAGACACTGATTGATTTTCCAAGGTTGAACCAATTTTGCCTTCCTAGAATAAACCCAGATTGGTCACCATGTAACATTATTTTTCACTTTATCACTTGATTGCTAATATTTTATTTAGGATTTTTAAATCTGTTTATGAGTGACATAGGCTTAAATGAGTTGGGAAGTTCTTCTTCTTTTTTTTTTGAGAGTTTATATAAGGTTGGAATTGTTTATGCCTTAAATGTTTAGTAGAATTTCACCAAGGAAGCCATCTGACATGGAGTTTATTTTAGATACTTTAAATAACAAATTTAACTTAATAGATATAAGACTATTCCGATTTCTCTTCACTTGTGTGTTAGTTTTGATAAGTTGGTTTTTGTAGGAATTTTTTCAGTTCATGTAAACTTTCAAATTTATTGACATAATGTTTTTCATTACTTATTGTACTTTTTTTATGCCACAATGTCCCTTCTTGAATTCCTGATTTTATAATGTGTGCCTTCTCTCTTTTTTCTCCATATTTTATCAATAATTTATTAATCTTGTTGGTCTTTTGAAGGACCAACTTTTTTTTTTTTTTTAGACAGAGTCTTGCTCTGTCACCCAGGCTGGAGTGCAGTGGCCTGATCTCAGCTCACTGAAAGCTCCGCCTCCTGGGTTCAACCAGTTCTCATGCCTCAGCCTACCAAGTAGCTGGGATTACAGGCGTGCACCACCACACCCAGCAAATTTTTGTGTTTTCAGTGGCGATGGGGTTTCACCATGTTGGCCAGGCTGGTCTTGAACTCCTGACCTCAGGTGACCTGCCCACCTCAGCCTCCCAAAGTGATGGGATTACAGGCATGAGCCACCGCACCCCGCCAGGACCAACTTTTTGTTTCATTTTCTAATTCATTCATTTTATTCTCATGTTTATTGCTTCCTTTCTTCTACTTTTTTTGGGATGTAATTGCTATTCTTTTTTTAACCTCTTGAAATGGTTACTTAGATTATTATTGTCAAACTTTTTTAATATATCATTTAAGGCTATTGATTTTCTTCTAATCATGGCTTTAGCTAAATTCCACAAACTTTGACATTTGATATTTCTATTAGTGTGCATTTAAAAATACTATTTACTTTCCCTTGTGATTTCTTCTTTGGCCCATGCGCAATTTAGAAGATTACAGCGTACTTTCTAAGTATTTGGGCTTTATCTAATTTAGTTCCACTGTGGTCAGAAAATATACTGAATTAGTCACCTCACACTGCCATAACAAAATACCGTAAGGGTGGCTTCGAAGACAGAACTGTATTTTCTCACAGTCTGGAGGCTGGAAAGTCCAAGACTAAAGGGTTCAGTTTTTGGTGAGGGCTCTCTTCCTGACTTGCAGACAGCAGATGTCTTGCTGTGTCCTCACATGGTGGAGAGAGAGCAAGCTCCCTGGTGTCTCTTTTTACAAAGGCACTAATCCCATCATGAGGGCTCCACTCTCATGTCCCCATCTAACCCTAATTACCTCTCAAAGGTCCCATCTCTAAATACCATCATGCTGGGGTTTAGGGCTTCAACATTTGAATTTGTTGGTGACACAAACCTTCAGACCACATCACAGACCCTGTATTGTTTTAATCTGTTGATTAATTTGCTTCTTTTTTATTTAGAATTTATACTTTCATTTAGGATTCAGGATATATAACCACATGCAAAAGTTTGCTTTATATATATTTGTCAGCTTTTGTGTTCAGATTTTTTCTAGCTTTATAATATGCATAAAATAAAATATTTTCATCTTCTTATTTTGGAACATTTAAGATAATATGGGAATTCACCTGTTTCTTGAAAATTTGTAGGACTTGACCACAAAACTAGTGAGGTCCAGTCCCTTTCTTGAATGGAACTTTTGTAATTCCTTAGAAAGTTATCTATTTTACCCATATTTTCAAATATATTATTAAATCTCCTATATTCTTATTAATGTCTGCCTTGTTAATATGCCAAGGGTTTAGCAAAGTATTTTAAATATTTTAAATTTTTTAATTTTTTTTGTCCATTTTTCCTATACTTCATAGCTCATGCTTTTTACAAGTTTATGTTTTATATTTAATCTCCATACTTGTATGATTATATCTTCATTGTGAAATTTTTCCTTCATAAATAAAACTTTTATTCTTTTGTCCTATTATATCTGCATTAAATACTACTTTTCATTTTATTTTTATTTATACAAGTAGGAGGTGTTTATAATAGAAAATTAGAAAAGAGAAAAACTGAGAATCATTTTTAGATTAAATACTAATTAATTTTTTCAGAGAAATAATATTTTTTCCAATATGAGTGCTTATTTTAATAAAAATCAGAGAAAAAATCAGCAAGAATAAAGAAAATAAAAATCCTATAGTTAGATATCATCACTGGCAACATTTTAATGAATAATTATTCAGATTTTTTTCTGCATGCATTTATAAATGCATAAAATAGGATTATACTCTACAAATTATTTTATGACCTTTTCTTTTCTATTAAAAATATATCATGACTGTATTTCTATGTTAATAACTATACATCTACTTTATTATTTTAATGGCTGCTAGCATTGTGCTGTATGAATGGACAGTTATTTTCTGCTATATTGTTAAACATTTATATGATTTCCTTCCATTTTGTAAAATGTAATTCAATTTAATTTTTGTGTGTGTGCTGTTATTACACACTACCCTGGAGCCAGCATCCTTTTATGAACATTTTAAACATTTAAAAATGGTTTCCTCATGATGTATCTCTACAGTAACTAGTGAAGAATTCATGTTTGCTAATTAAATATCCACAAATTAAAATAACCATAATGTGTAATTTTTCAGCCATCAGATGGGCAGAGACTTTTCTCAATGATATTCTCCAATGTGGTTAGGGGTGTGGGCAACTAGGTGCTCTCAAATGCTTCTGGTGGGAGTGTAAATTGGGAGAATCTTCCTTGAAGGCAACTTGGAAATATGTGTCGAAAGCAGCTGCCCTGGTTTTTCATTTTTACAGATGTTTTATGAGAAAACCTGATTTTTCCAAGATCTTATTGGAAAGGAATCACATTATATATATGTTGTAAATCCAATCCTAACATTAAAGAATTTTCTTAGGGATATTCCAAATAATGAAGCCAGGTGCCCTGAAGATTTCCTGAAGTGTGCTTTTAAACATTTAAAATTTCTTTTGACACCTATATAAATCATCATTGCCTTGGGGCTCCATTCAAAACAGAACCAGGATTTTATTTTTGATATATAGTGGTAGGACAGGATGGGAACAGATCTGCTGCTTTTTACTCTGGACTTTCCCAAATGGGAAAGATCTTTAAACACTTTCCTGACATTTCTTGCCTTTAAATACTATATTTCTGTGTTTTAATTGCGTATATTGATGGAGATGCTGTGACTGTAGAATCTGTATACAGGGTGTGAAGTCTGGAAGCCCAGAGGAGAGCTTCACGTTGTTCATGCTCTGATGGTTGCACGTTGGTTTATTGGACTGTTCAACTTTCCCCACTTGTTTTCTGTTTTAGGTGGCATGTGGGCTCTTGGGGGCCCTGCTCAGCTACCTGTGGAGTTGGAATTCAGACCCGAGATGTGTACTGCCTGCACCCAGGGGAGACCCCTGCCCCTCCTGAGGAGTGCCGAGATGAAAAGCCCCATGCTTTACAAGCATGCAATCAGTTTGACTGCCCTCCTGGCTGGCACATTGAAGAATGGCAGCAGGTAGGGCAGACTGGCCACTCCAGGGCCCTCTGTGATTATGACTGTGAGAGGCCCTGCACTGCACTAACATAGAGTGGGCCAAGCCTGCCGCCTCACCCCCTCTTGTCTTCTTAGTGTTCCAGGACTTGTGGCGGGGGAACTCAGAACAGAAGAGTCACCTGTCGGCAGCTGCTAACGGATGGCAGCTTTTTGAATCTCTCAGATGAATTGTGCCAAGGACCCAAGGCATCGTCTCACAAGTCCTGTGCCAGGACAGACTGTCCTCCACATTTAGCTGTGGGAGACTGGTCGAAGGTAAGGGCCAGGCTCAACTTTATAGTCCCTTCTTTTCTGCCCCTCCTTTGTTTCAGCTTCTAAATATTTCCACAAGATCAGGCTGGAACTACTGTGAGATGAGTATGGGTCCTAGGGGGCCACATTTAAGGAGGTGCTCACTCACTCTCGGGTTTGTGCAAGTTCCGTAGTCCAGGCCTGCACACAATGATTCATTTCCAGTTTTTACTCAATATTATTCAAAGTGTTATCATCATCATTCTCCCAAACCAGCCCCTTCTTTTGGAACTACCAGGATCATAGTATCCCAGGATAAACTCAGAATCACTTTGGTTCCTCTCTTCCTTGTGTCCTCCCATGTGGAATCATTCATTAAGCCCCGTCATTCCAACATTTTGAACATCTTCCATGCCTTAACTTCCTCTGTGTTCTGTCACTTATGCTGTTAATTTTACCCTTCATCATGGCAAGCTTGAATTAGTGCAGTGAGTAGAATTCTAGTAGATCGTTTCAGTGCTGGCAGGGCTTGACCCAGTCTAGTAATGAAGCCTTATTTTTCAGGTGGGGGAAATTAAATCCCAATAGCTGAAGTAAGCTGCCTAAGCTCCACAGCTGGAAAAGTAGCAGAATCCACTTGTTTTGACTTTATTCCAAGAGTTCTTTCTGTTATATTACACTGCCCACTTGATCTTTCTGTATTACTCTCCCATCTCCAGACTAGCTAACATCCCATAGTGTTCCCATCACTGTGTCCATCAAGTCTCCAGCTTGTTCAGAATCTTCCATAAGTCTGATTGCTTGCAAAATCAAGTACAGTAGTCCCAGTTTATTCACAGGGAATACAGTCCAAGACCCCAGTGGATGCCTGAAACTGTGGATCATACTGAATTTTATATATCCTATGTTTTTTTTTATCTGATAACTGAGAAGACTACTTAAGTGACTAATAGGCAGGTAGCATGGATGGAATGATTCATGTCCTGGGCAGATGGAGCGAGATGGTGAGAGATTTCATCACACTACTCAGAACGTCATGCAAACTAAAACTTACAAATTGTTTATTTCTGGAATGTTCTATTTAATATTTTTGGACCACAGTTAACTGTGGAAAGCGAAACCGTGGATAAGAAGGGACTATTGTATATGTTCCCCAGAATAGCTGGTAGGGCCTTTCTTGCACTCATGGCTCTCTTACTCCAGTCCTTATTCTTCTTCCAGCCCTTTGCTCCAGTCTTGCTGCATCCTTAACATCTGCAGGCTGAGATTTTAGCACAGATTCCAAAACACATAATTAGTTATGTTATCAGTGTCTTGTAACCTTCAGTCACTGCTAACTGGTAGGTATCTTCTTGGAGTGGAGACCCAACCCCAACATCAGAACTAACCTCAAGAAATAAGGAAGGACAGTGAGTGACATTCACAACCTGCTCTGAGTCCTAGGTTCAGTGCCAGGCATAGTCATGACCTGCTCCTCTCATATCATCCTACGATAGCCCCAGAAGCAGACGTTGTCTCCCTTTTTATAGATGAGAAAAACAGAGGTTCATTCAGATTAAGTAACTTGCCCAAGGACAGAGATAGATTCAAACCCAGGCCTGTGTGACCCAAAATTATTACACATGTATACACTCCTGTCTTTTATGCAAGAGAAAAGGCTTTTGAGTCCAACAGACCCATGCTGGTACCCCAGCTCTAAAGCCTAAATCTGGGTGGCCTTGTTAAATACACCTAACCTCTCTGAGCTTCCGTTTACTTTCGCTAAATGCAATGGTTCTTGTGAGGATAACATAAGATATTTGACATGGCAATGTCTAGTAGAGTAGGCTCTTCCCATTGCCCTTGATAGAAGGTCCACATTTCTGGCTGTAGGTTGGATTAACAGTATTTCTGTACATATATCCAGATTGGGATTTTTCCTGTTTTAACCGTGTAGTTTTGTTAAGTGCTAGTATTTTAAAACTGTCTTAACTGAAAACCTACAGGTCATTATCCTCAATCAAGGCCACTGAAGGTCTACATAAACTTTCCCTGAAACCTCAGAAGAGGCCCAAGGAAAGAGATGAACCCATCTCTCCAGGGTCTACAGAGCAGGAGTTGCCCTAGGATCCAGCCACCAATACCCACTTCCTCTATCCAACTCACAAGCAGCTGGAGACAGTGCCAGTGGCCACAGCTCTCCCCGGAAAGTTGCCATACTATAGGTCAATGACTTGAGGGACAGGAGTCCCTCCTGCAGTCAGGTCCTAAACAAAGAGAAAGGACTGATCCAGGTGAGACCACCACCCCAAAGGAGGGTGGGAAGGACAGGTAGAAGGTCTGTCTGGAGAGCTTTGTGTGCAAAAGTGGGTTTGCTTAATTTTCCTCCTACTTGCACAAGGAACAATAGACGGCCCAAGGGAGAATCATTCTTTTGGGAATTCCTTTGAGACTAGGTCAGGCAGTGGGGGCTGGGCAAAGGTGTTAGAGAGGTGGGTAGCCTGGGTGGGCTAGTGTGTAGGCAGTATTTATTCCATCACCCAGCTAAGCCCCAAGAGTGAAGTCTTACCTTGCCCCATTGTCAGGAGAGATGAAGGTTCCAGTTACTGTTTCCATAAAGTTAGGGACAGAAGGAAGGGCCACAATTTTGTGGGGAGAATCTTGGCATTGTGATGCGTGATTCTCCTTGCTACACTTAGTGTGGCCCAAGGACTAGTCAAATTGACATCAGCAGGGAACTTATAAGAAATGAGGAATCTCAAGTCCCACCCAGACCTAAGGAATCAGAGTCTGCATTTCAACAAGATCCCTGGGTGTTGTAATGATACACTTGCAGTGTGAGAAGTGTTTCCTTACCTGCCTCTCATTCTTGTTTGGGTGAGTTAGCCCTTACATGTGTCCAAGGTAGGAATGGCCCTGGGTAGTGACTTCTTTGATCAAGTGCTGCCCTAACCTAAAGGGAGGAGGCAAGAAAAGGGAAGAACAGCAAAGGGGCAGATATTGAGGAGGAGAAACCAGACAGCTTGTTTCTGGATGCAGCGAGGGAGCACCTAGAACCACTGCCAAGCTCTAAAATACCCCACTTTGCTTCTGTCCTTGCTTCTTTCCTCTAAGAACAAACAGGCCTTCACAGTTATATCCTGCCTGGTGGAACAAACGGTTGTCACTGGTGTCTTAGAGTGGAGGCTAGTGGTGACATCACCACTTTCCTCCGTGTCCGCTCTCTCAGTGAATAACTGAATTTACAGTTGCCAGTTGCGTATCACTAAAGTAACACCATTGCACATCTATGTGGGCCCACTTGTGTGTCTTTGCTCTTGTGGCTTTCAAATCCTTGGTCCAACTGTGAGCTTTCCTCTTCTGTGAAGTTTTCCACTTCCTAAAGTCACCCAGCATTTCCGACTTTTAAATCACAGTGACCCTAATTTTTACTGTTTTGCAATGGTAGCTATTTCCTGAGCATCCACATGGTCTTCCCATCTGGTTTATATTGTCCTTGAGGCCAGTGGCCATGGGATTGCCAACAGGTCCTCCAGTTGTTCAGAGCTCTAAGCAAGTAAATACTATTCCTCAACAGTCTTTGCAAAGTCAGAGAAAATCCAAAGTGGTGTTGAAATAGTGATCTTTAGAAGAGCTCAGGTCTGCTAACACAGGAGAGGCAGATCGTTCATTGGAGGGGTTTTTGTTGAGACAAAGAAGAAAAGGAAACTTAAGAGGAGGCTACCCATGTGAGCTGGTTTGGACTGGAGGCTGTTTAGTTTCATAGGCAACCATTCATCAGGGCAAAGAGCAAGCTCTTCTGTGCTCCAAGAGGTCAGCCCAAACTCAAACAAGACACTCTGGCTTCCAGTCATGACCTCACATCTAGGAAGCCCCTATCTGGGAGGAAGGGCAAGCGTATATACACGCACAAGAAAACAGAGGCAGCCTCAGCCTGTGACACCAAAAGCCATTGGTGAGGCTTGAGCGCAGTCAGGCACACAACCTGTTGCACAGAAATTTTAGTTTTCTACTGGATGGAGCTTTCTCCTGTTAGTTAAAATTTCTTCTCATCAGAGTTGCTTTTTTTTGGCAGAGACTCTGATACCAAATTGCCACCCTTCTTAAAGCTTCCTGCCAAACTAGTCCTTCTGCCATGGGATGGCTCACTTGGGGGCAGCCATCCATTTTGTGGTTCTGGATAAGGTCCTTCCACGTTGAAACTGGCCACTAACCCTGGACACAGAAAGGCTGAGCAGCCACGCCAGAATTTCCATTCTTCACGGAGCCAGGCCTCTGGCTTGCAGCCAGAATCTTCCTCTTCCCCGACACTAGCTCTATTCATGATATGTTTAAGCTCTGTCCATTCATTGGCTTATGAGTTTGCCTTGGTTCCTTAGATCTGGACCAAGCCTTAGGCAGAAAGGAGCCTTCAGTTCTTACACTGCTTTTGAAGTTATAAGAAAGGAGCATTGACTCATATCAGGCAATCTTCCCAAATGGTGAATTTCTGTGATCCACATACCCCTTGTAGCCTGTTTTGTGTCCCACCTCTTGGCTGAAATAGCCTCCTTTATTTTCTGTACTTTGATGGAACATTTGATTATTTTGTTTATCTTCACCTTTTTCCTTCATCATGTTTCTTGGTGTTTTTATTTTTTCTACTTATCTGACTATGTCTTTTCTGTTGGCTTCTCTTCTTCCAAATCTCAAAAAGCCCAATATTTGATCCTTTTCCATTGCTACACTTTTCCACTGTGGTTGATTCTGTGTCCTGAATTCTTTAACTCCCATGGATGATTTTCAATCTCCAGAAAGTCTCTAACCTTCTAACCACGTCTCCAGCTCTCCATCTAGTTTATATCCTCATCGTGGGAAAGCAAAGGGACAGCCTCTTCACTCTCTCCCAACCAGTTCTCCCCACTTCCTGTCTCTGTCCATGTACCACTGTCTTCCAACACTTATGATCATCTCTGAGTTCTTCACCTCCTATATTGTTATTCGTATCTGCCAACTCTTCAACTCTTGAACTATTAATATATCTAATATGCTAAGTAAAAAGGAAAATATCTCTATAACTGAAAAATGTTATAAAGAACAACCCAAGATATGTCCAGGATACATGGATTTTAAAATATGGCATTCCCCGATTTTCCATAGAACTATGAATTACAACTCGTGAAGGAAGTAGTGTGTTGAAGTCAGTTCTTACTGGCCAGTGAGAACCACTTATGATCTCATCCCAACTTGTGCTCAGTCACATAGGGTTGATAGCTGGAAATCAGCCATGATGGGAGTATTTACACCACAGAAACTGGCAAAACCATCATGGCTATTTCCTCCAAGAACATGTTTTGAAACATTTACCAGCACACAAGTGCACAAAAGCTTATTTACACACACACACACACACACACACACACACACACAGAGTTATGAATGAAACACTTTCAGCTTATCGATGGTGCTTAGGATGGAAGTGCCCTCAAGAAGCTCCCATCTCTGAGCTCTTTGATACAAAGTCTAAGAAACTTGGTTGGGCTTCCTTAAGACATTTTTTATCTTTATCTTCATAACTGGTGTTTCTTGGGGCCAGGAAATATCAGACCTCTGGGTGAAGATACATTCTATGAATCATTATCCTACAGATTTAATTTGGTCTTGATCGAAGGTTGTTGATCTAAATGCATTAACTGTATGTTCAGATATTCTTTCTGTGAATAAAAGACCAGTTCAGCTCTTAAGGTTTATTATAAAACTCTTCTTTTACTCATTTTTATTATGTGTTATTAATTATGAGTTTTTTATTATGAATCACTAGGCAGATAACAATTCTTTTTGAATTTTTTTATTTTTAATTTTTGTGGGTATATAGTAAATATATATTTTATGGGGTACATGAGATACTTTGAAACAGTTATGCAATGTGTAAGAATCACAAAATGGAGAATGGGGTATCCATCCCCTCAAGCATTTATCCTTTGTATAATAAACAATCCAAATTATATTATTTTAATTATTTTAAAAATGCAATTGAATTGTTTTTGGATATAGTCTCCCTGTTGTGCTAGCAAATACTAGGTCTTACTGATTCTTTCTAACTATTTTTTGTACTCATTAACCATCCCCACATCCCTGCCCAACTACCCTACCCAGCCTTTGATAACCATCCTTCTACTCTCTATCTCCATGAGTTCAATTATTTTAATTTTTAGCTCCCACAAATAAGTGAGAACATGTGATGTTTGTCTTTCTGTGCCTGGCTTATTTAACTTAACATAATGACCTTCAGTTCCATCCATGTTGTTGCAGATGATAGGATCTCATTCTTTTTTATGGCTGAATAGTACTCCATTGTGTATATGTACCACCTTTTCTTTATCCATTAGTCTGCTGACGGACACTTAGGTTGTTTCCATATCTTGGCTATTGTGAATACGGCTGTGGTATACATGGGATTATAGATAGCTCTTTAGTATCTGATTTTCCTTTCTTTTTGGTATATACCTAGGAGTGAGATTTCTAGATCATATGGTAGCTCTATTTTTAGTTTTTTGAGGAACCTCCAAACTGTTCTCCATAGTAGTTGTTTTAATTAACATTCCCACCAACAATGTACAAGGGTTCCCTTTTCTCCACATCCCTGCCAACATTTGTTATTGCCTGTCTTTTAGATAACAGCCATTTTAACTGGAGTGAGATGGTATCTCATTGTAGTTCTGATTCGCATTTCTCTGGTGATCATTGATGTTGATCACCTTGTCATATGCCTGCTTGCCCTTTGTTTGTCTTCTTTGGTAAATGTCTATTCAGATCTTTTCCCATTTTTAAACTGGATTATTAGATTTTTTTTTCCTATAGAGTTGTGTGAGCCCCTTATATGTTCTGGTTCTTAAACCTTTGTCAGATGGGTAATCTTCAGATATTTTCTCCAATTCTGTGGGTTGTGTCTACTTTGTTGATTGTTTTATTTGCCGTGTAGAAGCTTTTTAACTTCATGTGATCCCATTTGTCCATTTTTACTTTGCCTGTGCTCGTGGGGTATTAATCAAGAAATATTTGCCCAGAGCAGTGTCCTGAAAAGTTTCCCCAACGTTTTCTTGTAGCAGTTTCTTAGTTGAGGTCTTAAACTTAAGGCTTTAATCCATTTTGATTTGATTTTTGTATATATTAAGAGAGAGGGGTCTAGTTTTACTCTTCTGCATATGGATATCCAGTTTTCCCAGCATCATTTATTGAAGAGATTGTCCTTTCCCCAATGTATGATCTTGGCACCATTGTCAAAAATGAGTTCACTGTAGATCTATGGATTTATCTCTGGGATCTCTACTCTGTTCCATTGGTCTATGTGTCTGTTTTTATACCAGTACTATGCTGTTTTGGTTACTATTATCTCTGTAGTATAATTTGAAGTCAGATAATGTGATTCCTCCAGTTTTGTTCTTTTTAGTCAGGATAGCTTGGGCTATTCTGGGTCTTTTGTTGTTCTTTATAAATTTTAGGATTTTTTTATTTCTGTGAAAAATGTCATTGATATTTTGATAGGGATTGCATTGAATCTGTAGATCGCTTTGGGTAGTATGGACATTGCAACAGTATTGATTCTTCCAACCCATGAACATGGAATATCTTTCCATTTTTTATAGTCCTCTTCAATTTCTTTCATCAATGTTTTATAGTTTTCATTATAGAGATCTCTCACTTCTTTGGTTAAGTTGATTACTTGGTATTTCATTTTATTTGTAGCTATTGTAAATGGGACTACTTTCTTGATTTTTTTGATTGTTCGCTGTTGGCTTATAGAAATGCTACTGATATTTGTATGTTAATTTTGTATCCTGCAACTTTACTGAATTTGTTTATCAGTTCTAATAGTTTTTTGGTGGAGTCTTTAGGTTTTTCCAAATGTAAGATCATATCATCTGGGAACAGAGATAATTTGACTTCTTCGTTTCCAATTTGGATGCCCTTTATTTCTTTTCTTTTCTTTTTTTTTTTTTTCACCTGATTCCTCTAACTAGGACTACTAGGACTATGTTGAATAACAGTGGCGAAAGTGAGCATCCTTGTCTTTTTCCAGATATTACAGGAAAAGCCTTCAGTTTTTCCCCATTCAGTATGATACTAGCTGTGGGTCTGTCATACATGGCTTTCATTGTGTTGAGGTATGTTTCTTCTATACTCCTTTTTTTTAGGATTTTTGTCATGAAGGGATGTTAAATTTTATCACGTGCTTGTTTGGCATTAATTAAAATGATCATATGGTTTTGTTCTTCATTCTGTTGATATGATGTATTACATTGATTGATTTGCATGTGTTAAGCCATCCTTGCATCCCTGGGATAAATCCCACTTGGTCATGATGAATGATCTTTTACTGTGTTGTTGAAATCACTATGCTGATATTTTGTTGAGAATTTTTGCATCAGTGTTCATCAGGCCCTGTAGTTTTCTTTTTCTCTTTTTGATGTGTTTTTGTCTGGTTTTGGTATCAGATTAATACTGGCCTGATAGAATGAGTTTGGAAGTATTCTATCCTCCACTATCTTTCAGAACAGTTCGAGTAAGATTGGTCTTAGTTCTTTAAATGTTGGTAGAAACCATCAGTGAAGTCATTGGATCTCAGGCTTTTCTTTACTGGGAGACATTTTATTATGGCTTTGATCTTGTTAGCTTGTTATTGGTCTGTTCAGGTTTTGGATTTTTTCATGGTTCAATCTGGGTAGGTTGTATGTGTCTAGGAATTTAGCCATTTCTTCTAAATTTTCTAATTTATTGATATGTAATTGCCATAGTAGCAACTAATGATCCCTTGAATTTTGCAGTATCAGTTCTAATGTCTTCTTTTCCATCTCTGATTTAATTTATTGGGGTGTTCTCTCTTGTTTTCTTAGTCTGGCAAGAGTTTTGTCGATTTTATTTATGTTTTCAAAAAACCAACTTTTTGGTTCATTGATCGTTTGTATCGTATTTCTTCTACTAATTTTGGGTTGTTTTGCTCTTGATTTTCTAGCTAAGATGTATTGTTAGGTTGTTTACTTGAAGTTTTTCTTCTTTTTTGATGTAGGCATTTATAGCTATAAATGTCCCTCTTAGTGTTGCTTTCACTGTATCTCATAGGTTTTGGTATGTTGTGCTTCCATTATCATTTGTTTTAAGAAAATTTTCAATTTCCTTCTTAATTTCTTTATTGACCCACTTGTCATTCAGGAGCATATTGTTTAAATTCCGTGTATTTGTACATTTTCCAAAATTTCTCTTGTTATTGATTTCTAATTTCATTCCATTGTGGTCAGAAAAGGTGCTTGATGTCATTTCAGTTTTTTGAGTGTTTTAAGACTTCTGTAGGGCTGAACATATGGTCTGTTTTTGAGAATAATCCATGTGCTGAAGAGAAGAATGTGTATTCTGCAGCCACTGAATGGAATGTTCTGTATCTATTGCCCTATAGTGTAGATTAAATTGGATGGTTCTTTGTTGGTTTTCGGCCTGGAAGATCTGTCCAGTGTTTAAAGTGGGATGTTGAAGACTCAAGCTATCATTGTATTGAGGCCTATATCTCTATATGGCTTTGATAATATTTGTTTTATATATCTGAGTGCTCCAGTGTTTAGTGCATATATGTTTACAATTGTCATATCCCGCCAGGCGTGGTAGCAAGCACCTGTAATCCCAGCTACTTGGGAGGTTGAGGCGAGAGAATCACTTGAACCTGGAAGGTGGTGGTTGTAGTGAGCCAAGATCGTGCCACTGCACTCCAGCCTGGGCGACAGAGTAAGATTCCACCTCAAAAAAAAAAAAAAAAGAAAAAAACATTGTTATATCCCCTTGCTGAACTGACCCCTCTATAAATTAAACAATGACATTCTTTGCCTGTTCTTACAGTTTTTGCCTTGAAATCTATTTTGTCTGATATAAGCATAGCACTACTGCTGTTTTTGGGGTTCCGTTGGCATGGAACATCTAACTCCATCCCTTTATTTTCAGTCTATGTGTATCTTTACAGGTGAAATGTGCTTCTTGTAGGTAGGCAACAGATCAATGGCTCTTGTTTTTTCATCCATTCAGCCTTTCTGTGCCTTTTGATTGGGGAGTTTAGTCCATTTACATTAAGTGTTACTGTTGATAAGTAGGGACTTTCTCCTGCCATTTTGTTATTTGTTTTCCGTTTGTTTTGCAGTCTTCTCTTTCTTCTTTCCTTCCTTCCTGTTTTCTTTTTAGTACAGGTGATTTTTTTCTGGTGGTATGACTTAATTTCTTGCTTTTTATTTTTTCTGTATCCATCGTATGGTTTTTGATTTGAGATTACCATGAGGCTTGCACATACTATCTTATATCCCATTATATTAAACTGATGACAACTTAACACATTGTGTAAACAAACACACAAAAAGAAAACTAATGAAAACTCTATACTTTTACTTTGTCCTCTCACTTATTAACTTTTTGTTTCTCTTTATGTTTTATTGTGCTATCCTGGCTTGAAAGTTGTTGTATTTATTATTTTTTGATTGGTTCATCATTTAGACTTTCTACTTAAGATTAGTTTTGACACCACAATCACAGTGTTATAATATTCCATGATTTTCTGTGTACTTACTATTACCAGTGAGTTTTGTACCTTCAGGTGATTTCTTCTTGCTTATTAATATCCTTTTATTTCAGACTGAAGAGCTCCCTTTAGCATTTCTTATAGGACAGGTCTGGTGTTAATAAAATCCCTCAGCTTTTGTTTGTCTGGGAAGACCTTTATTTCTCCTTAATGCTTGAAGGATATTTTCACTGGATATACTATTCTAGGGTAAAAGTTTTGTTCCTTCAGCACTTTAAATATGTCATGCCACTCTCTCCTGGCCTTTAAGGTTTCCACTGAAAAGTCTGTTTCCAGACTTATTAGAACCCCATTGTGTGTTATTTGTTTCTTTTCTCTTTTTGCTTTTATGGTATTTACCCTTGACCTTTGGGAGTTTGACTATTAAATTCCTTGAGGTAGTCCTCTTTGCACTAAGTATGCTTGGTATTATATAACCTTCTTGCACTTGAATGTTAATATCTTTCTCTAGGTTTGGGAAGTTCTCTGATATCCCTTTGAATAATTTTTCTACCCCTATCGCTTTCTCTACCTCCCCTTTAAGACTAATAACTCTTAGATTTGCCCCTTCAGGGTTATTTTCTAAATCTTGTAGGCATGCTTCATTATTTTTTATTCTTTTTTCTTTTGTCTCCTCTAACTGTATTTTAAAATACCCTGTTTTCAGGCTCACCAGTTCTTTCTTCTGGTTGATCAGTTCTGCTGCCAAGAGACTCTGATACATTCTTCAGTATGTCAATTGTATTTTTTAAATCTAGAATTTCTGCTTGATTTTAAAAATTAATCTCTTTGTTAAATTTATCTGATAGAATTCTGAATTCCTTTTCTATATTGTCTTGAATTTGTTTGAGTTTCCTCAAAATGGCTATTTTGAATTCTCTGTCATGTATCTCTGTCACTCCAGGATTGGTCCCTGGTGCCTGATGTAGTTCATTTGGTGAAGTCATGTTTTCCTGTAGATGTCCTTTGGTGTCTGGGCATTGAATAATTATGTATTTATTGTAGTCTTCACAATCTGGGCTTTACAGTCTATGCCTGTCCTTCTTGGGAAGCCTTTCCAAGTATTCAAAGGGACTTGGGCCCCAAGCCCAGTAACACTGTGCTTCATGCACACTCATAGAGATATCACTTTGGTGGTCTTGGATAAGATCCAGAAGCATTCTCTGGATTACCAGGAAGAGACTCTTGTTCTCTTCCTTTACTTTCTCCCAAACAAACAGCATCTCTCTGCCTCTGTCTCTGTCTCTCTCTCTCTCTCTGCTGAGCCACCTGGAGCTGGGATTGGGGTGATGCAAGCACCCCTATGGCCACCAACACTGGAACTGCCCTGGGTCAGACCTGAAGCCAGAATAGCACTGGGTTTCACCCAAGACCCACTGCAGCCACTATCTGGTTACTGCCTATGTTCACTCAAGGCCCTAGGGCTACAGTCAGCAAGAGTTGAAGCCATCCAGGCTTATGTCCTTCCCTTCAGGCTTATGTTCTTCCCTTCAGGGAGGCAAGTTCTTTCAGGCCCTGGGCATGTCCAGAGATACTTTCTGAGAGCCAGGGATTTAAGTCAAAAACCTTAGAAATCTACCTGGTATTCTATTACCCTGTGGCTAAGCTGCCACTGAAACCATACAACAAAATCCTTCCCCCTCTTCCCTCCCCTTTCCACAGGCAGAGGAGCTCTCCCCATGGCCATCATCATCAGCAGTCCGTAGAGAGTTCTGCCAGGCTACCATTGCTGATCACTTAATGCCTAGGGGCTCTTCAGCCAGCTTGTGAATGCTGCCAAACCTGGGATTCACCCTTCAGGGTAGTAGGCTCCCACCTCTGGCCCAGGGAAGGTGCAGAAATGCTGTCCGAAAGCCTAGGCCTGAACTCAGGGACCCCTGAAGCCCACTAGATACTCTATCCACTGTGCTGAGCTGTTACCCGAAGCCAGCATATCTCAAAGTCTCATCCAAGGCCCATGGCATACTACCTGGATATCACTTTTGGTTATTCAGGGCCCAAGGGCTCTTTAGTTAGCAGATAATTAATGCTGCCAGGACTTGGTCTTTCTCTTCAAGGCAGTGGGTTCCCTTCTGGCCCAGGGTGTGTCTAGAAATGTCACCCAGGAGCTAGGACCTGGCATGGGGGCTTCACGACTCTGCCCAGTGCACTGTCTGTGGCTGAGCTTGTATCCAAGATGCAAGACAAAGTACAAAGTCCTCTTGACTGGTCTCTCTCCTCTCCTCAAGCAGAAGGAAGGAGTTGCTTTCATTGCTACAAGCTGTGCTGCTTGGGGTTGAGGGAGGGGTAGTGCAGGTACTTCCCCAGCTGCCCCATCTGGTGTGTCACTAGGTCACACACTGCCCCAGTCCACTGGCTCTAACCCCAGAACACCATCAGACTTGCCTAAGAATCTGAGTCCTTCCTAGACTGCCTTTCAAGTTCACTTAGGACCCCACAGCACCTTAGCCCATGGTGGTGAGACTGCTGAAACTCAGGCTCCGGCCACTGGAATAGGCACTTCCCCTCTGGCTAGGGCTGGTCCAAATGCTGTCTCTGTGGGTATCAGCTGAGTTCAACATGGTTTCACTTCCCACTGTGACAGGGCAGCACTGAGTTCAATGCAAAGTCCCCCAGTTGCTGTGCTCTCCCTCCCTGAAGTGCACAGATTCTCTCTCCGTGCCATGCAGCCACTGCCAGGGAATGGGGAAGGGGTGGTGTTGGTGATTTAAGGCCATCTTTTCTGCCTTCTTCAGTGCCTCTTTCAGTGATAAGAAATTAAAAACAAGTACTGTGATGGCTCACCCAATTTTTAGTTCTTATGAAGGTGCTTTTTTGTTCACAGATAATTGTTTAAATTTAGTTTTCCTGTGGTAGTGGGAGTAGGGGGATGATCAATGTAGCCTTCTATTCTGCCATCTTGCTCTGCCCTTTTTGCTAAGCACTCTTCTACTGGAATAATAGTGTCTTTTTAGACTGAATCTGACAGTTTACTCTTATATTATGACCCATCCAAAATATGCCCAGTGGATTCAAATTCATGTAGTTCTATCTGTTCCATGTGTTTTAAGTTACACACACACACCGCACAGGCACACACACACACACACACACATAACCTGAATACACTTTATTTTCCTGACCCAAAGTAACTGCCAGAGGGGAAGACCCATTTCTGCACATGTTTGTATCCCACTTGGTGCTTGGTAAACACTTTTTGGCTGAAGTATAAAGATTTATAAAAGCTTCTTCTACTCTAAATAGGCCTATTTCCATAGCCTTACAAACTCACTCATTTAATCAACATTTACTGAGCATTGCTATGTTGATTACCCTAGGCACCAGGAACCAGAGACAACTAAGAATAGTTTTCAGTGAGCTCACTGTTTAAAAAGGCAGGCAGAAGAAATGACATTTACAACCATGTAAAAAATGCCCAATAAAGGTGTTCTGTCTACAGAGCTACGTGAAAATTGAAGGGAAACGTTTAAGTCTGCCTGGGTCACTGGAAAGTGTTGCATAAGATGCAGCTTTGGAGTTGCGTCTTAAGAGATGAGTGCAAACTGTGTGGAAATGAGACAGAGGGGTGTTCTAGAGTGACAAGCGTGTATATAAAGGCACAGATTTGGGAGAGTTTATCAGTCTTGTGTGGCTTGAGAACAGGATGCACTGAGTAAGTGCTGGTAGGTGAGATGGAAAGGAGAGATTACAGCTGGATTGTGAAGGCTTTAGGGTATTGGATTTATCCCTACAGTCATTGAGAGCATGTTGGAAGGTGTTTGAATGGGGAAGTAAAATGTAAGGTTTTAGACATATAATTCTGGCTGCACTATGGATAAGGTATTAGAGGAAGAAGGAATTGAAGCTTGAAAAACCTTGTTAGATGGTGATTGGAATAAAATCAACAAGAGAGAATGAAGAAGCAGTTGGGATAGAGAGTAGTAAGTGGTTTTGAACAATATGTAGGAGATTTAACTGACATATTTGGCAATTGAATTGACAGGACATGAGCAAAAAAGAGGAGTGTTTTGTATTTTTGTCCTGGGAAGCTAATGAATGAGACGACATTAATTTTAAAATTAATTAGAAAGAAGAAGCATATTCAGAAAGTGACTTGAAAGGGAGAGAAAAATGGCTTATTTTAGACATACATGTAGTTTGAGAGTCTATAAAGGTATCAGTAAAGAATTACAGCTCAGAAAAGATCTACATTAAAGTTATAATTGCGTGAATCATCAACACATATGTGGTAGTTGAAACCATGGAAGATGACTACCATGATATCTAAAAGTATATTATTGACAGTAGTCCCTTTAAAAATTATTTGAAGGCTTCTAGTGAAGCAAAATCATGGTAGTAGCATAGTTACTATTCCCAAATCCCTCATTAAAAAACAAAAAGCAGAGCAATTAGGAATGCAGAAGGAAAGGAAAAACAACAGAGGTAATTTTAACAAAAGTAATATAAGTAGGTGAGGCCAAACCACACAGTGCAGACACTGTTCAGAAATGGCAGAATTAGCAGCTGGGCAGCGATAAAAAAGAGGAGAGACAGGGCCAAGAGTTGTGGAACACAGATGTCACGAATAAATAGCATGACAAGAAAATGATCCTACTCTGAGTAGAACCCTCAGCAAATAGGTCTGAGACCAATCAGCCAAATTGAGGAAGGACTCCAGAGTGTGATTGGTTCCAGAGTGTGATTGGATGCAAGAAAGATTGTGCAGAACCACTAAAGGGCTTAAGAAGTGCCCAAGAAAAGTTGTCAGAATTATAATCCAAGTGGAGAAGGAACACAAGAGGTAAAGGAAAGAGATGTTCAGATCCTTGGGAGTTGGGGAGTCCAGAGATACAAATCCCAGAATTGTGGCCAAATTGTTGCATATAATACTTCCTTTTAACACCAGAGGAGGAAGCTCTTAACAGTGAAGATAACTATCCTGAAATATTCCCTCCTGCTTACACTCTCTTTCCCTAAAAGTACAGAAAACAATCTAATTCATTTAATAAGAACATCTGCAAACCTCCAAAAAGATACAGTAAGATAAAAGTATCAATAGCATACCAACATAATGAAAATTTGGCCTTTAAACAGATGAAAATATACTCAGTGTTACAAAATGAGCTAAGAGAAACAAAAAGAAAACTGTAGAAACAAATCAGAAATAGAAAATTCAAGAAATGAGATGAATAAATAACAGGAGAATGTAAAATGATAGCTGACGGTTTAGAAAAGAATTTTTAAAACTAAGGGTAAATTTCTCAGAATGTAGACTAAACACTAGAAGAAACTCAAGAATGACTGGGCAGAGAAAGTGTAATAAGCAAAATAAAAGGAGGGAAATGACAAGAATCAAAGAGAAATAAAAAAAGATTCAAGTGCAGATAATATATATAAAAGACAAGGAAATAAAATTCAATGAATATAGAGTCCCAGGAAAAGAAAACCACCAAAAATCATAACAGAACAAAACTTAATGGCTCAAATTGCCATATTGAAAGGGCACTCTATATACCTGGGAAAACTGACCCAGAATGGTCAATATCAAGACATACTCAGCTGGGTGCAGTGGCTCAAGCCTGTAATCCCAACACTTTGGGAGGCCAAGGTGGGTGGATCACTTGAGGCCAGGAGTTCAAGACCAGCCTGGCCAACATGGTGAAACCCTGTCTGTACTAAAAAATATACAAAAATTAGCTGGGCTTAATGGCACACTCCTGTAATCTCAGTTACTCGGGAGGCTGAGGCAGGAGAATCACTTGAACCCAGGAGGCAGAGTTTGCAATGAGCTGAGATTGTGCCAACAGAGCAAGAATCCATCTCAAAAAAAGGACATATTCTACTAAAAGATAAAAATATATTTGTGCATCTATGCAAAAGAATCAAGTCATTTATTAGGGAAAGAAAATCAAACTGACGCTAGACTTCTCAACAATACCACTTCATACTAGAAAACAGTGGAGCCACATATTTAAGATACTGAAGGAAAGAAAGTGTGAGCCAAAGATTTTATATCCTGCCAAACTGACTTTCAAGTTTAAAGGCCACAGGCAAATAGTTTTGAAGATGCAAGAACTCAATCTATATTGTTCCCATGAGCAATTCCTGAGGAATCCACGAGATGTCTATAGAGGAAACCATGACAAGCTTTGGCATAAAGTTGCTGCTTTGTGAATGATAATTAATGGCACTGATTATGACATCTCCTCTCTCTGTGAGTTGTGGACATTCTCTGATGGCATGCTTACTTTAACTTAGCAGACACACAGTCACAGAAGACTTTGCTCCAGAAAAAAGGGTTTACAAACCATCCTTCCATTCAGGATGGGGAGAAAAAGTCAAATATGTATCATTAAAAATGTCTTCTGAGTAGCCATTGGCAGTTATTTAACCACTTTTATATGAACAAAAGTAACTCACATAGTAGTTTAATAAAAAGCTGACATTCATTTTTATTATGTGAGAAACTCCTAGATGATGTTTTGACTTGTTAAAAAAGTGATAATATGGTAATGGTAATTTAAAAATATTTATTCAAAAGCTTACAAAAAGCTTTTGTCTATACTGAAAAATAATAATAATTAGGGCTTTCTGTTAAAAGATGTCACTAAAGGCATTTTTAAAAATTCCATTTTCCTCCTTTGAAACCCAACAAAAAACCCACTAAAAGAATGAAAGAGAAGGAACACTGTGTCTTCAATGAACAATGAAATGGCCACAATCCCAAACTATAAATTAAGAAACACACCTGCCAAAGACCATAAAATCTGGACCAGAATGAGGGGGAAGGCTGAGAGCTGACAAATATTTCCTCAGGCGCCGAGCAGGGTATAGATTTCCCTAGGAGTAAATGTGGCAGTCCTGAAAGGCCTGTTCTAGTTCTTTGATGACAGAGACTAGATCCTGGATCATGAAGTACCTCGGAAAAAAAACTGAGGATGTCCCTTGCAGAACCATGATGGGAGACATAGCTGAGGGAGAAGGCATATTTTTATGCCTCCTTGCCAAGGAAGGCTGCCAGAGATGAAGTGGTATGAAAGAAGGAGGGGGGAGGGGCAGCAATTGTTGGATTATTACACAGTAAGCCAGTTATTTAAGAGGCTCTTTTATTTGTCTCATCAACTATTCAAATTCGAAAATCTGAAAGGAGATGTGGGTAGAGGAAATAAGAGATTTGGTGACAGAATGTTGAAGACAACAAATGGATGTAAAGTCTCCTAGCTCGTTTCTCCCACCCGTGTTACTCACAAACAGCCAGCTGTATTCAAAGCACCAGCATAATATCTATGCACCAAAACTAGGGGGAAAAATCAAAAGGGAGGGAGGAAGTCATGGGATGGGGGAATGGAGCATAAAGCAAGAGTCACATGGATAACATAAGATTTTCCCCAGAGAAAAGTTGAGACAGATAGGTTCTATACTTCCAAGGAAGTTATAGTCTTGATGTCTAGGGAAAAAGTGGCTTTAAAGTGAGGTTTGAGTTCAAAAAAGAGACTATAAGACAACAGAAGGAGATGGAAAGACAACTGCAACAGTCAGGAAAAAAGAAAAATTTTTAAATGGCAGATACAAAAATAGCAAACACAAAACTTACATTACAAGCAACAACTTAAGAAAATAAAGGAAATGACTGGAAATAAAGGGAGATGGGATACAGACTGGAATAAGTCATATAAAATTATATGGAAAAGAACAAAGATGTAAAATTGGTTTTTAGTGGCCATAAGGGATATGGAAGACGGACAAAGGAGATCAAACATAAACACAATTGGTATTTGTTGAGAAGAACAAAACACATGGAACAGAAAAGTATTCAGAGACAAAATAAGGGGAATTAATTCCCTTTAATAAAAGCTTTTATCTGCAAGTCATAATAGCACAGCATGCGCCACTAAGCCTGTGTAAGATGCTGAACCTCGTGGATAAAGCAAAACCCCCTTTGAACAGAAAGTCAACCAAATAAACTAAAAATTCTCATCTTCATAGGAGCATTCAATGCAAGAGGACAATGGAGCAGGATCTACACAATTCTAAAGAAAAGCAAGCATGACTCAAGGATTTCCTCTTCATCCTGTGTTCTTCATGTAGAGAGACAGCAGAGAGGCAGTCAGAGAATACTGTCTGATAAGCCCTTGAAAAAGCTGTAGGGCCAAGATGAGATACAGAGATGACTCAAAACAGAGAATCCAGGAATGCATAGATCCTGGTAAAAAAGGTGGGAGATGAGTAATAAATTCATTTGTGTAGGATTAAGACTAATCAACTAACAATTATATTATAGAACATAACATAAATATCAGAAATCTTGACATTATCTAAATAATAAAATGAAAACTAATTGAGATTTGGAGAGATGAGGTAGATGATATAGTTTGGCTGTGTCCCCACCCAAATCTCATCTTGAATTGTAGTTCCCATAATTCCCATGTGTTGTGGGAGGGACTCAGTTGGAGATAATTGAATCATGGGGGCAGTTTCCCTCATACTGTTCTCGTGGTGGTAAATGAGTCTCACGAGATCTGATGGTTTTATAAGGGGTTTCCCTTTTCGCTTGGCTCTCATTCTCTCTTGCCTGCTGCCATGTAAGACGTCCCTTTGCCCTTCCTTTGTCTTCTGCCATGATTGTGAGGCTTCCCTAGCCACGTGGAACTGAGTCTATTAAACCTCTTTCCTTTATAACTTACCCAGTCTTGGGTATGTCTTTATTAACAACATAAGATTGGACTAATACAGTAGAGGAAATGTAAGTGTGCTTATTTCCTCATCCTTCTTAGTAGCAAGTCAATAAATACTCTCCTAAGTCAAATTGTCATTAAAAATAACTATCCAAATCTCTTGTTGGTTTATTTAATCTTCTTTATTAACTTTAGAGTGTTCTTTCGGGAATTAATCATGGTTTAAAAAATATCAAACATTCAACAACTCTAATTTTACTTTAATGTCTTTTTTTCTAATATATCTAATAAAATTGCATTAAATTTTTAAGTTGAAATTGCATGTATACACACTGATTATTACTATTCATGTTACTCTATATATGGCAGTTTGGGTGATTTTTTAAAAACTTTCCTTTTTATACATTTGTATTTCTTGGATACTTGGTAATGAGTATCATAAAATCAAAATCAGCCATGGCTGGCAAGATGGCCAAATAGGAACAGCTCTGGTCTGCAGCTCCCAGTGAGATCAACACAGAAGGCAGGTGATTTCTGTATGTCCAACAGAGGTACTGGCTCATCTCATTGGGACTGGTTAGACAGAGGGTGCAGCCCATGGAGGGCCAGCTGAAGCATGGTGGGGTGTCTCCTTACCTGGGAAGTGCAAGAGGTCAGGGAACTCCCTCCCCTAGCCAAGGGAAGCCGTGAGGGACTGTGCTGTGAGGAATGGTGCAATCTAGCCCAGGTACTACACTTTTCCCATGGTCTTTACAACCCACAAACCAGGAGATTCCCCCGGGTGCCTACACCACCAGGGCCCATGGGTTTCAAGCACGAAACTGGACAGCCATTTGGGCAGACATCAAGCTAGCTGCAGGAGGTTTTTTTCATACCTCAGTGGTGCCTGTAACACCAGTGAGACAGAACCGTTCACTTCCCTGGAAAGGGGGCTGAAGCCAGGCCTAGCTCAGCAGATCCCACCCCCACAGAGCCCAGCAAGCTAAGATCTACTGGCTTGAAATTCTCGCTGCCAGTACAGCAGTGCGAAGTTGACCTGGGATGCTCCAGCTTGGTGGGGGAAGGGGCGTCCACCATTACTGAGGCTTGAGTAGGCAGCTTACCCCTCACAGTGTAAACAAAGCCTCTGGGAAGTTCAAACTGGGTGGAGCCCACCACAGCTTGGCAAAGCCACTGTAGCCAGACTGCTTCTCTAGATTCCTCCCTTCTGGCAGGGCATCTCTGAAAGCAAGGCAGCAGCCACAGTCAGGGTCTTATAGATAAAACTCCCATCTCCCTGGGACAGAGTACCTGGGGGAAGGGGCAGCTGTGGGTGCAGCTTCAGCAGACTTAAATGTTCCTGCCTGCTGGCTCTGAAGAGAGCAGCAGATCTCCCAGCACAGTGCTCAAGCTCTGCTAAGGGATAGACTGTCTCCTCAAGTGGGTCCCTGACCCCTGCACCTCCTGATGGGGAGACACCTCTCAGTAGGGGCTGACAGACACTTCATACAGGAGAGTTCTGGCTGGCATCTGGCAGGTGCCCCTCTGGGATGAAGCTTCCAGAGGAAGGAACAGGCAGCAATCTTTGCTGTTCTGCAGCATCTGCTGGTGATACTCAGGCAAACCAGGCCTGGAGTGGACATCCAGCAAACTCCAGCAGACCTGCAGCAGAGGAGCCTGACTATTAGAAGGAAAATTAACAAACAGAGAGGAATAACATCAACATCAACAAAAAGGATGTCCACACAGAAACCCCGGAAACCCCACTTGAAGGTCATCAAAAGACCATCAAAGACCAGAGGTAGATAAATTCACAAAGATGTGGAAAAACCAGCACAAAAAGGCTGAAAATTCCAAAAACCAGAACACCTCTTCACCTGCAAAGTGTCACAACTCCTTGCCAGCAAGGGAACAAAACTGGACAGAGAAGGAATTTGACAAATTGACAGAAGTAGGCTTCAGAAGGTCAGTAATAACAAACTCCTCCAAGTTAAAGGAGCATGTTCTAACCCAATGCAAGGAAGCTAAGAACCTTGAAAAAGGGTTAGAGGAATTGCTAACTAGAATAACCAGTTTAGAGAAGAACAAAAATGACCTAATGGAGCTGAAAAAAACAGCACGAGAACTTCATGAAGCATACACAAGTATCAATAGCCAAATTGCTCAAGCAGAACAAGGATATCAGAGATTGAAGATGAACTTAATGAAATAAGCATGAAGAGAAGATTAGAGAAAAAAGAATGAAAAGGAAAAAACAAAGCCTCCAAGAAATATGGGACTATGTGGAAAGACCAAACCTACGTTTGTTTGGTGTACCTGAAAGTGAGGGGAGAATGGAACCAAGTTGGAAAACACTCTTCAGGATATTATCAAGGAGAACTTCTCCAACATAGCAAGAAAGGCCAACATTCAAATTCAGGAAATACAGAGAATACCACAAAGATACTCCTCTAGAAGAACAACCCCAAGACACATAATCGTCAGATTTACCATGATTGAAATGAAGGAAAAAATGTTAAGGGCAGCCAGAGAGAAAGATTGGGTTACCCACAAAGGGAAGCCCATCAGACTAACAGTGGATCTCTCTGCAGAAACCCTACAAGCCAGAATAGAATGGGGCCAATATTCAACATTCTTAAAGAAAAGAATTTTCAACCCAGAATTTCATATCCAGCCAACCTAAGCTTCATAAGCGAAGGAGAAATAAAATCCTTTACAGGCAAGCAAATGCTGAGAGATTTTGTCACCACCAGGCCTGCCTTACAAGAGCTCCTGAAGGAAGCACTAAACATGGAAAGGAACAACCGGTACCAGCCACTGCAAAAACATACCAAATTGTAAAGACTGTCAACACTATGAAGAAACTGCATCAACTAACAGTCAAAATAACCAGCTAGCATCATCATGACAGGATTAAATTCACACATAACAATGTTAACATTAAATGTAAATGGGCTAAATGCCCCAATTAAAAGACAGAGACTGGCAAATTGGATCAAGAGTTAAGACCCATAGGTGTGCTGTATTCAGGAGACCCATCTCATGTGCAAAGACACACATAAGCTCAAAATAAAGGGATGGAGGAATATTTACCAAGCAAATGGAAAGCAAAAAAAAAAAAAAAAAAAGCAGGGGTTGCAGTCCTAGTCTCTGATAAAACAGACTTTAAACCAACAAAGATCAAAAAATACAAAGAAGGGTATTACATAATGGTAAAGAGATCAATGCAACAAGAAGAGCTAACTGTCCTAAATATACATGCACCCAATACAGGAGCACCCAGATTCATAAAGCAAGTTCTTAGAGACCTACAAAGAGACTTGGACTCCCACACAATAATAGTGGGAGACTTTAACACCCTACTGTCAACATTAGACAGATCAACAGACAGAAAATTAACAAGGATATTCAGGACTTGAACTCAGCTCTGGACCAAGTGGACCTAATAGACGTCTACAGAACTCTCCACCCCAAATCAACAGAATATACATTCTTCTCAGCACCATATCACACTTATTCTGAAATTGACCACATACTTGGAAGTAAAACACTCCTCAGCAAATACAAAAGAGTGGAAATTTTAACAAACAGTCTCTCAGACCACAGTGCAGTCAAATTAGAACTCACGATTAAGACACTCACTCAAAACTGCACAACTACATGGAAACTGAAGAACCTGCTCCTGAATGACTACTGGGTGAATAACAAAATTAAGGCAGAAATAAATACGTTATTTGAAACCAATAAGAACAAAGACACAATGTACCAGAATCTCTGGGACACAGCTAAAGCAGTGTTTAGAGAGAAATTTATAGCACTAAATGGCCATAGGAGAAAGCAGAAAAGTCTAAAATTGACACCCTAACATCACAATTAAAAGAACTAGAGAAGCAAGAGCAAACAAATTCAAAAGCTAGCAGAAGACAAGAAATAACTAAGATCAGAGCAGAACTGAGAGAGATAGAGACATGAAAAACTCTTCAAAAATATCAATGAATCCCAGAGCTGGTATTTTGAAAAGATTCGCAAAATACATAGACAGCTAGCCAGACTAATAAAGAAGAAAAGAGGACACAATCAAATAGACACAATAAAAAATGATAAAATCACCATTGATCCCACAGAAATACAAACTATCATCAGAGAATACTATAAACACCTCTACGCAAATAAGCTAGAAAATTTAGAAGAAATGGATAAATTCCTGGACACATACACCCTCCCAAGACTAAACCAGGAAGAAGTCAAATTCCTGAATAGACCAATAACAAGTTCTGAAATTGAGACAGTAATTAATAGCCTACCAACCACAAAAAGCCCAGGATCAGACAGATTCACAGCTGAATTCCACCAGAGGTACAAAGAGGAGCTTGGTACCATTCCTTCTGAAACTATTCCAAACAATAGAAAAAGAAGGACTCCTCCCTAACTCATTTTATGAGGACAGCATCATCCTGATACCAAAACCTGGCAGAAACACAACAAAAAAAAAGAAAATTTCAGGCCAATATCCCTGATGAACATCAATGCGAAAATCTTCAATAAAATATTGGCAAACTGAATCCAGCAGCACATCAAAAAGATTATCCACCACGATCAAGTCAGCTTCCTCCCTGGGATGCAAGGCTGGTTCAACATACGAAAATCAATAAACATAATCCATCACATAAACAGAACCAATTACAAAAACCACATGATTATCTCAATAGATGCAGAAAAGGCCTTTGATAAAATTCAACACCCCTTCATGCTAAAAACTCTCAATAAACTAGGTATTGATGAAATGTATCTCAAAATAATAAGAGCTATTTATGACAAACCCACAGCCAATATACTGAATGGGCAAAAGCTGGAAGCATTCCCTTTGAAAACTGGCACAGGACAAGGATGCCCTCTCTCACCACTCTTATTTAACATAGTATTGGAAATTCTGGCCAGGGCAACCAGGCAAGAGAAAGTAATAAATGGTATTCAAATAGGAAGAGAGGAAGTCAAATTGTCTCTGTTTGCAGATGACATAATTATATATTTAGAAAACCCCATCATCTTAGCCCAAAATCTCCTTATGCTGATAAGCAACTTCAGCAAAGTCTCAGGATACAAAATCAATGTGCAAAAATCACAAGCATTCCTATACAACAATAATAGACAAACAGAAAGTCAAATCATGAGTGAGCTCCCATTCACAATTGCTACAAAGAGAATAAAGTACCTAGGAATACAGCTTACAAGGATGTGAAGGACCTCTTCAAGGAGAACTACATACAAACCACTGCTCAAGGAAATAAGAGAGGACACAAACAAATGGAAAAACATTCCATGTTCATGGATATGAAGAATCAATATTGTGAAAATGGCCATACTGCTGAAAGTAATTTATAGATTCAATGGTATCTCCATCAAGCTACCTTTGACTTTCTTCACAGAATTAGAAAAAAGTACTTTAAATTTCATATGGAACCAAAAAAGAGCCTGTATAGCCAAGAAAATCCTAAGCAAAAAGAACAAAGCTGGAGGCATCATGCTACCTGACTTCAAACTATACTACAAGGCTACAGAAACCAAAACAGTATGGTACTGGTACCAAAACAGATATATAGACCAATGGAACAGAACAGAGGCCTCAGAAATCATGCCACACATCTACAACCATCTGATCTTTGACAAACATGACAGAAACAAGCAATGGGGAAAAGATTCCCTATTTAATAAATGGTATTGGGATAACTGGCTATCCATATGCGGAAAACTGAAACTGGACCCCTTCCTTACACCTTATACAAAAATTAACTCAAGATGTATTAAAGACTTAAACATAAGACCTAAAACCATAAAAACCCTATAAGAAAAACTAGGCAGTGCCATTCAGGACATAGACATGGGCAAAGACTTCATGACTAAAATACCAAAAACAATGGCAACAAAAGCCAAAATTGACAAATGGGATCTAATTAAACTGAAGAGCTTCTGCACAGCAAAAGAAACTATCATCAGACTAACAGGCAACCTACAGAATGGGAGAAAAATTTTGCAATCTATCCATCTGTCAAAGGGCTAATATCCAGAATCTACAAGGAACTTAAACAAATTTACAAGAAAAAACCCCATCAAAAAGTGGGTGAAGGATATGAACAGATACTTCTCCAAAGGAGACATTTATGCGGCCAACAAACATATGGAAAAAAGCTCATTAGAGAAATGCAAATCAAAACCACAATGAGATACCATCTCACACCAGTTAGAATGGCGATCATTAAGAAGCCAGGAAACAACAGATGCTGGAGAGGATATGGAGAAATAGGAATGCTTTTACACTGTTGGTGGGAGTGTAAATTAGTTCAACCATTGTGGAAGTCAGTGTGGCAATTCCTCAAGGATCTAGAATCAGAAATACCATTTGATCCAGCAATCCCATAACTGGGTATATACCCAAAGGATTGGAAATCATTCTACTATGACACATGCACACATATGTTTATTGCAACACTGTTCACAATAGCAAAGACTTGGAACCAACCCAAATGCCCATCAATAATAGACTGGATAAAGAAAATGTGGAACACCATGGAGTACTATGCAGCCACAAAAAAGGATGAGTTCATGTCCTTTGTCGGGACATGGATGGAACTGGAGACCATCATTCTCAGCAAACTAACACAGGAACAGAAAACCAAACACTGCACGTTCTCACTCTTAAGTGGGAGTTGAACAATGAGAACACATGGACGCAGGAAGGGGAACATCACACACTGGGGCCTGTCAGGGGGTGGGGGGCTAGGGAAGGGATAGCATTAGAAGAAATACCTAATGTAGATGACGGGTTGATGGGTGCAGCAAACCACCATGGCACATGTGGACCTGTATAACAAACCTGCACATTCTACACATGTATCCCAGAACTTAAAGTATAATAATTTTAAAAAGGCCGGCCGTGGCTTCTCACGCCTATAATCCCAGCACTTTGGGAGGCCGAGGCAGGTGGATCACGAGGTCAGGAGTTTGAGACCAGCCTGGCCAAGATGATAAAACCCCATCTCTACTAAAAATACAAAAAGTAGCAGGGTGCAGTGGTGGGCGCCTGAAATCCCAGCTACTTGGGAGGCTGAGGCAGGAGAATCGCTTGAATCTGAGAGGCAGAGATTCCAGTGAGCTGAGATCATGCCACTGCACTCTATCTAGCCTGGGTGACAGAGCAAGAATCCATCTCAAAAAACAAACAAACAAACAATGGACATGCCCATAGGCAGATGAATGGATAAAGAAAATATGGTACTGTATATACATACAATGAAATATTTTACAGCCTTAAAAATGTAGGAAACTCTGCCATTTGTTGCAAGATGGATGAACCTAGAGGACATTATGCTAAGTGAAATAAGCCAGTTAGGGAAAAACAAATGTTGCATGATTCCATTACATAAGGTATCTAAAATTGTCAAACTCATAGAAGCATAGAATACAATAGTGGTTTCCCCATACTGGGGGAATGGGGAAAATGGGGAGTTGTTAAATGGTTATAAAGTTTCAATTATACTAGCTGAATAAGTTCTAGAGATCTGCGGAAAAACATAGTGCCTATAGGCACAGTTAACAATAGATAGTGTGCAATTCAAAATTTATTAAGAAGGTAGATCTTATGTGAAGTGTTCTAGTCATAAATAAACAAAACAAAACAAACAGGCAACAAAAAACAAAAGGGAACTTCGGAAAGTGTTGGATATGTCTGTTACTCCGATTGTGGTAATGGTGTCATATGGTGTTTGCATTAAGCCCAAACCCATCACATTGTACACATTAGACATGTGTAGTTCTTTGTATATCAATTATACCTCAACAAAACTATTAAAAGGGTCAAATTTTAAAAATGAAAATAAAAAATGAATGGCTAAAAAATAAATTAGATATTAATTGCAATGCCAAAAAAATCCCACGATAATAAATTACTGGAAATTACTATCTCCAAAAGAAAGAGTGAGATGGAAGGAGGGGGAGGGCGGTAGAGAGGACATGACTGAAGGAAAAAGAGAAAGAAAGAAAGGAAGAGAAGGGAGGGGAGGGAAGGGGAGGAGAGGAGGAAGAAACTCTCCATGACATAAAAGATGTTCAAGCCTAGGAAATGGCTTTCTTCTTGGCACATCCGTACTGAAAATTTCCTCTTGTTTCACCCTTGGAGACTTTGCTGTTGTTGGCTGGGTCTGCCTGCTCATGCTCCATTTGACTCTGTTGCACAACTCTCATTTCAGTGTTCTGTCAGTTGTGGTGTTGGAATCCAGAGAAGAAAGCAGGTGTGTCAAAGGCTGGCAGCCAAAGGTCGGCGCATCCCCCTCAGTGAGATGATGTGCAGGGATCTACCAGGGCTCCCTCTTGTAAGATCTTGCCAGATGCCTGAGTGCAGTAGTAAGTATGCGGTGTCCGCGCTTCACCAAGATATGCTGATTCTGTTCATTTTGTCCCGATGTCTTTATTTTCCATACGTCAACAGATTTCTAATCTGTGGGTAAGGCAACTCAAGCTGTACTCAGTGTTGTTTTCGGCAGCGATCAGTAGAACGTGGAAGACCAAGATATAGTTCTAAGAAAAGTCTGTTTTAAGAAATGTCCGCCCACTTAACAAATGCATCTTTTAGGCTTCCTCATTTGGATTTATGTCCTCTACTTTACCATAATTCCTTCTGCTTAGAGTTCAGGAGTGTTCCATGTAGAAGTTAAGCCAAAATACCTCCTGGTTCACTTTGCTAGGATTGCATTTGGACTTAATTAAAAGTAGAAGAGCTACGTATTTTTAAGCATTCAAGTATTTTTTCTTGTGTATAATCTAAAATTGGCAAGGATAAAAACATGAAAGAACTTTGATTTAAAAATGGCAGTTTGTACACCTCAATTAATTATGAATAATGAGCTTACTATAAAGAGTTCATATTATGGCTTCATTATAGCCAAAGCTAATATGCATGTAGCATTCATCTGTATTTTCAGTGTACATGATAGAATATATTTTTACACATGAATATGTATGTTTCATATAAGAGTTATGTGGGCCAGGCGCAGTGGCTCACGCCTGTAATCCTAGCACTTTGAGAGACTGAGGTGGGTGGATCATGAGGTCAGGAGATCAAGACCATCCTGGCTAACATGGTTAAACCCCGTCTCTACTAAAAATACAAAAAATTAGCCGGGCTTGGTGGCACACTCCTGTAGTCCCAGCTACTCGAGAGGCTGAGGCAGGAGAATCACTTGAACCTGGGAGGCGGAGGTTGCAGTGAGTCGAGATCGCACCATTGCACTCCAGCCTGGGCGACAGAGTGTGAGACTCTGTCTCAAAAAAAAAAAAAAAAAAAGAAAGAAAGAAAAAAAGAGTTGTGTGTTAAAACATGTAAGCCGAGGGCGGCCATGACAGCCATGACAGCAATTGAAAAGCAGGCAGCAGAGTGGTGGTGAGGAGGTTGGGAAGGGAGGTAGGGAACAGGCATAGTGGAAATAACAGCTTTGGAGTTCATTTACCACTTTTTCACTATCTTTAATTACTCACCTGTGAAATAACATTTATTATATCAGTTACCCTCCTGAACGTTTGGTAAGGAAAAAAATTAAAAATGAACTATTCTTATTTTAATGCTGCTTAGGAGAGGAAAACATATATATATATATGTCTTTTATATATATGTTTTATATATATGTTATATATATATGATATATAACATATATATAAAACTTCAATTTACCAACACCTTTCCTGGAGAAACTCACAAAACAAAATAAGACAAATAATTAAGTTTTTTTTAAGTAGTGACATTTATTGAGCAATTACTATGTGGAGTTCTTTGCATGCATTATCTCATTTAGTCCCCTGAACAACATTGTGAGGCAGATACTATCTCCATCTGGAGATGAGAAACCCAAGCCATAGAAAAGGCATGAGACTTGCCTAAGGCTCCCTGGCTGCCAGCTGAACTGCTTGACCACAAGTCTGTCTGATTCTTTAGCCCACGTTTTTAGCTGCCTCTCTATGCTGATTCATGGACAACATTAACATTTTTTTCCTGAGGAACACATTTCCAAAATCTTGAGTCCAAAAACTTGAGATTCCAAGTTGTAAAGTCTCCTGGAATTCAGGAGTGTCTGTAGCATATGGCGTACTATCATGCTTCGTTCAAGTTGCCTCTCTATCTGATTTTTATTAATTGCGGATGGTTGCATAGCAGTGTGGCTAGACTGTAAAAACTGCCTTAGAGGAGAGTGAAATTAAAGTGATACTGGCAGCTTCCTCTAAAATAATAACAGAATAGCATGTGGAAATACAACGTGGTTATTATGGCATCCAATGTGGTACAAGATGAAATTATAAATTATTTTGGCATGCATTGAGGAGCAGAGAAAATTACAAGTTGTAGGGAGAAAGAAAAAACACAAGAAAAAAAGACAGTAATATTTTTTCTTTACTCCACCCCACTCCTGCCTGCCAAACATGTAGGTCATGAAGGTAGACAAGAGACAGGAATGCATGCTCCCAGCACAGCCAACGCACCCTGAGTTGGGCCCCCACTTCAGCTGTAGCCTCGCCTCACTCCATAATCTTTGATCACTAGCCCTTGCTTGCTGAAATGTAGGTTCTGCTTCTACACTTTCACATAGCATCCTCTTCACCACCATATGACAGAGCAAGAGATGAGGTTGGCATTCTCTTATCCTCTCTACACCGTTTCCCTGCTGTCTTCACACACTTAGCACGTAGATTGCCCCGTCTCATACCTTCAAAGGCACCATGTGCAGACCCTACAAGACACTCTTCACCCTTCTTCAGGACACACCACCACCAGGACCATGATTTCTCTCCAACGTTTCCTAACATCCAAGACAACCAATATCTGTGATGATGACCTTTCTAACACCTGATATCCCAATTTCCCAACCTCATCAATTCCACTGACCCCATCACCTTGGCATGGTAACCCCTTAGACTTCCTCACTACTTGGCACTCAGAATTAGCTTCTTGTTCTGCCTTACCCTCAACTCACTCCTGCTTATTTAGTTAGTGCCTCACCATGACCTCTGGTTCTTCCATATCTCCTTATTATCCCCAGTTTCTGCTCTTGCACTAGAAACCTTAGCCGGCATTCCTTAGGTCTCCACTTAACCAACTCTATCGCCAAATCTTTATACCTTTCATTAACCTCCTGTACTGACCCCTGCTCAGCTTCAACCCTGGTATTACCTTTCAAGTGATTTGTTTGTTGGTGGGTTGGTTCCCTAGCCTGAGCCACCAGGATTTCCTAAAGAAAATAATATCACCGTGCTAATTTGATATGTTTCATATTTATGCTATTTTAGAGGGGCAATAATGGCTTTGTGCCCTATTTTCTAAGAATGCCCTAGAAATTCACCATAGCAACTATTTCCTAACTACTGTACTGACCCATTTCTCTATCAATGAACTTGTCTTTCATTCCATTAGGAATATCAAGGCTAAAGTGGCATAATGTCGTGATTTTCCTCTCTGTTTCACCTCAAATCTACCCCCTCTCCTCCTCAGATTAGAAATGTATGATCTACTCCATCCATTATGGAAGGGGGTCCGTAGACAAGAAAATCAGGCCCAGTAGTGCTGTGAACTTTATTTTCTACCAAGGTTTCAATTCTAGAAAATGTGGCCTAATCGGTGCCTTGGGTTTAAGTAAAACCCATCCTCTTTGGAGGGGTAATTTTTCTTGGCTCTGACCCTTTTGGTGTGCAGCAGGTCCAAGTCAGGTGGGAAAGATGTCTTCTGCTCCCCCTAGAGGCCAACAGCATACCCTATAGTCCAATGACACCCACCGCCTGCTTCTCCCCAAACAATCCCTGCACAGTCCCCTTGTTCAAATTCTTTCTGTCCCCATAGCTAGTGACTGAAGTTCTTCCTGCTCCTGAAGGGTCAACACAAACCCTACCTTCCCCAGTAAGCTTTCTCAGTCGCACTTAATGTCTGAAGGATAATATGACATTGTGGTTGAGCTAACTCACCTGAGTTCAAATCCTAGTTCTTCCAGTACCTCATCATGTGACACTGAGCAAGTTATTTAACCTATGTGGGTCTCAGTTTTCTCATCTGTAAAATGAGAATAGTCTTTATACCTACCTCACGGGACCATTCTGAGAATCATGAATTAATACCTATAAAGTGCTTCGAATCAATGCCAGGCACACACTAAAAGCTCAAAAATATTGATTATTTTTAAGGTCTTTTTATCTCATTTCTATTATAGATTTAACACAGGATAAAATGTAATAAGTAAGTTGTGTTGTATATTCTGGCCTATTAGGGTATGAGCTTGTATGGGGTAGGTACACAGCACCTCTGGATATTCTGTTTTGTCTTTTTCTATATAATCCCCCAACATGTTTATCAGAATGAATTGTATTCATGGACATTCTTTTTAAATATGTTAGATGTGGTTCATTCTCAAAGTGCTGTTAGAAATCTACCTATCTTGGTTTCCAATCAGGCATCTGTAGAAAAGAAGGATAACAGAAATATGTAGTGTTTGATTTTAGATTTTTTAAATTATGACTTTTAGGGTTCCTGAGCTTTGGTAAAGAAGAATTTTTATTTTTCCCCAAAGTACTGAGATCAGGATGGATTAGGGAAGAGGAACCCAGGCATGCCCTATTTTATTGAAATGTCAAGAAAAATATGCCTCAGCCCCTTCCCAGGGCTATCTCAAATCTACTCTCATCTCTCCCGCCTGTGGTCTCTCTCCTTGTACTGGCACACAGCCTGCGTCTTTTTTTTTTTTTTTTTTTTTTTGAGACGGAGTCTCGCTCTCGCCTAGGCTGGAGTGCAGTGGCGCGATCTCAGCTCACTGCAAGCTCTGCCTCCCGGGTTCACGCCATTCTCCTGCCTCAGCCTCCTGAGTAGCTGGGACTACAGGCACCTGCTACCATGCCCGGCTAATTTTTTTGTATTTTTAGTAGAGACGGGGTTTCACCATGTTAGCCAGGATGGTCTTGATCTCCTGACCTTGTGATCCACCCACCTTGGCCTCCCAAAGTGCTGGGATTACAGGCGTGAGCCACTGCACCTGGCCAGCCTGCGTCTTTAGTTCTCCAGCCTCCTACACACCTCTTGGACTTTACCATTAGAATATGGTCTCCCCTGCTCTAACTCCTCCTCTAGCTTTGCTAGTTCTGGCTGCTTCCAGTAACACCCATCCCTGCTTGTCATAGCTACAGTCGTAGAGACCCAGCCAGGCAGAGGCCTACCTCACCAGCACCCTCTTGGGCTGGCGGCACTTCCTGCAGGGTCCCAGGACGTACGTGTTACTTTTTCTTTTACTCATTCATTGCCTTAATTCATTCAACAAACAGAAGGCAGTGGTCAGTGACACTGGGTGGTTAGAGGTCAGGAAGAAATTCACAGAGGAGGAACTCTTGAGCAGACTTCTGAATGACATGTCTGTTCATCGGGCCCACATGTGGGTAGATACAGAAGAATGTGAGGAAGGAGAGCAGTGTGGATAAAAGTAGGGGGTGTCAAATGGAGTGGTAAGTTTGGGGGAACTTCAGCAGATTCCATAGGACTAGAACATAGGTTCAAGAGAGAGCTTGCAAAGTTAGCTATAGAGACTCTTGAACTCCATGTGAAGGAGTTAAAATTGTATCCAAGAAGGAAGTGACTTGGTCAGGTTTTATTTTAGTTCATTTACTCTAAGAGCTATATAGATATATTGGGGAAATATGAGAGTATGGCTGGGAGTCTAGTGAAGGGGATATGACAATATCTTGGTGAGAGAGCATGAGAGTAGAAGCAATGGGGATGAATTCTAATGATGTTTCACATGTGTCCTCTAAATTCCCGATGCCTGATGAGAGTTGGGAGCTATAGGACAGAGACGGTGGTGGGTTTGTGAATATTGAACAGCTGGCTTCGGTAGTAGGGTGGTGAGTGGGGAGAGGTAGCTATCATTTGTTGTGGTCGCCTATTTCCATAGTGTAAATACTCCCATTGTAGCTGTTTTCCAGCTACCAATGTGATGTCATTGAATGCAGAGTTGGGAATAGTTGCTAGCAGTCTCATTGACTTGTGTTTCAGGGAGAGGCAGGGCCAGCACACCACTGGACAGGAGGAAATCTAGATCAGTGGTCTACAGCCATTTTGGCACCAGGGACCAGTTTCATGGAAGACAGTTTTTCCACGGACCAGTCGTAGGGGATGGTTTTGGGATGATTCTAGCACATTAAATGTATTGTGTACTTTCTTTATATTATTATTACATTGTAATGTGTAATGGAATAGTTATATAACTCACCATGATGTAGAATCAGTGAGAGTCCTGAGCTTGTTTTCCTGCAACTAGATGGTCCCATCCGGGGTTGATGAGAGACAGAGACACATCATTAGGCATTAGATTCTCATAAGGAGCCCGCAACCTAGATCCCTCACGTGCACAGTTCACAGTAGGGTTTGTGTTCCTATGAGAATCTAATGCCACCACTCATCTGACAGGAGGCGGAGTTCAGGCAGTAATGGCAGTGATGGGGAACGGCTGTAAATACAGATGAAGCTTCGCTCACTGGCCTTACTCACCTCCTGCTGTGAGGCCTGATTCCTAACAGGGGGTTCGGTGGTTGGGGACCCATGATCTAGATGATTCCCTGGTTTCTGGCTTGAGTAAATTGGCAGAAGTTGACGCCATTAACTTGGGGAATATAAGAAGAGGAGAATAATTGGGATGGGATAGGGTAGGGGGCATATAACATGTTGAGATCAGGGGTCCCCAACCCCCAAGCCATGGACGGATACTGGTCCATAGCCTGTTGGGAACTGAGCTGCACAATAGGAGGTGAGCGGGAGGCAAGCAGGCATTACCACCTGAGCTCTGCCTTCTGTCAGATCAGCAGCGGCATTAGCTTCTCATGGGAACACAAACCCTATTGTGAACTGCGCATGCGAGGGATCTAGGTTGCAGCTCCTTATGAAAATCTAATGCCTGATGATCTGAGGTGGAACAGTTTCATCCCAAAACCATCTAGCCCCCAATCCCCACCCCGACAACTGGTTTGTGGAAAAACTGTTTTCTATGAAACCAGTACCTGGTGCCAGAAAGGTTGGGGACTGCTGGTTTAGATTATGATCATTTAAACTTGAGGGACCTGGAAGAGATTTCCAGTAAGAAGTGGATAATTAGGTCTGAAGTTCCAGAAAGAGATCTAGGCTAGACAGATAAACTTGAAGGCATTAACCTAGAGTTGTTAGTTAAAACTACAAAATCATCCAAGGAAAAGCATAGAGCAAGAGAGATAGTGGCTGTGCATTGGCACCTGAGGGGTAGAAACAGCCAGCTGGGTACTGGCAATGGTGGTCAGAAAGGACCAGAAAAAAAAAGGTAAAAAAAAAATCTTGGGGAGGAGAGACTTCTTCATGAAGTGAGTGATTAAAGTTACCACATGCCCTAAGACGGTCAAGTAAGAATACTGAAGAGAAGGCACTGAATTTGTCACTAGGGGGCCCTTGGTTGTCTCTTCCAAGTAACATTTAATGTGGTGTTGGGAGCAGAAGCCAGACTGAAATTGGTGGAAGAGTAACACAGAAGCAACCTGAATTTACTGTAGCCGGGCCTCCATGGGCCTCAGGGGCCTCCACTGCTCATTTCAGAATCCACCCACAGCATCCCTGGTGGCCTCCTCTCAGCCCACTGTGTTCAGAGAAGCCTGAAGAGAATCCAAAGTATCTGCCCAGGTTCTTGGTACAGCTTCAAATGAGCTTCTCAGATCTTTACTCCTATTGGGAGGAGTGGAAACCAGCACCAGCCCAGCAGCCATATTCAGGGCTGGTTCCTGAGAGGCCAGGGTTCCAGCAGGGTAATAGGAAGGTATTGATGCTGTGTCATGGCCAGAGCAAATGCTGCCAAGACCATGCAGAAATATCCAGCCAGATGGCTTGGGGTAGAAACCTGGCCTGGCACCAGGACTTGAAGCCATGCCAGGGATATGACTGGAGTAAAGGCAGGACCCAGTAAGCAAGGAGCTGAGGTCATTGCCATAGATGGCCTTGGGCACCCAGAACTGGCCTTGACTGGGTGTGGCAGACTGCACAAAGACCCAGAGAGAGGAGTTACAGAAGAAAGCTCATTTCATTTTCTAGAATGTGGCATTTCTCACATTTAGCACAGTGGGAGAGGTGGAGGGATGGGTTAATGCTCTTGCACAGCCCAGCAGCCCCTTCAGGAGGGTGCTGCAGTTGGTACCTGGCCACTGTCTGCAGAGTGCATGATGCCCCTGCCTAATCAGGCTTGGCCAGTGTTGCTGTTTTGGGGCATCTCCAGATGAGAGAGGAAGGTCACCCCAAACCAGACCGGTTTCTTGCCCAAGAACTATGTTTGATGATGCCACGTTCCAGGCATTGCTCTCAAGGAACTCACAGGAGCCCCAAGAAAGGAAGTGGCTCAAACTGTGGAACCTGGCAGCCTGGCAGAGCCCATGAATTCCGATCTCTGGCTGGAATCCCCGTTTACTCCCCAGGCACACCTGCCAGTCAAAATGCCCCATACCCCAGTGTGAGCAATGGCCAAAGCAGAGTTGGGAAAGGGACCATCTGGGGCCACAAGGCCTGCCTTCCAGTAAATGGGCATGCAGCCACAGGGAGCAGCTGGGCTTCTTCTGTGTTCACCCCACCATTTGGGCAGGCTCTTCACCAAGGCTATGCCCTGCCCACCACCTGAGGCTTCATGGCCTCCCTTAGAAGGAGTCAGAATCCCATCAACTTTAAGCCCCAAGCTCAGCTGAGGGACATGTGGTACCAGTGGAAATGAGCATCACTGGAACCCACTTTCCTGCTGGTCCCAGGGCACCAGGATGCTTTGTGGGTTTCATGTTAGAATCAGGTCATCCCCAGCTTGAGCTGTTTAGCCAGACGTTTCCCCATGTGTGCTTCCGCACCATCCCAGTGAGAGCAAGAACATTCAAGCTTCCACCCGATCTGTAGCAGCCACTGCTACCTTGAAACAATCGATCTCCACATATTCCTTAGTTGTATTAATTCAAAAGTTTGACTGAACACAGTTTATGCTCTGCTTGCAAAGAAGTGAGTTACAAAACCATCCATGTGCACATCCATCTTTTATATTGTCCACCACTGAAAGGCCCATAGCCAGACAGTGTCCACCTGGATCTTTTTAAATAAAAATGATACTTACACGGGTAGGCATACCTTGCCTTGTTACAATAGGCTACTTCTAAGTATTCATAACATGCAATCCAATTAGTAAAAATAGAAGCAGGTGAGTAATAAAAAAAGGAGAACAAACAACGTTAATATGTGATTGTGTCTTGAATTTTATATTCCTTTTACATGTAGGCACTAATTTGGCTCCAAACTTGCTTTAACAGCCATCTTGAAAAAGGCAACCTTGCCAATTGCAGTTTAGGAATTCATTAGATAGGAAATGAGCTAATTACTCAGAGTAAAGTATAATGATTTCTGATGCTAAAACCAGAAAGAAATCCTCCCATGATCCTCTTGCAGAAGACACTGGATATTGTGAAGACTAGAATGTGCTCATAGACAACACAGATGCTGCTTCCTATTTTCCCTTCCCTCTTGACCAGCAGCTTCCTGTCAAATTGTCTTTCAGTGAAAGAAACTGGGTCAGGAATGCCTTTCTCTAGTGCTTTGGCTTAATTCATGGTACATGCTGGGGTAATGGTCCTCGAACTTTGCTGCACATTTCAGTCAACTGGGGAACTTTAAAAAATTCTGATGTCCTGGCTGCACCCCGTAAGTCAGAATTTCTGGGGATGGGACCCAGGATACTGAGATTAGTGAATACTAACAATAACAGGTGATTCTAACAAATAGCAAAATTTGAGAGCCATTTTTTTTAGAGCATCTGTGGTCAGAGTTGATATTGAACCTGCACATACCAGTATGGACATGGTCAGAAATATGGTCAGAAAAAAAAGAATTAGTAAACAGCCTCTGCTGGAACCCCATGAGCATTTCTCACCTGCTCAGGCCACTCTGCCAGTAACCGCCTGACTTGTCCATAATCGAACAACTATGGGGTTAACACTTCGTACCATAGTAGGCCTCCAAGACCCTATTCCAGTGCTATGGCCAGACACATTCTGTTGATTGAGCCCTTGCTGTGAAGATTTAGTATTTTGAACACCATCTATATTATCTATAGTAATGGATTGACTATAAATTTACCAGGGAGTCTTCCATACATGTTTTTCAGCTTTTGATTGTTGAACAGTAGAAAGTTCAAAATTGTATTCTAGCCAAATTAGGGGAAATTTACATGGCTTAACTGGCTGGGCCATTTGACATACTTTGTAGATACTCTGTCTCCCAAAAAGTAAAAGTATGTATGTGGCAGTTCATCCAGCTCCACTTAGAGATGATGTGACAGAGCATTTTCAAGCAGAACCCTGGACCCATCCTGAGATCAATAGGCCTGACCTACCAATTGCATCTGTATGGAATTTGTATACAAACAAATTATGTATGTCCTTCACTGAGAACATTCTCTACCACAGAAATTATGGGTTCACCTCCATTGTTTCCCTGAACCTGTTGACACCACGAAACCCCAGTAGGCAGCCAGACTTCAAAGGGCTCATGAGGCGTGCAAGAGGACTTCAGTTATTCTCAGTTCTCAGGGTACCAGTAAACACACTGTAGCCAGCGCCAAGGGCCTGAGAAGGCTATGAAAGAGAAGTCTCAATCTGCTTCTTCTCCCAGCGTGTGCTACAACAAGGAGGACCTGTAACTGGGGTCCCCCAAGGTAAATTAGGTCCCCATTGCATGACCTTCTAAATCCAGAGGTATTCTTGATGTTAGTCCAGTATCTCTTCTGCCACTCACTAGTGCTTCCAAGCCATCCATCCTACACTCCACAATCTGCTCAGGAACCTAAATACATCATCAAAGAGGATCCAGACTTCCACCCATATCACTGTCCTTCTCCCATGCCTACCTCAGAATCACCCCAGAACACATTGAGCCTTCTCTCAGGTGAAACAAGGGAGAGAAATACTTCTCTTGGGGACAGGATCTGAGAAGTATTGTCTTTGGGCCTAGCCCATTAAGAGGAGCCGATCGATGCCCAGGAACAAGTCAAAGCCAACCCCATCTCTGTTCCCTCTTAGTCTTCCCTGCTGTGCATTGGCTGCACCTGCCCTTGTCACCAGATCAGTGGTGGCAGCAGTTATATATGAGAGCTCATTATGTGCCCGCTACTGTGCTGTGCACTTGATATAAACAATCTGACTTAATTTTTACTTCCCTCCCATTGAAAGCACTAACATTATTCACATTTCACAGGTGAGGAAACTGAGGCTCAGAGAGATGAAAGAATTTGTCCAAGTGGCAGAGCTAAGATTCAAACTCAGGTTTATCTGACTTCAAACTGCCTATGCCACCTGTTCTTTTTTGATCACGGCTACCCATTGCTTCTTCAGACCCCCATGCCAATTTAATCGACATATTTGGGTTATATTCTGCAGCTGGCCAACCTCAGCCTCCTTTCAGACCCTTCAAATACATTTGCTCACATTCCCACTCTCACTTCCTCCCTCAGATTTGGGGTACCCATGGCTCTAAGCCAGAGGGCCTCTCTGCCAGATAGTAGAGACCTGACATATCAGACCCTTATTGATGGAAACATGTACCCAGAGGCTGGGTATTTATGGAGCCATTATATGAGCATGGCCTAGAACAAATATTCCTCAAATCTAGAAATAACTATTCCCTACATTTCACCAAATCATTTAACCTCATGCCTCCCCAAACCAGGGTTTTATCAAATCACTTACACATTTTCATGCACCTCATTCACACTTGCATTCTTTGCCACTAAAGTACTAGATAGTTGTGAAATTTACCCCAATCTGTGGATGTATAATGTTATTCATGGTTTTATTCTTGAATGTTTTAAAATAGTAAAAAAGATACGTTTGTTAGCCTGTATCAGCCTTGAAAGATTACTGTCAAAAAGTCTGTATTTTTGAGATGTTTATTCGTATTTTCTTTTCTTTCTTTTTTTTTTTCTTGGAGAAATCAAATCAGAGATGAAGACAAAACTTGGTGAGCAGGGTCCGCAGATCCTCAGTGTCCAGAGAGTCTACATTCAGACAAGGGAAGAGAAGCGTATTAACCTGACCATTGGTAGCAGAGCCTATTTGCTGCCCAACACATCCGTGATTATTAAGTGCCCCGTGCGACGATTCCAGAAATCTCTGATCCAGTGGGAGAAGGATGGCCGTTGCCTGCAGAACTCCAAACGGCTTGGCATCACCAAGTCAGGCTCACTAAAAATCCATGGTCTTGCTGCCCCCGACATCGGCGTGTACCGGTGCATTGCAGGCTCTGCACAGGAAACAGTTGTGCTCAAGCTCATTGGTACTGACAACCGGCTCATCGCACGCCCAGCCCTCAGGGAGCCTATGAGGGAATATCCTGGGATGGACCACAGCGAAGCCAATAGTTTGGGAGTCACATGGCACAAAATGAGGCAAATGTGGAATAACAAAAATGACCTTTATCTGGATGATGACCACATTAGTAACCAGCCTTTCTTGAGAGCTCTGTTAGGCCACTGCAGCAATTCTGCAGGAAGCACCAACTCCTGGGAGTTGAAGAATAAGCAGTTTGAAGCAGCAGTTAAACAAGGAGCATATAGCATGGATACAGCCCAGTTTGATGAGCTGATAAGAAACATGAGTCAGCTCATGGAAACCGGAGAGGTCAGCGATGATCTTGCGTCCCAGCTGATATATCAGCTGGTGGCCGAATTAGCCAAGGCACAGCCAACACACATGCAGTGGCGGGGCATCCAGGAAGAGACACCTCCTGCTGCTCAGCTCAGAGGGGAAACAGGGAGTGTGTCCCAAAGCTCGCATGCAAAAAACTCAGGCAAGCTGACATTCAAGCCGAAAGGACCTGTTCTCATGAGGCAAAGCCAACCTCCCTCAATTTCATTTAATAAAACAATAAATTCCAGGATTGGAAATACAGTATACATTACAAAAAGGACAGAGGTCATCAATATACTGTGTGACCTTATTACCCCCAGTGAGGCCACATATACATGGACCAAGGATGGAACCTTGTTACAGCCCTCAGTAAAGTAAGTAAAATAAAAATGCAGTATTCATTTTTGCACTACCTTCTTAATGGCTATTCCAGTTTTCTTGAAAATATTTTCAAATTCCTCTCCTAAGCATGTGTTTCCAACAGGATTCTTTAGGAAAGAAACTAAAAAATGTTAAGATGTGTTTTTCACATATACGTTGGAATTTTTAAATTCAACCGCCATATCATCCCAATCACTGTCGTAGAGGTGTGATATGACTGGATCCAGCAAGAATAAGTTTAAGCATATATACACTCCCCCTTTACTCAGCACTTGGCATTTAAAAATAAAATCAATATAAGGCCATTTTAAAAGTAAGCTTATTAATAGTAATCCTACATTATGTTGGAACTGCAAATCAGAATTTACAGAGCTCTTCCATGTCTAGGAGATGTGGTATCTTATTTGAGCTCACATCAGCCCCATGAGATTGGCAGGGCAGGGGTTAACCTTTCTGATGAGGTAATTGAGAAGCAGAATCCCATGACTACTTCATGGCCAATCAGAACCAAGGGCCGTATCTCTTGAATACCCACCAGTGGTATTTGAGTATCACACAAATACGTAGCCTTGTCAAAAGCTTGGGTATCTGAAGTAGTTTTCTATTATCATGCAATTTTTAAATGTCATACAATCCAAAAATAAGAATCATAGTGTTTTGAGATGTTCAAAACACAGTATTAAGTCACATATTATTCTGATCTCTATGCCAGTGTAAAAATGTCACATTTCCTTTATTTTACATAACAGATACTAATTTACTTTTGCATTCTTTATTGCCTTCAAATCTTGCTGTTTGTATACAAAGTACTATAGACATTGTGCCTTCTTTTGATTCACATGTAAGAGCTCCAGCTCTACCTTATCTGCCTTTAGAGATCGTTAAGAGACACAAATAACACAGCAGATGTGAAACTGTTTTGCATATCACAAGGTACTTTCAAAATGCAAGTTTTACTTTTATCATGTCCTTTGTGCATTGAGCCTCGTATGTGAAACATCAGAAAAAACTTAGGTAAAATTCAGTTTTTTAAAATAATAAACTATTAGGCTATATCTTAAAAAGGTAGAAAAAATCTAATTTTTGAATTTTTAATGCTAGAACTATGAACACAAGAGTACAATGAAATTTTAGAAGTAGAATAAACCTTAAAACATAGCAGTTCTCAGAGCTTTTGGTTTTAGACTCTTTAAAATTTAAAAATGATTGAGGAGCCTAAAGAGCTTTTGTAAATGTGAGTTGTATCTATTGCTGTTTACCTCACTAGAAATTAAAACCAAGAAACATTGAAAATATCTCCATTAATCTATTTAGAAAAAATAATGGGCCTATAACATGTTCATACAAATAACATATTTTTTGAAAACCCTCCCCCTGCCACCAAAATTACTGATAACAGTGGAATTGCTTTCCATCTTTGCAGATCTCTTTAATGTCTGGTATAATAAAAGAAGACAGCTGGATTCTTTTTCCACATCTGTTGTGAAATGTTGTTTTAGTTAAAGTATATGGAGAAAATAAATGTGTGCTATACAAATGTGTTAGCTGGAAGAGAAAGAATATTTTAATATCTTTTCAGATAATTGTGGATACTCTTTAATTCTACACTAAAACTAGACAAAGGGTCATTTCTCAAAGGTTAGTTGAAATGTGCAATCTGAAACTATATTAATGAAATGTTGGTACTCTGTTTAATGAAATCTGCTGTTTTTTTCTTGCATTTTGAATAGACTTTTTACCCATACAAGATTTTTTAACACCATACATTGGTCATTTGGAAAATATTGGCTCACTGAGTGATACAGGCCTTCCAAATGTTGGTGCATTTCATTATGCAATGTAAAAAAAATACACATTTAAAAAAATCACCGTGTATCTCATAAAAAAAAAAGTCTTTAAGTTTTGGGAAGCTGTCAGACTTACAGTGGTGGATACCAGTTTTCCAAAATTCTAATTTTCACATCAAACCTTTTTCATCATTGGCAACAAATACTGTCAGTTGTGTCATTGAATTGGCCAGCTCATTTAAAAAATATATATATATATATCTACCAAATACCCAACTTTAAATCATAGTGTGGACTTTTTTGTCATAGTTTATTGGTCATTCTTTCAAGTAAAAATCATATTCCATGAAAGAAGCCACCAGTTCTTCAGCATGCAGTGGAAGTGCTTTGTGTGTACTTCCCATTGTGTCGTATGGGATATGAAAAACGTATGGACCCAAGGGTCAAGATTTAGTAAGATTAATACCTTTTACTACTTCATTAAAGACATTTCTTTTTTTTTCTTTTCTTTATTGAGACAGTCTCGCTTTGTCACCCAGGCTGGAGTGCAGTGGTGGCATCTCAGCTTACTGCAACCTCTGCCTCCTCGTTTCAAGTGATTCTCCTGCTTCAGCCTCCCAAGTAACTGGGATTACAGGTGAACACCACCACCCCCAGCTAATTGTATTTTTAGTAGAGATAGGGTTTCACCATGTTGGCCAGGTTGGTCTTGAACTCCTGACCTCAAGTGATCCACCCACCTCGGCCTCCCAAAGTGCTGGGATTACAGGCATGAGTCGCCACGCCTGGCCGTTAAGGACATTCTTAAGGGAAACTGGCATTTTTTTTTTTTCTGCAAGTAAAACATAGTAGTCAAGAATACAGTAATTACTGGTACACTTCAATATCACTGTCTTGGTTCATGCTAAGGTGCCAGCAGTCTTACCAACACTGCCTTTGCACTCTCAGTGCAAAGGTCAATACCGTTTTTAAAAAGGCTAATTAATGGCTTCGTATTATTATAAAACTAGCTTTGACTTCATAGACTTCTGGGGGGTTCATGGACTATGCTTTGAAGACTGCTAACTTGGTTCAATAATCCATTTTATAAATTGTAAGGAAAGAGAGGCTGACAAGGTTGAAGTGATCTGTTGACCTATGGCCATATAAGTACTACAATGATATAGAGGAGCCTGGTCAGTTTAAATAAATATTTATTTGAGTTCATTTTAAATAGATTGACTTGATGGAATGGCGTTAACATAAGTTTATCAGGCTGAGACCCCTGGAGCTTGTATAAAGAAGTTTTGACATGGTACATCCTCCTTAGATGTGTTTCTGCATCCTTTAAAGATCAGCCATTCAAAACAGAAGCAATTTCATATGTCTAATAAAAGGTTTTGTTTTTAATTTTTAAGATAATAAGATCCATTTTCATTTCTATTTTTCCTCCAAAACCTACCCAATTAATTTGTTCAATTTATGTTTAATTCCCTTTACATAACAAATGTTCTCATCTTTAAATATACTTTCTGAATCTTACAAATCTTTTCAGTTGAAGTAATTGAGAAATGGAATTATGTTCCTGAAAGCCTCATTCAATGAGAGAAACTGTGTAGGCATGGAGTACTGTTCGGATGACAATTGAGTAAGAAATCTCAACTAGGAAGAGAAGTTTGTGGGTGTATCAATTAGAGATGGTGCCTATAGAAAGATCAACTTTGTTATTACTTCAAGTTAAGAGTAAGATTACGCAGCAGAGGCCAAGGTCATATGTGTTACAGAATTCAACCTGGTGGTTCTCCAGCCCAAGGACAGATCCAGGCTAGGTACCCAGTGGCCCCACCTGTCATGTAAGGTTCACGCATGCTCAGCTATTTCTGATCTCAATGATTTCTCACTGGACTGTTACCTGAAACCTACAAAACAAAGGCATTATTTGAGAATTCCTAAATCATGCAAACATATATATGAAATAATTTAAGAAAATGATTTAATATGTTTATTTTTCATGTGTAGTCACTGGTTAGACTTTTGCTTTTAACCAACTATTTCTCCTCCATCAGGATTTGACACTGAAAATCTTGCCTTACTAACAGCGAGGTCTGCCATACTCTTGTTGCTCTGAGACACTTTCGCTGTTTTGACTTCTGCCAGCTTTTGTATATTTCTTATGTGTGCTGCAGCAGGGCTTGTATGCTCTTGGTACTATTGCTCTGTGCCATTATTTCATACTATTCTAATCATTCATACATTTAGTCATCAAAGATTTTTGAGAACTTGCTATATAAAAGTCTAAGCAGTGAGTATGCACAGCTGTGAATAAGATTTGGTTCCTGCCCTTGAAAAGATCACAGTCTAGTGGGAAGAAATAGATATTTCATCAAATAAATATATGAACCAGAGAAGAAGGAGCCCAGAGGAGACAGAAGATAACTCTAGGAGTATTGGGGAAAACTTTACAGGGGAAATTACATTTGATCCAGGACTCAGTGGGCGGGTCTGAGTTTGCCAGAAAGGAGGAAGGGCATTTCAAATGAAGTGAACAACATATGCAAAAGCTCACAGTAATGAAAGATCATGGAATGTTCTGGAAACAGTTAAGGTTCATTATGACTGAAGCATAGAGCGAACGACATGAAGTGACAGGAAATAAAGAAGTGGCACAGTTCATTTCATGATGAAACATACAGTATTTAGAGGGCAGAATAGTCCATATTGCTAAGATCTATGAAGTGAGATGGGGCAGGGGAAAAATAGTATATAAACCACTGATCCGGGTGATTTAGAAGCAGATTCAAATTATTAAGAATAAAATAAAATAAAAGAACAAGCACTCTTCCCTTCCTAACAAAGGTTCTTCTCACCTTTAGATATATTTTCTGAATCTCTGAATTATTATCTAATTGGTTAGGCTACACCTGACCAACTCTGATTCTCAAAGCGGTATTTACACACAGGATTTTAGGAATATCAGTAATTGGGAAACCATAATGAACTCATGCAGGTTAGCCCTAATTCTTAACAGCATGGTCCAAATCCAGTGTATGCCACAGACTTAGCATGATGACCTCAATCGACTTCTTCATACAGGAATAATGAGACCATAATCCATTGCAAAGCAGCCTTAGCCAAAGCCCAATCACCTCCAGCATGAAAATCCAAACAGAAAATCCACACCTGCAGTTTGTTAGGAAGGATTCGGGCAGAAAAGGAGTGTTTAACATCCAGCAAATGAATAGGTTTGCTAGGTTGTCTTTTTTTAAAATGTGGCAGATTAAGCATTGAGTTCACCAGAAAAGTCTTTTCTCATGTAAAGTGGGATGGGAAGACTGGATCTCTAAGCACTGTTGAGCTCTAACGTTGCTGTTAACCTATAGCAAGAGGAAACACTCCACCCTCCTGGTCTATATAGTTCTCTGCTTATAGGCAGGATGCTGGACAAAATTATCCTTTGTGAGCTTTGCCAGCCCAAAGCCTGTAATGGTGCAGTCTTCTTTCTCTGCAACTCACTGTAGCCCTAGGTCAGTTAAATTGTTATATGAATGTGTCGTCTTTCTAACTGTTCTACAGAATAATTTTGGATGGAACTGGGAAGATACAGATACAGAATCCTACAAGGAAAGAACAAGGCATATATGAATGTTCTGTAGCTAATCATCTTGGTTCAGATGTGGAAAGTTCTTCTGTGCTGTATGCAGGTAATGCCCACTGTTGAAATCTAGAATGCCTGGTTCTTTATTTTTTATTTTTATTTATTTATTTATTTATTTTTTTTTTTTGAGACAGAGTCTCGCTCTGTCGCCCAGGCTGGAGTGCAGTGGCGTGATCTCGGCTCACTGTAAGCTCCGCCTCCCGGGTTCACGCCATTCTCCAGCCTCAGCCTCCCGAGTAGCTGGGGACTACAGGCGCCCGCCACCACGCCCGGCTAATTTTTTGTATTTTTAGTAGAGACGGGGTTTCACCATGTTAGCCAGGATGGTCTCGATCTCCTGACCTCGTGATCCACCCGCCTTGGCCTCCCAGAGTGCTGGGATTACAGGCGTGAGCCACCGCGCCTGGCTGTTTATTTGTTTTTAACATTAAATTCTAGAGCAGCAGTTCTCATTAGCAGCTGTCAGAATCATCTGGAGTGCTTGTTAAAATACAGATTGCTGGACTCCACCCCTAGAAGTTCTGGCTTAGTAGGTTTGGGTTGGAGTCTGAGAATCAGCATTTTCAACATGTGCCCAGGTTATGCCAATGCTGCCGGTCTGAGGACCACACTGAAAACAGCTGCTCAGGAACTCACTTTCTAAGAATCAGGAAATAATGAGATGGAGTTTAACTGGCAGTGTTGATATTAATGAACTTTGCATTTTTTAAAGTTCCATCAGTCAACAAAAAAGAATAATTATCTTTTATAGATTGCAATTACCTCCCAGTGGCATACCTGCCAATCCTGAGAAACACCTCCAGGAAGTTGTAACTATAAAGTAGTGTGAGTCTTCTTGGGAGGTGGACAATGTCATTTGGATATTAAAATATGCTTTTATTATAAAGAAACATTTTTAATACTTAGTACTGCCATTGTCCAGCTCAGGCACAAAGTATGCTTCCTGAGTGAGTGAATAAATTAATCTGGCAACTAAATATCAAAATCCAAAGAAAATAAACATTTTAAAATGGACGTTTGATTCTTTATGACCTTGTTTGTATTATTTTTGCATGCAAATTTTATACATGTATTTGCTTCGTATTAATTAAACGTTAACTTTGCATTTTTCTTGCAGACAGTTCTGCTCCACTTGTAATAACCTCATATGGTCTCATAAAGTGGGAAGTCAGACATTTTCTCTCTTGAGACTTTCTGCAGTGTAGAGATGTAAATAATGTTTTAAATAGGTCTCCTTGCAATTGATGGTCTTTAAATAGTCTTTTCTATTTTAGATTGAAATGAGTTTATTTAAGTAGGGTCAGACAGGGCCTCTCTGAACCACACATTGGGTGAGGGAACTGCAGTTGGAAGAGATCTTCTAACCCAATCATTTTTTTAATGGGATTCAAACTGAAGTCCAGAGAGGGAAGATTTTGCCCAAGCACACATATAGCTTATTAGAAGAGGCTCAACAAGAATCGTGGCCTCCTACCTGTCTCATCTTTCTCCAGTACAGCTTTGAATGAGCTCTGAACCGTGGTTACATCCTGGCATCCACATGTCAGCCTGGCTGTGGCACCATATTCAGAAAAACTTTATAAGGATTAGGTACCACATTTATATTGAAAATGCCTGTGTACATCTCCTTCTGCACCCCTACACCTTGTGCTTATCGAAAGAGGAGATACTTCTCATCTTGTACCCAGGTATTTCTCATCTTGTACCCAGGTGCAGACCACAGAGTGGACACTTGGTAAATGTTTACATTGGAAAAAACCTCTTATTACGCTGGGCCCAATGAGGGACAACAGAATGGATCAGGACCTTCTGTCCTGTCTTCATCAACCCCCTCCCCCAGTATCTCACATCCCTCCTTCCAGAAAAAGAGTCAGGTAGTCCCAAGCCCCAGTGTGTTTTGGCCCTACATTAATTCATTCATGGCTGCACTGCAGAGACATCATTCCTGCTCTGCCTGTCTTCTTTGCTTCTTATGAGCTTCTGAATTCCTTTTTTTTTCAAATTATCAAAGAGGAATTTATCCTCAATTTTAGTTATAAAACCAAAATATCCTCATAGTCTATACATACTGTTGTTGCAATGTACCTTTGAATTCATCGAACCATCTATCCATTCATCCATCTGTCCGTATGTCCACTGAGCACCTCCAGGTATGTATGTGCACATCCCCACGGTGCACCTTGAGGGATACAGAGAGAACCAGGACTCCACTCCTGCCCTCAAAGGGCTCAACAAAGCTTACCAAATGCAATATGTTTTACCAAAGAGCAAAAGCCTGAACCTAACATAGTTTCCTGCTCCCTTTGAATTAAGAGGCACCTGTCATCTTGTCTGTTGAAAGAAATATCACCAAACCAGAGCACAACCATCTGTCTGTTGTGGTTGGAGGCATCGTGGAGGCAGCCCTTGGAGCAAACGTGACAATCCGATGTCCTGTAAAAGGTAAGTGTGGTCATTTCAGTGGGAGGCCATTTCAGTGGGAGGTAAGTGTGGCCATCCCAGTGTTGCCAGGAAACACCAGCTGGCATTTTGGTATTCGAGACCTCAGCCTGATAGGCTTAAAAAAAAGATTTTCCAGCACACTGACAGTGGATCTAACTCTCAAGGGTGAGGTCATACTGGCTCATGAGACCGATGTATAAAACAGAATGCCAAGTTACTTGTTTCCAGTGTGGACTGTGACTGCCATGCACACTGGAATGTTCATATTGGCAAGACCAGAACACTCTGTCCCTATGGGTAGATCTACAAAAGAGGCCAACTTTTAGTCAGAGGGTTACTTGGTGAATACAAAGTCAGAGGAGGGGATTTGTGGGAAATTGTAAGACATGTCCTCTAGATAGACAAAAGCTACACTTGGCAAAGCCAGATCGGGGAGCTAGAATGTCCCCTGGCCTAGGCTCTCTTCTGGATTGTCCCTGGGTAAGTGTCAGCAGCCTGTTCCTCAGTGGCTCTTTCTCCCGTGTTTACAACTGCAGACAAACCTCCTTTCTAATGTTCACACTCTTTCTTTAACAGAATTGACACTTTCAGTCTGACTTTGCCTTAATCTAGGGCCATCCTGTCTCATTAAGCCATGGATTCTTAAGTCTTCATCTGGGCCCATGCATCTCTGAACTGTAGATAAATATTATATGCTGCATATACATGTACATTTTACAGGGGCCAGGAGAGGTGGGAGTGAGGGGGTTTTGTGAATAGCGTTTTATTGCTTCCTTAGAGAAACTTATGAACTCCTCCAAATTGAGATATACTCTTTTAAGATGACTTTGCGTATGCCTTTGATTTCCCTAGCTTCCAAGTTCTAATTAGATACCTGTAGTTGCAGCCACCTAAGATGAGTCTTGCCTAGGCTGTGACCCTGATTGCCTAGGGTGACAGAGGAGCTTTTGCTGCTGCTCTTAGAAATGCAGTGAGGGTGCATGTAATGAGGGATCCCAGGACACACTTATCCAGCTTTCAGGCTCTCCCTCCACTGTCATGATCAGTTACTTGCCATGTTTCCAAAGCTGCACCTTTGGCTCTACAAACAGTGGAAATTTGCTAACCCCCAAGATATTGTTTTTCACCCCTTGGAAATCCCTGCAGTGTTTGGCCTATGCAGACTTTTGAAAAATTGCTCCAGGCTCCCAACTGACTCCACCCACAAATATGTGAGTTTTCTGGCAAAATACACCCACCATTACAGAAAGGGCCGGCATTCTCTGGCCATAGCAAGGAGAAAAGCAGAACGGAACTCTGCAGATGCCAAGCCACAGATGTCTAAAGTTTCTACAGCCCTATACCTGCAGAGGATTCTGAAAAATAGATCTGACTTCTATTAAGAGAAACCTCAGCTTTCAACATGACTTCTAAATTTTTCACTTCCACAATACTTGAAAATCAGGCTTTCAGGGAGATGAGCCATTAAAAGGATTGGAGTGCATTATTTGCTATCGGAAGTCAAAGACTGGATTGGGTGGAAACTGCAAGTAAAGCCTCCAGCAAAGACCATTAAACTCATCTAGTTTTATTCTCATCCAGGCCCAGTCAGACATGGGCTATCTCTGACCCTCCCCAGCCCCACAGCCCTCCTGCCCTGTGCTGTGGGGCCATGGGTCTGCAGCACTGCTGCCTAGATGGAGCTCAGCACTGGGAGTACTCATCTCTCCCCTTCCTCCCTCACCTTTCAGCTCTTACTAGGAATTGTCCCATTTGGCCTTTCTTTATCTGGCAGTCTTCCCCCATGGACTCAGACCCCAGAACTCCTGATGAGTTCTTTCCTTTTAAAAATAAACCTGCCTCCAAATGCACCACAATCATTTTGAGTTATTTGCCATTTTAAACAAACCTGTAGTGAACTTACAGTGTTTTCTTATGGGCAGAAGCCATACCTAATGGAGTTTTCTAGGGAAATTCATCTTTTTTAAGACAGATGGTGAAGTTGATGAAGGGTCAGAAAACTTGAGTTTTACAGACAGTCTTGTCACTAGCTAGTATGTAACCATAGGTGAGTCATATATCTTTCTTCCCTCATCTCTAAAGCAGGGAATATATTATATTAATAGAAGAAGAGACTGTGGTTATCATCCAATTCAGTTTTTCATCTTATAGATGAGTACATTAAAACATAATTTACAAAATTGAACTCTGCTTTACAAATTACATTTTTATATTGCAAATTGGGATTTCTGTAAATCAGTGGCATATATAATTTTTTTATTTGTTTAGTTGCCTTAGACTATTTCCCACTAATTGTAATGAACTTATTTTTATAGACCCCATAACACATATTCATAGCTTCTAGAGAAGTTCATCTTTTTTTATAGCCAAACATGTTTTGTCAACCCATGTGGTATGGATATCAATAGGGATTATCCCTAGTCATTCTTAGAGATATTTCTTTTAACTATATTGAATAACAGAACCTAAAAGTCCACATATTTGCCTATTTCTAAAGGTTAAAACTTCTAACTTGCGAGAGTTATTTGCCTTGCTCTTTAAAAAAAAGTTTTTTTCTGTCCATTTGGGTGGGGGTAATTTAAAGCGCACCTTTTTTGCCACCTTCTGGTAAGAAAGAAAAGCTCATCTGGGGAAAATCACCAGAAAATATCAGTTGCTGCATGTTTTATTTTCTTTCAGGTTAATGCATAGTAAGAACATTACTTATCCTGTAATTTTCTGTTGTGTATTACATGTTGTTTATGTTATTCCTTAAGCTCATCAGAGATGCAGCTGACGTGAGTCCCTTCTCTAAAGTGTTTTGTTGTGTGTCACGCTCCTCTTTAGTCTGTAAGGAACTCTCTTGGCCCACAGATGGTAATGAGTTTGAGCTAGATGGTGATTCCCAAATGAAGGGCACTGGCAAAGCCATCAATGGCCCAGCCCTAAGCTTAGAAAATTTCTTAAACACAAGGTGCACTGGACAACTGCTTCTTAGAGCAAACTCAAACTGCCTGGAAAGATTAGAGATGCTTCTAAACTAAAACTAAGCTAAAGAATAAAAACATCTTTGAATGCTATTAGAGGACACTGGTGTACATCTCCTTTAGGAGGAAAAATTCTACAACTGTGGATGGCACCTGACATCCCACCAGGCAGCTAGGTACATGTAGGTTATACAAAAGACTCTTAAACAATAAATGCAGAAGCAAATAAATCAAGTTTAACACATTCCCAAATGAATCTAGTCATGTGGATGACTAAAGGAGAGTTTTTCCCAGGAATGCAAATTTTTTAACACTTAAAAATATCTACTTTAAACAGATCATCACAGGTTGAATCCTCTCTGGAAGGATGTTTTTGTTGGTTTGTTTCTGTTTTTTTGTTTTTTCGTTTTTTTTTTTTTTTTTTTTTTTTTTTTGACACAGAACCTCACTCTGTTGCCCAGGTTGGAGGGCAGTGGTGCAATCTCAGCTCACTGCAATCTCTGCCTCCCAGGTTCAAACGATTCTCCTACCTCAGCCTCCCAAATAGCTGGGATTACAGGTACAAGCCACCATGCCTGGCTATTTTTTTTTTTTTTTTTTGCATTTTTAGTAGAGACGGGGGTTTCACCATGTTGCCCAGGCTGGTCTCGAACTCCTGACCTCAAGTAATCCACCCACCTCAGCCTCCCAAAGTGTTGGGATTACAGGCATGAGCCACGGCATCCGGCCCTGGAAGGAGTTTTTGTATAGTATATTAGTTGTCAACATATGTGGAAGGGAGGAAGCAAGCAGGATTAGACAGAGGGCAAAGGAGAACTGTGATGCAGGCCCACAAAGTCTCACCAAGCCCCCTTGAAACATATGTGACTTATTAGAGTTGTCCCAGGCTGACCCACAGTGGCCAGGCCTTCATGCCCCTGCCTCCTGCAGTCACTGGCTGTGGGCCTCTCTGGAAGGGGCATATGTGCTCTTGGGTCGGCGGAGACAGATTGTGAAGGGACTAACAACCAGAGGCTACCAGGAGCAGGGACACTGAGTTCCTCCTTGAAGGTTGATTTGGGTGGAGCATCTCCATCTCTACCACAGAGATTTAAGGAGATAAAATTTAGGATCATCTTAATAGATGTAGACAAAGCATCTGATAAACTTCAACACGAAAATGATATGAAAACCTCTTGGCAAACCAGTAATAGAAGGGATAATCTCTACCTTGATTTGCCTGTCAGAAACCTATTGTAAGCATCATACTCACTTTAATGGTGAGACTCAAACAGTCCCATTAAAGTCAGGAAAAAACATACGATGCCCTTTATCACTATATCTGTTCAACACTGCGTTAGCACTAGCCAGTGCAATAAGATAAAATAAATAGAAAAATTAGAACTAGAAAATTAGAAACCAAGACTAGATAACTAGAAAAATTATACAAAACTAGAAATATAAAAACTAGAAAATAACTACAAAAATTTCTTCTTATTTATAGATAATATAATTATCCCCATTTAAAAGCAAAGAAAATATACAAAGTTTTGGATCTCTACATTCAGAATAATTTCAATAAAAAAAGCAATCCTGTAGGATTGCTAGAACAAACTGATCCTATAATTAATATGAAAGCACATATGGCTGAGAATAGCCCAAACATTTTTTAAGAATAACAAGGTGGGTGAGATTTGCTCTATCAAATATAAAGACTTAGCATAAAGCTTGAGGGCTTACAGCAGTGTAAGAGGGATAGACAAATAAATGGAACAGAATGCGGAGCCCACAGCAGATTCAAGCATACAGTATATGGAAACTAAAATTTAATAGCAGTAGAATTAAAAACCAATAAAGGACAGACTAGTAAGTAAATTGTTATAGGATAATTGTTTATAAATATAAAAAACTCAACCAAAAATAAATTCTAATTGATTTAAGTGCCTAAAATATGAACATATTTTTAAAAATCATAAAATATAAGAGATGTCTTTATGACTTTGGAATGGAAAAGATACAAAAAATACAAGTCATAAAGTAAAACATCTATTGTATAGTGATGATGGGGTTGCACAACTCTGTGAATATATTAGAACTACAGAGTTATACTTTTAAAGGGTGAACTTTTTGGTTTATTAATTATATTTCAATAAGCTGTTATAAAAAACATTGACACACTTTGCTGTTAAGATATAAAAGTTCTGATCCCTGAAAGACATTGTCAATAAATTTAAAAGTCAAGCCACATTTCTGGCAGAAAATATTTGTTATATAGTACCAGAATATAGAAATAGCTTCTCTGAATCAATACAAATAAACCACTCAATATAAAAATGAGCAGTCCGGGCGCGGTGGCTCATGCCTGTAATCCCAGCACTTTGGGAGGCCGAGGCAGGCAGATCATGAGGTCAGGAAATCGAGACCATCCTGGCTAACATGGTGAAACCCTGTCTCTACTAAAAATACAAAAAATTAGCTGGGCGTGGTGGTGGGTGCCTGTAGTCCCAGCTACTTGGGAGGCTGAGGCAGGAGAATGGTGTGAACCCAGGAGGCGGAGGTTGCAGTGAGCAGAGATTGCACCACTGCACTCCAGCCTGGGCAACAGAGCGAGACTCTGCCTCAAAAAAAAAAAAAAAAAAAAAAAAAAAGAGCAAAAGATATGAACAGGCAATTGTCAGAAAGTGAAACCCTAATAGCCAATAATGGCATATGAAAATGTTCTCATTTCCACACTGGTAGGGAAAATGTCCTCACTGCTAAGGAAATTAAAATAGAAGTGAGATTCCATTTCATATCTATTGGGCAAAAGTTGGCACTACCAAGGGTTGGCAAGAGCATGGAGAAATAGGACATCATACACTGCTGGTCACAGTGTATATGTAATGAACCAATTTAGAGAACAATTTTGTAAAATCTGATCAAGTCAAAGATGCTCAAAACCAGACATTTCACTTGTGGATATAGCCCTGTTTTTGCAAAGAGAGTTTCAAGAGTGCATTGTAACATTGTTTGTAAAAGCAGAGAGAGAGAAGGATACATACCAGTGTCAGGATTGTTGGTTCTCCTGGGAGACAAAAGAAGAAAAGTTTGGGGATAGAACTTTAGCTCTAGCTGTAATCCTTTATTGCTTAAAAAAGGTCTGAAGCGGCTGGGCACAGTGGCTCACACCTGTAATCCCAGCACTTTGGGAAGTCGAGGCAGGTGGATCACCTGAGGTCAGAAGTTTGAGACCAGCCTGGCCAATATGATGAAACCCTGTCTCTACTAAAAATACAAAAAATTAGCCAGGTGTGGTGGCACATGCCTGTAATCCCAGCTACTTGGGAGGCTGAGGCAGGAGAATCGCTTGAACCTGGGAGGCAGAGGCTGCAGTGAGCTGAGATTGTGCCATTGCTCTCCAGCCCGGGCAACAAGAATAAGACTCCGTCTCAAAAAACAAAACAAAACAAAACAAAACTGAAGCAAATATAGCAAATATTAATGTCCATTAATTTTTAAGCAAATATAGCAACTATTAATGTCCATTAATTTTGGAGAATGGACTTTTTTTTGACATGTGGTTATCAGTTACATTGTTTTGTTGTTGTTGTTGTTCACCTCCTAGCCCTGTTTCCTGTAAGACCTTGGACCTATCACATAGTTTCCTTGCTCCTTGGTTTTCTGTTATAAAATGAGGAATTATGATGGGATGACCAGGAAGACTGTTTCCAGTCCTGAAATTCTATCTTGGACCATTGGTCCTTTGCAGGAATCTGGGACAAAATAAAAGTAAATGTAGAAAAAGTGCTTGAACTAAGATACCTGGCCAGTCAGGACTTAGAACTGAGTGCCAAGAGTCCTCACCTAGTATTGGGAGGGAATCTAGGAAGAAAAAAAAAAAACAAAAAAACTCTCTCAAAATACGTAGACACAATGTCCTTTACAAAGGAGTTCTTGGAGCTGCAATATCAGCCCATGAAAAATCCAGTTACCTATATGATGACTTGAAAACTATAGTTGTAGTAAAAAGAAAGGAACTAAATAGGCTGACACCTGTAATCCCAGCACTTTGGGAAGCCAAGGTGGGCGGATCACCTGAGGTCAGGGGTTGACCAGCCTGGCCAACATGGTAAAACCGTGTCTCCACTAAAAATACAAAAATTAGCTGGGCATAGTGGTGCATGCCTGTAATCCCAGTTACTCGGGAGGCTGAGGTTCAAGAATTGCTTGAACCCGAGAGGCGGAGGTTGCAGTGAGCCGAGATAGTGCCACTGCACTCCAGCCTGGGCGACAGAGCGAGACTCCATTTCGAAAAAAGGAAAAAAAGAAAGGAATCAAATAATAAAAGAGTCTGTAAATCAATGAAACCAGAATTTGATAAATTTGAAAAAGCCTCTTACTTACGTAAAAGCTAATGTTGAAGGTAAAACAAGTTCACTGGGGGGAAAGTAAGTAGAAAGGGTACTTTGAGGGGATTTGAACAGCCTTAGATGGAAATGACTCAGGTCTTGTTCATGTCCTCATGGCCTCAGAACGCACAGCTCTTTCTAGATGTCTGGATGCCAGCCACAGCCCTGTGTTTCCCAGCCTTGATCAGGCCCCTTCTTGCCTCCAAAAAGGGATGAAGAATAAACAGGGAAAGAGATTTTCCCTGAGATAACTAGATAAGATCTTACTGAAATAAAATCTTGAGAATTAAATATGGAAGGACCTTAGGAATCCATGAGTCCAGCCCTGTTTTGCACACAAGGTCCCCAGAGAAGAGGCTTGACCAAAGTAACAGGCCTAGACAATGGCAAGGCCAAGTTCCGAACCCAGTTACTGCCTCTGAAGCTAGTGCCCTTTCTGTTCTGAATGCTGCTTTTGTGTGTTTTCTTGTCTCATAAAAAGTAACACATCTCATTATAAAATATTTGGAAAGCATAGCAAAGTATCATGAGGCAAAAAAAAATTCCCATAATCCTGTCAAAGACACAACCATTATTTCTATTTTGTTATATTCCTGTAACCCTTTCTCTAAGTCATGGAATTTTCTCATGTTATTAAAAATTCATAAATATCATTTAATAGCCACACCAGTGTATCATTGTGTGAATGTAGCATAAATAAACCCTTCTCTTGTTTTTGGAAACTTAAACCATTTGTACTTCTTTACAGTTCCATACAGCAGTGTAAGAAACCTTCTTATGCATATAACTTTTTGTGTCATTTGGATTATTTTTTTAAAAAAGAGTAACAGGAATGGAATTGTTAGGTCACAGGACATTCAACATTTTTGTAACTAAATAGGGCATTAAAATTAAAATGTCTAGAATTCTAAATACATTATCGCCAAATTGCCAGCTAGGAAGTCTGAATCTACTAGCGGGGTATTTTTAAACCCTACCCGCCCCCTGTCATTGTTGCTGCTCATTGATAGGAGAGAATGAGAAAAGGTAGGTAGAAGTTACAGTTTCCTGATTAATTCCACACGGTGCATGCACAAACAAATGATGGGAAGTGAGCATCTCACTGGGTCAAAGCAGGGCACTTGGTGCTCCAAGAGGTATGTGGAGGCAAGGAGGCCCTTTGATATCTATGGGAGGATGGTCAGTTTCAGAAGAAACATATCACATAAACTTAAAAGGATTTTCTTAATCGGGATTTTTTTTAAGGGATAAAATGCTGTGGAATATACCTAAGAATTTTATTGATGTCTAGGCGAATTATTAACTTTCTTTACTGGGTTTAACAATTACCCTTTCAGGGGAGGATCTTGAGAAAATATTTGTGGTGCAGCAGGATTATGTGGTTAAATTCCTAAACATGGTCTCATTGCTCTGACAATTATTTTCCCCTATCAACTGCTAGTTTATATTATATAGGGTGGAATTTAATGGTAGTGATTCTCATATGTCTTTAAGTCATAAATCCCTTTGGCCAAAAAAAAAAAAGAACTATCTCTCCAGAAAAATGTATTTACCCACCAGTTTTTGCATATACTTTTCAGAAGACTTAAAAAGAAATCTAAGATTATCTGCTTGCTCTTGTTTTATGAACTGGACATTTTGGTGCTTTTGACTATATTCTAAATTACAGTGAATTTATTTCCCCTGATCTGTGGTTTTTGAAATATATCCTCTCTTCTATACTGTTATCTCTTTTTAAAACTCATATACAATCTTTGAAATAGCTAAAATTGTCATTTTGAAATGTATATTTAAAATGTCTTTCCCTACTCAAAAAGGCTCCCCTTCCCCTTTTTTCCTTCCTCTGTCTATGATACAGAAATCTTCCCACTATCCTCTCTTAACCCTATATTCAGTCAAACAGCCAATCATAGATGGTTGGAAATTCCATCCATCTTTTCTTCCCTTCAACAAGCATTCACTAAGCATTTACTAAGCCCAGTCTAGTTCCTTAGCATGCAGAGATGAATACAATCTGGTTTCTGCAGCTATATAGACAAAGGAATTATGATATGATGTCATAATGCAAAAATAGAAGTGTTTGTGAAGTGTATCAGACACATTAAGGAGAGACTAATTAAGGCTTCTAACTAAGGAGTCAGAAAAGGTTTATTAAAAAGATGAATTGCAACCAGCCCACTTGTAACAAAAAGGAAGGGCATTTTAATCAAAGCAGCATATATGCAAAAGCACGGAAACATGAAAGCACCCTGCTTACTTGCAACATCACAAGCAGATCTGTGTGACTTAAAGCAGAGGATGTGAAGGGGAGTGGGAAGAGGTAGGTTTGGAAGTGTAAGTGTGGACCAGAATGTGAAGGGCTTTAATGTCATGCTGAAACCGATGGACTTCATTTTATTGGCAAAGAGGAGACAAGAAACATTTTGAGCAGGGTAATGGTGTGAACCAATCTGTATTTCAAAATGGATGAAAAATTAGAGGAGAAAGAAGCTGCAGAAAGCTGTAAATTGAACGCAACTAAATTGCATCAATGGTCATTGATTGGATTATTGGACCCCAAAAAGCCTGCCAGTCACTCAAGATATTAAGCTGACGTTACATGTATCTGATTTATCCAGGAGTCAGCAGACATATCTGGCATTTAGCAACGGATGCGTCATTAATTGAGGGTGTGGGACACAGGTGTCCCGAGGCTAGGGCTAGGGTGTTGACAAGTAGAGTCATGCATGGAGGGCAGCCATATTGCAAAGAGCTGAGGAGTATGTGCTAATAGGCAGCATGTCAATAAATAACATGTTGGAAAACCATCAAAGCTCATCATCAAAAATAACAATAACTTGAGCTCCTAATGTGTATTGGCTTCAACAGCATACAAAGTGGATATTATATTTGTTTTGCAGATAAGGAAGCAAACTCAGATACACACAGTTACTTGTCTTTGTTTATGTACCTAATGAGTGTGTATACCAAGATTTAAACCCAATCCTGTGTGACTCCAAAGGAGCTAGACAGAGAATGAAACTGTGTTTGAGACAGCAGAATAGGCACCACGCAGGAGGTCTGACCAGAGAGAAGACTGTCAAAGCGAGGTGTGAGGCAGAACCTAGGAAGTGCTGCAGCCTGGTGACAGAGTGTCATTGGCTTAGGGGTGGGCAACAGGCTCAACCTCCAGGGCTCAACCTCACCTGAGGACTGCCCCATGGTATGAGATCCAGGGAGAGTACACTGGGAGCCTGGCCTCTTGCTGGGCCACAAGATGCCAGCCAGTATCAGGCCAAAGGTTGGCCCATTGTGCTCAACCAGGCACATGACCTTGACACATGCTTCTGCCATCACTGCAGCAGTGGGAAAGAATGTGGCAAATTATGCACTGTCTGGTAGTGACTATGGACTCCCTCACCTCACCCTTAATATATTTGCCCCAAATCTCTTTGGACTTGTATTTGGATTATTGATTTAGCAGATTAAAAAGACTCATTTATAAAACAATTATCTGCTCTTTAAAGATTCACTGAAGCTCTATTTTGAGTGCTTCTTGAAAAAATGATTTTCTTTGCATTTTTTATCAATCTCAGTTTCTCATGTGGTGAAAACATGGGCCTGTATACAATCAAGAAGTAGAAAGAAATCTAGAATAAGTTAGCTGGATATGCAATACGAAAAAACAGGAGGGGCTCTTCAAACACCTATCAAATTTCAGACTTCATTGCAAAAAACCTTGTGCTTTGGCTTATGGGTCTACATGTATTGAGTGTCGCCATGTCTTGAAGCATTCAAGTACAGCCTTGATGGTCCAGTCCTATTGTTAACAACACTGCTTTCATCCCCAAAATCTATACCCCATCCCTGTCTTCAGTGCCACCAGTACATTTCTCTGTCCTGAAAACTCCACAGTCACTCAGCCCCATGTTAATGTTTAACCTATCACATGGTAACAACAGACTGACCCAAAAGGCCCCATATATTGTCATCATGTAGTTCCACATTGTGTGCCCACCCATTCCCTATCCTCCAAACAACCATGCACCTTTCTTCCATGCACCATCATTAGACCAATGGGTAAACCAATGGTTTTCAGACTATAGATTCCATGGAGCCTTGTCAAGGACCCAGCCTTCCCCTTCTACCCTACCTGTTCCCCGTCCCCCAACATATAACCCAACCAAAAGACCTCTATGCTTTGCAATTTTATGAATCGGACTTTCTTATAAAAAAAATTTTAAAGAACTTGTTCTGATACTAATGTTTGAAAGTCATGGATTCCTGTGACCATGGCAGATTCCTACTGCCAAAAGAACATATGAACACTCCATAATGATATCTTATTTAAGATTTCAAATAGATTTCACCTCCATAATCTCTCTTTTTTCTTTCTTTTCTTTTCTTTTCTTTTTTTTTTTTTTTTTTTGGCTTAGAGACAGTGCTTCATTCTTGCCCAAGCTGGAGTGCCACTGCAGTGCCATGCAGTGGCATGATCATAGCTCACTGCAGCCTCAAACTCCTGTGCTAAGGCGATCCTCCTGCCTTAGCCCCTTGAGACTACAGCCATGCACCACCACATCTGACTAATTTTTTTTTTTCTTGTAGAGACAGAGGTCTCGCTGTGCTGCCAAGGCTGGTTTAGAACTCCTAGGCTCAAGCAACCCTCCTACCTCAGCCTCCCAAAGTACTGAGATTACAGGTGGGAGCCACGGTGCCTGGCCTCCCACTTTTTCTTGGTTACCATATTTCTGATATTAAGACTCATTTAGCTCCCCTAAGTTTTAACATTAATAAAATGGCCCTGGATCAGTCCTGTTGAGCCTGTGAGATGGTGCACTAAACACCTGTACAATCCACAGGGCAGGAGCCTCGTATCCTCCTCTGCTCTTGGACAGAAGCTCTTTCCTCAGTGATCTTCTGAAGTCCAGGCTTCTAAAGAAATGAGTTGCTTTAATTCCATGAGTCTCTGAGTGGTGCCTCCTGGCTGGCCTGTGTTCCCTTGGCTCCTCGTATTGGTGTCAGAGCAGGAGCCAGAGTGGCTAGTCCGGAGTTTCCCAAACCTGTATGAGATTTGATAGCAATTGGGAAGCTTTTCATACCAGGCAGTAAAAGTGAAGGGTTTTGAATGCCCTATACCACTCAAATCTACTTATACTGTAAGAAATGCCTTTGCTTGCTCTCTGCCCTCCAAGACTCTCTGCTTTTGGTTCTGTGTGCTGAGACCCCCAGGCAGCAGCAGAGAGCACAGGACAAGTGTGCAGCATGGAACAGCATCCATTATAAAACACAGGGAACCGTCAGAAGCCCCTGAATGACCCACTAGTTCATTCCGGCTGCTATGACCTAACTATGCCTTCACAGCAAGACCGAGAGGCCCACAGCACCCACACAGGGTGGGGACTGAGGGAAAGGGAATTTTGTTGGAATTCAACCCCCGGAAATAAGAAAGCATGCAAGCTTCTGAGTACAGTCTGAGAAAACCATGCAGGACCTTGTTAATGGAAGAAAAACACTCCTTTATGGGAAGAGCCCCATAGGACCTGTGTAGAATTTTGGCCTCTCTAGTAACATCCCAACTTATATAACCCTGTTTTTTTTCTTTTCATTCATTTATTTCCCCTAGTTATTAATTCAATACCCAGTTATTCATTTTGATGACTGACACATACTACAGTCAGGTCATTTTATTATTTTGGTTAATGTCAGTTCAGGCCTGGACACCACAACATCTCCCCAGCCCTGCCCTGAGAGATTCTGATTTAATTCATCGGCAGTATGTCCTGAGAACCAAGGATTTTTAAAGCTTCGCCAGAAGATTCTAATGTGCAGCCAAGGTTAAGAACCACTGATTTAGCCAGTAAATGGGGCCAAAGAGGTCCCTGGAAATTATCTCAAATATCCTCTCAAAATGAGAGACTCTTCCTCAGGAATTAGTGGGTAACCAGAGGTCAACTAGAACCAGGAGTAAACCAGGAGTAAACCAGGAGTGAACCAGGAGTGAGTAATCAGGAGTAAACTAGAATTAACCAGGAGTGAGTAAACAGGAGTAAACTCAAATTAGGAGTGAACCAGGAGTGGGTAACTGGGAGTGAACTAAAAGCGGGGGCTAAATGGTAGAACCCAGCTCCATGCTCTGGGCTCATTCTGAAGGTAGAATCAGGCATGCCAACAATTGATGCCTCAGTGTTCAAAGGTTCACACAGGAGAAATCAGCTGTCAATGTCCAAGAGGATCAAGGAAGTGATTTTGAGATGCGTCTTTAAGAATGAGGAGAAATGTTCCAGGTGGTGAAAGGGAATAGCAAATGATCTGCAATGGCGAGAACAGCACATAGAACAGCTTTACAGCCAGTGTGGTGTGTTTGGAGAACAGTGCAGTTCCCGGGCTGGAGGATAGCTGTTCTTAGCAGTGACTCCCCTAAATTGAAAAGGCTTTTGTGCTTTTCTCCTCCAAGAACAGGAAAGGCTATAGAGCTAAGAAAACTGACTCTTACTCCCTACCATTCCTGAGGAGAAAAGACCCCCCAGAAATAGAGTGAGAGGTGCAGCTCAGAAGAACCAAAGGCAAGAGTTAGTGGTTTAAGGAAAGAGGAAATGGAGTCCTGGGGAATCAACACGGCCTTGAGATGTCACCCCAAGACACCAGCAGCCCACACATAGTCCTCTGGGGTTTTGCTGGTGATAGCAGTGGAATCCACTTGGAGATTTTGGTGCATGATCTCCAAATAACTAATATTTTTAACTGGCTAATAGCTATTTGTTCATCTATATCCCAATGTTATCTTGATAGATTACCAGAATTGCTGATTATCAGGAAGGGCCTCAGGAATGTCCATGGTTCTCCCTTTGAGCTGCTGTTTAGGAGTTCCTCCTATCCCCTTTACTGGAATCAGTAGTTTACACCACTTGCATAGCTCCAGCATGTATCGCTATGCTTGATTTGCACCAACTCTTGACTTTCTTCTTCAAGGAACTACTGAAGGTTTTTGGTTTTGATATAATAATTTTCACTGGCACTTTCTAGCCTATAAATAAGACTCTGGAGGACAATATCCAGCAGTGAACTGTGTGGTGCTCATGAGATATGTCTGGTGGCGTTAAAGAACTGCCCAGGCTCGCGCAAAGCAGAAGCCCAGGGTACGTGAGAGATGAGAATGACCACACCAGGAAGAGGACTTGTTGACACTCTTCTCCATGTCAGAAGAAACACAGTTCAAAACCTTTAGGGAAGGACTTTTAATGATGGAGTTGGGAATAGATACTATGACCCAGATGATTTCTAAATCCTCAGAAATCAAATTGATTGGGGAACAGATTATGTCAATCTAAACATGAGTTTACTAGAGAAAAGAAAGTACTTAAACAGCTATTCAAGAGAATTCTGTAAATAGTAAAAGCCAGAGCCCTCTATTTGGAGACAGTTCTGGATATGGCATCAATGATGGATAGTCCATTGTATCCAAAAAGCATACATAACGTATTTTTCAAAAAGAACAAAAGGGTATGCAGTTAACTCAGAAGAGGAACGTTCCTTACAAAATTTACTCTGCTGCACAGATTGGCCCTGCAGTTAAGAAGAGTGCATTCATTATTCTAGTAGCTTTGAGATACTTTCTCTGACACTGAACCCTTGAACTCTTATTTCTTTCTTTCATTTATTAGTGATGACTCCCTTTGTCTATCCTGTGTTTGATTTGCCTTTTATAAATTGGCAACATCATTTCTTCATGATTCCCCAGAGATAACTGATGGTAGCTTAAATCTTCATTTGTCGTATATGAAAAAGTAATGCAGAATTCTGAGTGAGTTTTGAGTAGCTGGAAGAAACAAACATGAGAAAAAAATATAGGTATAATATATATTTATTTAAAGATCCAGCATTTCAGGGCAGTCTGAACAGGCCAGGGATTTATAGTGTGGAATATTTCATGGGCCTTTCAAGGATGAAGGAAATTTGTTTTTAAACACTGACTAGTTTAAAGACACCCCCGAGGTGCAAACTTTTTGCAACACATGTTTCACAGCCCCTCCGGCTCTGAACTTTTTTCCACAACATTTGTCTTCCAAAACAATTTCAGCATTGTGGAAACAGAATGTTGAATATATCAGAGCTGCAAGTCTTGGGGGAAATAGCCTGTCTTTAAGGTTAGATAAATAAGTTTAAACTATTTCTGACGTTTTATAGCTGTTGCAACAGAGCAAATGTGTTATTTTGAAACACCATAAAGAGCAGTGGTGCGAAGAAATCTGTCTGAATTTCCTCTGGCCTGTTCAGTTCTTTGAAAATGTTTACACGTGTAACGATGCTTCTAGGTGCTGAACAGACCTGTGGGGTAGGAGAGGGAGTTGGAGTTCACTATGGGACTTACGGAGTTTGAGGTGCCTGTGGGACATGTTGTGCCAATGGGAGATGTCCAGGAGTCTTGAATTCAAGGGAGAGATTAAGACTGGATAGGTAGATGTGGGAGTTTTCAGCATAGGAATTATCACTATATTTCCCAAAGTAGATGAAATGGCCCCTGGGACAGTGTGTAGTGTGAAGGAAGGACTTGGTCCTGTACTCTGGTGTGGTCCTGTGCTCTTCATTTCAAACTTCCTATTTCTGACATTTTCTTTTGGAATGTAACTTTGTCAGTTTGTTCTGAGAAGCTTGCGCTGGCATGGCTGTTTGGCCATCTTGGTTGTTTTCATACCTTAGTTTTTAGTCTAGACTCCCATGGTCACGTGGAACAGAGAACCACCTCGAACTGGCTTAAGAAAAAATGGAGGAACTATTGGCTAATAAAACCGAAAAGTTCTGGAGTGTAGACACTCTGGACATAATTTTAGATACATCTGGATTCAGGAACTTAAATGATTTAGTCAAGAATCCACCCCTTAGCCAGGCACAATGATGCATACCTATAGTTCCAGCTATTCAGGAGGCTGAGATGGGAGGATCCCTGGAGCCCAGAAGTTTGAAGCTTCCGTATGCTATGATCATGCCTGTGCATAGCCACTGCACTCCAGCCCAGTGAGACCCCATCACTAAAAAAATAAAAATCCATCTCTCTCTGGCTCTGTTTTTTTTCTGTGTTTTGAGGTGGTTGGTGGGCAAGGGTTGAGGGAAGACCATGTATGTTAGCAGATCATAAAACATCATAAGCAGTTTATTTTTTGTTCTAAGTGAGATGGAAGCCATTAGAGGATTCTAAGCAAAGGAGTGTCATGATCTGAGCTACCTTTTAGAAGAAATACTATGGCTATTGTGTTGAAAATAGACTGTAAAAAATCAGAGAGTAAAAGGAAGGCAAGGGTGGAAATAGGGAGATGAGATAAGTATTCCAGGTGAGCAAAGCCATCCCTAAATTCCCTGCCCTGGACTCCACTTCCCTCTCCAGCTATTGCCTTAGTTCTTGATTTCCATTTATAGCAAAGTGCCTCAAGAGTAGTTTATACTTGCTGTCTTCAATTTCATTTCTCTTCATTCTCTCTTGAATCCACTCCAACCAAACATTCTCCATACCATTACCTTCATAGCTATTGTCAAGGTCACCAACAGCTTACCATGTAAGTGTGAATTGCTAACTTCAGTTGTCAGGTTTGTTTGTTTGTTTTTTGAGACAGATTCTCACTCTGTTGCCCAGGCTGGAGTGCAGTGGTGTGATCTTGGCTCACTGCAACCTCTACCTCCTGGGTTCAAGCAATTCTCCTGCCTCAGCCTCCCGAGAAGCTGGGATTACAGGCTAAATGTTTTTTGTATTTTTAGTAGAGACAGGGTTTCACCATGTTGCCCAGGCTGGCCTCGAACTCCTGACCGCAGGTGATCTGCCCACCTCGGCCTCCCACAATGCTGAGATTACAGGTGTGAGCCACCACACCAGGCCCCGTGGTGAGTTCTTAGGCCTTACCTTACTTGCTCGTTTGACTACACTAGCATTGGACAGTTGCTACGCCCTCCTTCTCTGCTTTGAGGAAACCACTTTGTTTTCTACCTACCATAGTATCTGTTCCTGTGTAGCCTCCTTTGTCCCACCTCTTGTCCCTGATCTCTAAGTTGAACTACCCGAGGCCTCAGTCCTCAGACGTTTTCTCTTCTCTATATATACTCTCTCCCTATTGGTCCCATACCTGCAGAAGGACTCAAATATGACATCTGTATGCTGGAAACTGTTAAATTTATATTTTCAGCACAGACCTTTCCCCTAAGCTCTAGATTAACATGTCCACATGCCTGCTCAGCATCTCTCCGTGGATATGTAATAGTTATTTCAAACTTAACATGTCCAAAACTGCTCTCCTGAGTTCTGCTCCCAAACTTACTTCTCTCATAGTGTCCCTCATCTCAGTGAATGACAAGGCAGTTATTTAATTTGCTTGAGCCACAAATCCTGGAGTCGGTTTTTACTCGCTTTCCTCTCTCACACTACCCCACCCCCATCAAATTTTGTCTGCTCTACCTTCAGAATAGGCCCAGAATCTGACCGTCTCTTACCACGTTCATTGCCACTACACTGGTCCAAGTCACCGTCATCTCTAGGCTGGATTATCTTGACAGGTTCCTCACTGGTCTCCCTGCCTCTGCCCTTGCCCCCTGCAATCAACATAGCTGTCAAAGCAGTCCTTTAGAAACACAAGTCAGCTCATGCCATTCTTCAAAATCTTTGGAATAGAAACCAAAGCCTTACGATGACCTATCAGGCTATGACCTGAGCCCCACCTGCCACTTCTCTGACCTTGTCACCTACTGCTCTTTTCCTGGCTCACATCCCTGCAGCCACATGCTCTTTTACTTTCCTCCAAAATTGGAGGAATGTGTCCTGGACCAGTCTGATGAAGCCTATGGTACTACTTCTGAAATAATATTTTCAAAGGTATAAAATAAAATATACTGCATTTAAAGAAAACCAATTATAATAAAAATATAGGTATCAAAATATTAATAAACCAAATGTGTGATCGAATAATATATGTACTTCATTACTAATGCATCAAATTCAAAATCTAGCATTGGGTCCAATAGTTACCATATTTTTGAAGTAGTGTTGGCATAAAAAATATTTTGAGAGAGCTGGTCACACTTGTAATGTGATACGAAAATATCTGTGACTTCCATTGGTGAGAGAGTTAAAGATACTACTACCTTGGTCTGTGCTTACATTCATAATTGATAGAAGTGCTACATTTCAACTAGAGTTGGTGAAAAGGTCACCGACTCCTGAATCCTATCTGTGGACCCACGTGAGTCTCATGGTCCCCGGGTTGAGGACCCCGTTTCAGGGCCAAGGTACTTGCTGTTCCCTCTGCCGGAAATGCTCTCCCTGGAGATCTCCACACAGCTTGTTTAGCCTGGCTGAAGGCCTCTGGTAAACCTTGTTTCAATGTAGAATTGACAGCACCGCTTACCAGCTTCTTACCGTGGAGGAATAATGAATAAGCCAATGTATCTGAGATTGTTTAGGGTCTTTCACTGTAAGAGGCTTTATGTCTTGAGAAAACCTCACTAATTTGGACTGATTGTAAGAGGCAAGTCTGAATTAATAAACATCCCTGAATTGTAAAATGCTTTCAAGTCTATGAATTGCTTTTAGAAATGTTCAGTCATTTAAGCGAGAATTGCTTAGGGTCTTAAAGGCAACCACTTTAATTTATAAATGTCGATTTATACTCACATAACAATTGTGTATATGTTGTGGAGGCCAGTGAAGTATTTGAAGGAATTTCTGAAATGATTTGCACTTTTGCCCTCAAATATGTAAGGAGATTTTTTTCTCTTCCTAGCTAGTATAGCCCTTCTCTAAATTACCATAGATTCCAAAATAATAGTGTCTGAGTTTATGAGGATTTTACTATACAGTCAGTGCTTTATTATCTTTGCTGCTTGGAAGAGAGCATTGGTATGAATAACCAAAAAAGTCACGCTGATGTATCTTTGGGATAGAATATGGTTTTCTTCTAGTAAATGCATTCCCTAGTTTATTCATTTATGCATTCAGCAAACATTCACACATCTAATCTTTGCCAGGCCTATACTCATGATCTGCTGTGGAGAACTGAGATTAATGCAGTAATAATGCTATAAAAGAATTCTGGTCATAGAGAGTGAATAATGAGAGTGAATTAAATAATATATGAAAGAATAGATGGATGAATGAATGAATTGATCTCACACATATCTTAGAGCTAAAAGGGACCCCAAGAGAAAATTTAACAAGAAGTTAAATCAAAGTTGTTTCTGAGCTCCATTATTAACTTTTTAAAAGTTGGGGATAGGTGATCCAGGTAATACATTCAATCAAAAAACAAGGCACTATACCATGAAAAGTCTGGCTCCTGCTCCTGTTCCCATGCTTTCCTACATCTGCACTCTATGTTCCTCCTTGCAGGTATCTTCCCTTTCTCTCCAGTCTACATGAGGTACAGCTTCTGTGCTCCAGTGGCATCCAGTATTTTACCTTTATTGCACGCTCTTATCTCTTTGAATTGCAGCTGGCTGTTTTGATGCATGGGCCCACTCTAGATTAAGGTCCGTGAGGAACTTAGTTTACCATTATATCCTTAGCATTGCCACAGAGTCTTACATAGAGTAGGCACTCCATAAACATTTTTCAAGTGAATGAAATAATGGCAATAGTTGTATTGCATTTCAAAACATAAGATATGTAGCCAAAGCTGTACTCAGAATAAAATTAACAGCTTTAAATGATTTACTTTAAAATAAGCAAATTAAATGTTAAACTCAAAGACTGAGAAATTTTCTTGTAGGCTAGAAATAGAAGGAAATTTATATACCAAAAAAAGCATCATGCTTAAGAAAGAAACATTAGTAATATTCCCATTAAAGTTGGAAACAAGACAAATATGCCTGCTGTCTTAGACCACTGGGGCTGCTATAAGAAAAATGCTATAGACTGAGTAGCTTATAAACAACAGAAAATTTGTTTCTTACAGTTCTGGAGGATGGGAAGTCCAAGATTAAGCTTTTCATGTTGAAGGAGGTCCAAGATCAAGATGTGGTGGGGAGGGACACAAATATTCAGTCTAACGTACCTGCTATAGTGGTTATTATTCAGCATTGTTCTGGAGACACTAATACAATAAGACAAGAAAAAGAAATCAGAAGTATACATATTGGAAAGGAAGAGAAAATTGTCATTATGTGCAAATGATATAATTATTTACCTTAAAAAACAAGAAAATCAATTAGAAAAACTATTCAAAATAATAAAGTTCAGTAAGATGACTAGAAACAAGATAAATATGCAGATGCTTATAGCTTTCCTAAGTGTTGGCAATAAACAACTATGAAATACATTTTTTAAAATCTTGTTTACTGCAACAACAAAGAACTATAACATGCATTGGAATAAATATATTAAGAGATGTATAACATCTACCTATGTTGTGGTTAAGAAAGGTTCTGAATCAAATTGTATTGGTATAAATCTCAGCTCCAATGTTTAATAGCTGTGACCTTTCAGAAAGCTTAAACTTTCTGTATGTGTATATGTGTAGAAGAAAATGCTAAAAAAGATATATGCACATGTGATTAGCATTCCTTCAGCTATTTAGGGCTAGCCTAGTTTTTATAACAATATTTAAAACAAATCTCTCGGTGTATTGGTTTTCTATTGCTGCTGTAACAAATTAACACAAACTTAGAAGCTTAAAACAATACCCATATATTATGTCACCTATGTTGCACAGAATTGCTGAACTGACTGTTACACTTAGAGTATCTAAGGCCAAGATCAAGGTGGTGGCATGGCTGCATTCCTTTTTGGAGGCTCTGGGAATAAATCTGCTTCCAAGCTTCTTCAGGTTATTGGCTGAATCCCTTATCATTTTAGAACTGAAGTTCCCATTTTCTTGATAGCTGTCAGCTGAAGGCCACTCTCAGCTTTTAGAGGCCACCTGCACTCCCCAGCTCAGGTCCCTTTTATCTTTAAAACTAGCAATGGTGGGTTAGGTTGCTCTGACACTTTGAATCTCTCTGAACTCCTCTTCTGCCTCATCTCTCCTACTTTCTCTTTCTCCATATGTCCCTGACAGCTTCTGTCCTTCTCTTCTGATTTTAGGGACTTATAGAATTACAATGGGCCCAACCAGATATCTCCCCATTTTAAGGCCAACTGATTAGTAACCTTAATTACATCTGCAAATTCCTTCACACCAGTGCCTAGATTGACATTTGATTGAGTAATGAAAGGATGAGAATCTTGGGGCAATGTCTTTAGAATTCTGCCTACCATACTTGGATCATACAAAGCCACAGGATTAAGGACAAAAAGTCCCAAGGGCAACCATCTCAGACTCCAATTTTGAAAACTTCAAATAGTATATCTGAACATAATGAAGTTCCTACTCTTCTTTCAGATTCCTTTCACAGACGACACAGTTGAAATCTAAAGGGCTTTGCCCAAGGCTACAGAACTAATAACTATTGAGAATGAAAACAAAGCCTCACCCCAACCCAGCCAAGATAGTGCTCCCCCTATGCATTTCCACCTCCTCTTTGAATAGAAATTTAGTCTTTTTTTCACCTTGAGTTTTCAGGCAATACTTCAGTGCCAATATCAGTCTTAGGTTTCTACAAGTAAATTTAAGCATTTCTAGATAACAGTTTCCTCCAAAGCCACACAATGACTTCCTTAAGAGACTTGAATAATCAGCTTGATGTAATGGACAGAACTGGACCTGAAGTCAAAAGGCTTACCAGGTTCCTCAATTGTGAGATACAGCTAACAATGACTGCCTCCCAGGAAATAGGAATAACTATGAGAATTCAAGTGTCACCATGTTCATGGAGCACGCATTTTGCCTACTGTAAGGTGTGTTGCACATGTCATGATAATAGCGGTCGCATCTATTTTTTAAGTCAGAAAACCATACCATGGCTTCTCCATTCTCACTAACCAGAGCACTGTAAGAGGAGAAAACATCCCCCAAAACAGTTGTCTAGAGCAATCTTGGCATCATCTGAAGCTATTCCAGCTCTTAAGAGCCAGATGAGGTCAGGTGCAGTGGGAGGCTGAGGCGGGGGATCGCTTGAGCCCAGGAGTTCAAGACGACCCTGAGGAACATGATGAAACCCTGTCTTTACAAAAATTACAAAAATTAGCTGGGTGTGATGGCTTGCACCTGTAGTCCCAGCTACTTGGAGGCTGAGGAAGGGAGGGTCACTTGAGCCCAGGAGGTTGCAGTGAGCCAAGATTGTGCCACTGCACTCCAGGCTAGGTGACAGAGGGAGCCTCCATCTCAAAAAGAAAAAGCAAAGAAGAAGAAGAAGAACCAAATGAAATTTCTCTATTCCTCTGAATCTTAAATTCCAAAGCCCAGCAAAATGCTAAGCCTTCTGAAGACTTGGGGAAAGAAATTCTTTCAATTCCTCATGTTCCCCTCTGTGTCCAGGCTCCTGCAATGTTGCTTACAGTCCCTGCATCTCACTGCATTGACCCGGAATTGAAACTCAGCACTTACTTTTGCTCCCTGAAGTTATCCTCCTTTACAAAGAATTAATGAACTCTGTTTCCCTGGATGTTGTATATTCTTCCTGAGGGAGGAATGTTTCATTGCTTATGCACAGCAAACAACTTAAAGACCTCTAGGAAATATTTATGTTTTCCAAAGACTTCCTTGTGACAACCTACCCCCTGGGAGTTTCTCACTGTGTCTCTACCTCCACATTCCCCCAGCTTCACCGACTCCTTCTTTCCAACCACACTCCCACTACCCTACCCACCTTCAAAATTCTCTCCCTTCCCAATACAGAGCAATCCTACTCCTTGGTTTCCATTCCATAACTTATATGTGTAAACCAGTCACATGCCCTGTAGACCAAAGCCCTTTGCTTTAAGAGGATCCTCCATCTGCCATAGAGTAGCTATAGAAATAGAAATAGCCATTTTTCCTATTATATATGATTAAACCCATATGCTGACTTACGGTCAAAACAGTGAATGGTATTTGTCAAGTGGTTCTGTGGCCCTGTTCTTAAAGGAATTGCCTTTGTCATATTTGTTTTTGTTCCAAAGGTGTCCCTCAGCCTAATATAACTTGGTTGAAGAGAGGAGGATCTCTGAGTGGCAATGTTTCCTTGCTTTTCAATGGATCCCTGTTGTTGCAGAATGTTTCCCTTGAAAATGAAGGAACCTACGTCTGCATAGCCACCAATGCTCTTGGAAAGGCAGTGGCAACATCTGTACTCCACTTGCTGGGTAAGTGTCAAATTCTTATTGCTCCTTAAGTGCCTCCTGTAATATGCACAAAGTAGGCCCCAGTTTTGTTGATTTTGGAGTTGAGTGAACGAGATGGACATCAGATGGTTTTAACCATTGCTGCCACTGCCTGCTTAAAAACGAGCACTAAATTCTAACACCCTATTTTACCACCCCGTATTCCCAGCACCTAACACAGATGTTAGTGTTTGTGTGTGTGTGTGTGTGATTTTTTTTTTTTAAACGGAGTCTTGCTCCGTCACCAGGCTGGAGTGCAGTGGCACAATCTCGGCTCACTGCAACCTCTGCCTCCTGGGTTCAAGTGATTCTCCTGCCTCAGCCTTCTGAGTAGCTGGGACAATAGGCGCACACCACCATGCCCAGCTAATTTTTGTATTTTTAGTAGAGATGGGGTTTCACCATGTTGGCCAGGATGGTCTCAATCTCTTGACCTCGTGATCTGCCCGCCTTGGCCTCCCAAAGTGCTGGGGTTACAGGCATGAACCACTGCGCCCGGTCAGATGTTAGTGTTAAGTAATGGTTTCATGAAGGAATGAAATTGAACCATTGGCAAAATTAGTATAAGAGTATAGAATCCATTGCTAAACCAAGAGGAAAAAACATGAAAGAGATTTCTCCATAGCTTTCCTTGGGGCAGTTAGAGGAGCCCAGAGATATAAAGAGATAGGGGGTGCCAATGCAGGGAGTTGGAATAGCTGTCATGCACAAAGCATTTTGATGAGCGTTAATTCTTGTGATACTTATGATAGCACAGTGTTGTGGGTGGTATTTTTTAATCTCATTGTATTTATGAGGAGCCTTGGGCTCATAAAGAGTTTGAACTAGTGCCCAAATATGTAGTCTGCTCTTTTGGTGCTCTCCCTGCTACCCCTCATGGACTCTTAGTACTGACAAAGGCAGTGGTGTGCCACCACGTGGCTCTTTCCAAAAAGCCTCTGTGTGATCTTCCAAAATCTTCGAATGGAAGAGTTGCAACAGATTGGCTAGGCTAACCCTGTCTGGTTCTTGAATGATTTATCCATGCTCCCTGAGAAACCCCAGCCTTGTTTCTTTCTTCTGCCCATTTCCACTCATGAATCTGCATGCTTGTCTCACTCCTACCTGGCATACCTCTTCTCTCAGGAATCCCCTCAAGCCAAGCAGCTCATGACTTTGGTAACTTGATGGAGAGGTCAAATCATGGCATTCCTCCACCATCCTCTGCTCTTATGTGCAAGCTTCACAACCTTCCTAAAAGCCCGTACTCCTCACCATGCAAACCTAGGGAACATTGCCCGTTCTCTTGCTCCCAGCATTCCTCTTAAGAGGCAGAGCTCTATCCAACCAATCTGCTTCCTCCAGTCCCTTTTGGAATTCTGCTGAATACATTTTTTTCATCTTGCAATTTAGGCTAGAAACCCTGGAAACATGCAGAGATGCCACATGCTAGCACAGTGAGTAACTCTAAACTCTATAACACCCCACACGTCCATACTTATACACACCTCCCAGACCTGTGGTCATGAGCTTGAGTATCCAGGAGCACAGTATTATTATAGAGGACTCATTTTCTAATAGCTGTCTTTAAGAACACCCAAGCTGGACCAATAATTAGATAATGTCTAACTGGTAAAAGTGCTACTTTTTTTTTTCCTCAGAACGAAGATGGCCAGAGAGTAGAATCGTATTTCTGCAAGGACATAAAAAGTACATTCTCCAGGCAACCAACACTAGAACCAACAGCAATGACCCAACAGGAGAACCCCCGCCTCAAGGTCTGGGATTTTGACCTTTTCAGATTTGCTATGTGTGAGGCATGTGTAAGGAAAAGGATTTAGCTAAAAGACCATCTGTATTTTTCACTTTGCAATATGTAAAATTATTTCTAGGCATTTGGCCAGCCTTTTTCTTGACCCTCAGTCTTTAGTGGTTCAACTTATTCTTTCCATATTGAAACACTTTTTAGAAAAATCCACTCCTGAGGAAGCCTACAGAGCTCATATCTCAAATGTGCACTATTATTTGTGATAATATAGATATTGATTTCCAGTTTCAAAACTATTGCCAATTTGGTAAATATTAATAGATATTAATAGTCTGCTATGAGTATTGGAATTGATTTTTTAATTGTTCTTTTTTCAAGACATAGTTTTCCATACACACCAACTTTGTTATGCATCAGTGCTTAATCAGGAGAACCTAATCTAAGTATTACAAGCTTATAAAACTCTGCAGAAGGCCAAGGGATCAAGGCAGAGTTAAGAAAATCAGAAATGCTAGAAACGCAGGAAACCATTACTGGTCATCTCAGCTCCTTGTAGCTCAAAAATGGGTAAATCGCAGAAGGACACAAACTCTTTTTTTAATTATTTTGTTATTTTATTTTGTTTATTTTGTTTATTTATTTATTTGAGACAGAATCTCGCTCTGCCTCCCAGGCTGGAGTGCAGTGGCGTGATCTCAGCTCACTGCAAGCTCCGCCTCCCAGGTTCATGCCATTCTCCTGCCTCAGCCTCCCAAGTAGCTGGGACTACAGCCACCCGCCACCACGCCCGGCTAATTTTTTGTATTTTTAGTGGAGACGAGGTTTCACCGTGTTAGCCAGGATGATCTCGATCTCCTGACCTCGTGATCCGCCCACCTTGGCCTCCCAAAGTGCTGAGATTACAGGCGTGAGCCACTGTGCCCGGCCACAAAGAAACTCCTTTTAAACCTCATGTTGTACTCGTTATATAGGAACAATAATGGCCACGTCATTTTCACCTTTTAAATCTTGAGAAGTGCCTCTCATTTGCATAATGTATCATGCAGAATATAACTCTACCGGTAGAGATTTTAAGAAATGTAGTTTCTAGGCTTTCACCTCCTGAGGTGCAAGAGAGAGCACAGAAGGGGAAAACAGTGTTGAGCTGCCAATCAGCAATCCATCACGTTACTTATGACATCATTCTCTTATAGTATTTGTATGACACATTTCTTCTCCTCTTTTAAACATAATACTAACATTATTGTATACCCAAATATCCATTTATTGGACATTCAACAAATATTGCCCAGTGCTTACTCCTCCCAGGTCTGGGGTTGCAGATGACCTCCTCCTTGAGAAGCTCACAGTCTGAAGAGGGAGGCAGTCACGTAAACAGATACTGTAAAGCACTGGGACAAGTTCCATAATAAAAAGATGACCAAAGTACAATGGTAGCACTGAGGAAGGGGCCCTACCTCTCTCTAGAGAAGTCAACTGAGTTTTCATGTAGGTCATGATGTTTGTTCTGGGAAGAGGAAAGAGGAAATTCCAGTCAGAGAAACCATGGTGTGTTGCATGTGGCATGGAACATGAAGATCAAAAGAACTGCCTAAAATAAATTAATGAAAAACAAAAAGGATATGTGTGAGGCTGAAGCTATTGGTGAAGGTGAAGCCTTTGGAATAGTCAAACTCTTGGTTTATTGGGACTACTTGCATTGTTCTGCCACCTCCTACACAGACACACACAAACACATGCCCAAATATACAATCACACACACACACATTGTGGAATGTCCCAGCCCTTCAAAGGATCCTTAGCTTAGCATTTCAAAGAGACTCCTTTATTAATTTAACAAATACTGCTTGCATGGCTAATATTTCACATACCCTGTCCTAGTGTTGGACAGGGTGGTGTTTATGGTCTTGACATTCCAGTAGGAAAGATGCACAAGAAACCAGTAAACAAATAAGTATTTAAGATATTTCTCAGTGGTAAGGGCTATGAGATACACAGTGATAGGAGGAAGCCACTTTAGTGAAGACAGTCGGGATGGGCCTTCTAAGAGGTTATATTTGAGCCCAGACCTAAAGGATGAGGTGAAACCATTTGTGCAGAAAAATGAGAAAGAAGCAAAGACCATAAAATTGGAATAAGGTTAATGTGGCCTCAGAATGGAAATAAGATTCATGTGACTAGGGTACAGTTGAGGGAGAGGGAGAGGGATATGAGATGAGGTTGGAGAGTGGCTGAGGACCAAATCATTCAGAGCTTTGAGGTCCAAGGTAAAGACTCAAGAGTTTACTCCTAAAACATGGGAGGTCATTGAGGAGTCTTATATGGTAGTGATATGGCATGATCTGCTTTTCAAATGCATTTGTGTCAAAAAGCACTAAGTAGAAAACAAAAACAAATTATCAAATTGGACTGACCGCATCAAAATTTTAAAGATCTCCTTATCAAAGACACCAATAAGAATAATGAATACATAAGCCATAGACTGGGAAAAATATTGGCAGAACATATGTCTGATGAAGAACTTATATCTAGAATATATAAAGAACTCCCACAAGTTATCAATGAATATCCCCCACCACACACACATACACACACACACACACACACACACACACACACACACACAGTGGGCAACAGACTTGAACAGACGTTTCACAAAAGATGATATATAGATGGCATCAGGGAAATGGAAATTAAAACCTCAGTGACATACAATTTCATACCCAGTAGGGTAGCTAAAAACAAAAAGACTGACAATGCCAAATTTTGGCAAGAGTGTGAAGCAACTGAAACGCTCATGCATTGCTTAGTGTGTAAAATGTTTAGACCACTTTGGAAGACGATTTAGCAGCTCCTAAAAAAGTTAAGCGCACACCTACCCTCGACCTAGCAGTTTCACTCACAGGTATTTACCCGAAAAAAAAAATGTTCACAAAAAGCTTTGTTCATGAATGTTCAACTTATTGATAATAGTCATTGACAGGAGAATAGATTAAAAACTATGGTAGATTTATACAATGGGAACATTATTCAGCAATAGAAGAAATGAAATGAACTACTGATATGCACAATGATATGAGTGAATCTCAAAAACCTTATGCTAAGCAACGTAGGAAACCAAAGGCCGGGCGCAGTGGCTCACACCTGTAATCCCAGCACTTTGGGAGGCAGAAGCGGGTGGACCACAAGGTCAGGGGTTCGAGACCAGCCTGGCCAACATGATGAAACCCCATCTCTACTGAAAATACAAAAATGAGCCCGGCGCGGTGGTGCACACCTGTAATCCCAGCTTCTCAGGAGGCTGAGGCAGGAGAATCGCTTGAACCTGGGGAGGCAGAGGCAGCACTGAGCTGAGATCATGCCACCACACTCCAGCCTGGGTGACAGAGTGAGACTCTGTCTCAAAAAAAAAAAAAAAAAAAGAAACCAAATACACAAGAGTACATATTATATGAAGTACAAGAATAAGTAAAACTAATGTATACTGATAGAAATGGACGAGTTGCTGCCTGGGAGGGGAGAGCAATTGATTGGAAAGAGACAAGAGGGGGATGATGAAAATATTACATCCCTTGCTTTGGATCATGGTTACGTAAGTGCTTACAATTGTGAAACCTTGTAAAACTGCACACCTGAGATATAATCAATTTATTGTGTATGAATTATACCTCAATTAAAAAAACACACACATTTTAAAAGAAATGCACATGTCCTGCCTTGAACTGCCAAGGTGTCTTTGTGAAATGTGGCATAATAGAGTCAGACACACTTGGGATCCAGTCCGGCTAACAGGTGACAGACCTTGGGCAAGGTACTCAGTTTCATTCAGTTTCCACCTCTGCAAATAAAAATATCAACTTCACAAGATGATCTTGAAAATTAAATGAAAAATTGATTATAAAGTGTCTAACTCAGTTCCTGTCACCTGGGAGGTTCTCAGTAAACGTATCTACTTTTAAAAAATTATTTTTAAATAAACTGTATTCCTGAGTGTCCAACTAAAAATGTATTTTACATTTTTGCTTTGCAAATGATGCCATGTACAACTTAAAACGAACTTCAAAAATCAGAAGGAAAAAGTGGAAAACAAGTGAAAGAAATCACTCTGCTATGTGAGAGAGCCTGTGGACACAGCTGGTAGCTATTAATTACTTGTAATTATTACAGGAAAATCTGGCACCTTCTGTGATCACACACAAATCCATCATCATCATGTCCTACCTCATCTTTTGCTGAGTGTCAGCAGGGAAGGGAAAGGCTGTTTGGAATAGGGATTAAAATTTTTAAAAAGCTGGGATTACTGGAGGTGGTCGGCTTCTACTCTTGTAAAGGAAACTCCTACATTTATCTCTTCAGATGTCTCTGTGACAAATTATTTATGCAGTCACAGGATCAATCTGAAGTTTAGATTAAGAATTAATGGAAAAATAAGAACAGAACTCAAATGCATCTTTAACCTTACTGCTTAATCCCTAGTCCCTGTTCCTCCTGCTAAATCATCTTTCATTTCTCTGCCTGATCCACTTTTGAGAAATTGAACCCGTTAGGGCATCCCCTAGAGAGGCCCTCCTCTCTTGTCCTGTTGGCTGTGGTTAGAGAACACTGAGGAGGCAGCCCACTGCTGAGAGTGCCTCCTCTCTCTCTGGGATTTTTCTGGCAGACCCAGCTGGCCGATGATAGTCCCTCTCCAGACTGTGGTCCAAGGACCCCATTCTGGCCGCCATTCTCACCAGTTATTACAGTAAATTAGTTGAGGGAAAATAAGATTTAGAGGACTCCCTTGCACTATGAGATGGCTTTCTCTCCATATGCTACTTAAAGAACCAAAAAACATCTCATGGTGGTTTTTGGCCATGTCTTCTCCAGCTCGTCGTCATTTCTCTTTTGGGGCTGGCATGATATTTTGTTTTCTTTCTGCAGAGCCTTTTTGGGAGCCTGGTAACTGGTCACATTGTTCTGCCACCTGTGGTCATTTGGGAGCCCGCATTCAGAGACCCCAGTGTGTGATGGCCAATGGGCAGGAAGTGAGTGAGGCCCTGTGTGATCACCTCCAGAAGCCACTGGCTGGGTTTGAGCCCTGTAACATCCGGGACTGCCCAGCGAGGTAAGTGAAGTCACTCTTTGTATCTCATCAACACCAAGTTTTTGTTTGTTTTGAAAGGTGCAGTGATTTGGACATAATAATTCAATAGCTAAGTTTTTTTTATCACTTACTGTATACTAGGCATCCTGCTAAGTGCTTTACATGGATCACAGTGTCCTGTGAGGTAGATGTTGTTAATTTCCTGTTTCGTAGATGGGGAAACTCCCCTAGGCCATACAGTTATAAGGACCAGGATTCAAATGGTGATAGTCTGATTTTAGAGCCCCTGCTCTCAATCACTAACCAAACCTGCTTCCTGCACACACAATCCTGTCAGTTCTTTAAGACTTTAGTGAGGCTAATTTCTTGGGTTTACTTAGGAGATAATTCAGTGGGCCAGAATCACCAGAGGCACTAGTGAAAAACACAGTTCTCTAGACTTGATCCCTGGAGGTAAAACCATTAATAAGCTTTCTAAGCAATAGGTAATACAAATCAGTAATTTTTAAATGTCCAAAATCAAATTCATGGTCTCCAGCAAACTTACTCCATCCCCAGTATTTCAGATCTTGATGACTACATCCTAGATGCCCCTCTTTCTCTCACTTCCATCCATTCTTGTCCATTTCCACTGTTACCACTAAAGTCCAAGCCGTCATTTTTTCTTACATGGACTACTCCAGGAGTCTTCTGGTTCTTATCTCCCTCTCTGGAGTACTTTGTCCACTCTCTAAGAATAAAGATATTTGAAACAAATTCATCATGATGGTTCTCTTAGTTTCATTAGGTTTCTACCTCTGCAAATAAAAATATCGACTTCACAAGATGATCTTGAAAATTAAATGAAAAATTGATTATAAAGTGTCTAACTCAGTACCTGTCACCTGGGAGGTTCTCAGTAAATATATCTACTTTTAAAAAATTATTTTTAAATAAGCTGTAATCCTGAGTGTCCAACTAAAAATATATTTTACATTTTTGCTTTGCAAATGATGCCATGTGCAATTTACACATTTATCTTAGGACAAAGGCCAAAATTCCCAGCACTGGGGTTGTGACTATCTTGTACATCTTTTTATCTCATGTTTGAAACAGTGCCTAGCAATAGTAGGTGCTTAGTAAATATTTGCTGACTGACTGAGTAAATGAGTGGAAGAATTGAAGTCCCTTCATATTTGGGCCTTGGGCTATCTCTTTTATCGCTTGTCTCTCCCACACTGGTTATTTGATCTCCTTCCATGCTGGTCTTTTTTTGTCCCTTAGATATACTATTCTGTTTCCTGACTCAGAGGCTTTGTGCATACTTCTCCCTCTGCCTAGGACACTGTCCCCTCTCTCTTCACTTAATCATTTCTGTTCATCTATATATACCTCAATACATGCTCAGGGAAACCATCCCTGAACTTAGCCCTCCAAAGTAAATCACGCCTTATGTTATATGATTTTTATATGTCCTTATCATTCTTCATAATTCTTACCACAATTGTCTGTCTTGCTCTCCCACTAGACCGTAAATTCTATGGGGAGTAAATCCACAGGTATTTTGCTCAATAATTTATTCCTAGCACTTAGCACAATGTCTGCTGCATCATATACTCCCTATAAATATTTATGAAATCAATGAATGAATGATTACAACACAGACCCTAGCAGATAGTTGACCAAATAGTACCAAAATCCATAGTAAAAACAATTAACAAATAAAAAAGCATTTGTTGAGTACAAACCAATGAAGAAGATACTAACATTTTACTGATGAGAAACTGGAGAAATGTTTAATGTTATATAGCTCACTGCCCTTGGGCAGATGTCCACACTAGATCCAGTCTCTAAGAGTGCCTTGGAGGAGAGTGGGAGGCAGGGTCACAGTGTAAAGCAAAATAGGTTCCTTAGGACATGTTCTTAGGAGGGTTATCAATATTGCAGGCACCCTAACTGATAGGTCTTCCAGTACCCTTTGTAATTCTCAAAAGGAAGATCTCATGTTAAGGTCATCCCTCAGAAAGCAGCAAACTCATGCTTCAGTAACTTGGAGTAACCTGATTGAGAAAGCTGTTTTATGGCATTTCTTGATTTTCAAAACGCGGAGAGAATCCACATTGGGAAATCTGTCAGCAGTCTTGTTTCTCGAATATTCTAAAACCTTTGCACACTCCTAGGATAAACAGTCCCACACTTTCATACCTAGAAGAGACCATAGAGATCATCTAATCCCAGATCCCTCTACATCAAGGCTTCTCATCATTTCTGTGCCACAGCTCCCTCTGGTGGTTTGGAGAAGCCTGTGGATACCGTCTCAGAACCAGGTTTTTGAATATGTAAAATAAAATACATTTGATTACAATGGAAACCAATTATATTGAAGTTCACTTAGTGAAATATTTTTAAAGATCTGATATATCGCCGGGCGCAGTGGCTCACGCCTGTAATCTCAGCACTTTGGGAGGCCGAGGCGGGCGGATCACGAGGTCAGGAGATCAAGAACATCTTGGCTAACACGGTGAAACCCCGTCCCTACTAAAAATACAAAAAAATCAGCCGGCCATGGTGGCAGGCACCTGTAGTCCCAGCTACTCGGGAGGCTGAGGCAGGAGAATGGCGTGAACCCGGGAGGCAATGGTTGGAGTGAGCCGAGGTTGCGCCACTGCACTCCAGCCTGGGCGACAGAATGAGACTCCGTCTCACAACAAACAAACAAACATACAAGATCTGATATAGATTTACTTCTCTATTAACACAAAAAATAACAAGATATAGTTGTGCTTTAATTTTAATATGGTGATGAATATAAATGATATTTTGAGATACCTGTCATAATGTAATGTGTAAATATCTATGATTTCTATTGGTAACAAAATCACAGGTATTATTAATGCTACTGTACTTGTGGCCTATGTTTCTATAATTGAAGGAAATATTAAATTTCAGTTAGAGCTTAGTGACAATGAAGACGGAATTCTTTTTCCATCCAAGTATGTGGTTTCCTTGGATAACCATGGACATCATGTTAGAAACCCCTGCTCTGCAGTCTCCCAACAGCATCTTTGTCCCAACAGACAAAGCACTCAATATCTCAAAGGTGTCCAGCTCCAAGTTCAGTCTCCTATAATCATTAAAGCATGAACTTTAGAGTCAGATAAATCTAGAATCCAATCCCAGCTCTGCTGGCAGGTTAGTCATGTGGTCATAGCTAAGTTATTCAGTTCAGTGGACATCCGTTTCTTTTCTACAAGAATGGGAATAACATGAGAATTATACAAGCTAACATGTAAGTATCTTGCAGGGTAAACAACACTTAGATGCTGGAAATATATTTTCTTCATTTTAGTTTCAGTGAGTTGAACTCCACCTTTTGGAAATTTCCTCCTAAATTTGCCCCAGCTTTACCCTCTAGGGCCACACAAGTAACAGCTCTTCATAAACCTGAAGACAGCTGTACCCCATTCCTAAAGTAGTCATCTCTACATGATGACACTGTTTCTCCCGAGTTAAAGAAGGTCTGAGAAAAAGGCTGGGAGTCATCTGTGCTGCTTCCCATTCCCATAGAGACATGTGACAGCCTAAGATAGCCATGGTGTTGGGATCAGCTTTTTCCTTTGATGAGACGCCCCCTCTAAGATCTGGCATACCAGTCCTTACTAAAGTCCTGTAGTTTTTGTTCCTAGGTGGTTCACAAGTGTGTGGTCACAGTGCTCTGTGTCTTGCGGTGAAGGATACCACAGTCGGCAGGTGACGTGCAAGCGGACAAAAGCCAATGGAACTGTGCAGGTGGTGTCTCCAAGAGCATGTGCCCCTAAAGACCGGCCTCTGGGAAGAAAACCATGTTTTGGTCATCCATGTGTTCAGTGGGAACCAGGGAACCGGGTAAAGCTAACACATCTAGTTTGTGGACAGCACTATCTGTCCACACAGATAGTGTGATAATAATCACCTTGTTTCCAATAAACTACTTTTGGGGCGGGGGGCAGGAATCTGACTGGTCTCTGAAATGAATGTATGTCTTTGACCTCAAGGTTTACATTTAGAAATCATAGTATCTCTGTCTTCCAGTACAAAAGTGAACCAAGTTTGGGTTCTTTGAATGCAGTGATGCCATAACAGAAGCTCCAAGTTAGACCAGTTTAGGGCAGTAAGAATAAAAGTAGCCTTCAGGAAAATGAGGAGGGGAACATTAGTGGTATCTGCACAAAAGCCTCAGAATCTTCATCCCAAATGCCACCTTTGATAATGTTATAATAAAAATACTTAGGAAAAAGTTTAATGTGTAGGAACCCATAAATAAAAATATAACACATTATTGAAACACATAAAAGTTGAGCAAATAAAAGACTTATTATACTCCTGAATGGAAAATCTCAGTACTACGAAGATGTCGATTTCCTTAAATGAATATATGCACGTAATACAATTCCTATTAACATCATAGTAGAACTTTTTGTGGAATTAAAGATAATTCTGGCATTCACATGGGAGATAATATGACAATAAAGACATAAATTTTTATTTTAAAAAAGTATTGGAGGTATAGAGAGACTTTCCTCATCCTATGTCAGAGCATGATGCAAAACTGTCATGAGTAAAATAGTACAGCATTAGTGCAGAAGAGACACAGGTTATGGTGTATAATCAGAGCTCAGAAACGGACCAGATTGACTTTAACATTTAAAGGCAGTTAATCATAGGAGAAAACATTGTTTTAAAAATAGAAGATATAAAACTACAAAATATTTTTCAAAGAAACTAAAGAAGATCTAAATAAATGGAAAGCTGTAAGACTTATTATTACTAGTAACACAATACTCTTGAAATTTATCTACAAATTCAATGTGATCGCTATCAAAATTTTATCTGGTTTCTTTGCAGACATTGACAGTCTGATCCTAAAATTCATGTGGATATAGAAGAGACACAGAATAACCAAAACAATTTTGAAAAGGAACAAAGTTGCAGGACTCAGACTTCTGATTTCAAAACTTACCAAAAAGCTACAGTAATCAAGATAGTATGGTACTGACATAGGATGGACATATAGATCAATGAAATTGAATTGAGTCCAGAGATAAACCCATATATATATATCTCAATTGTTTTTGTATAAGGTTGAGAAACCATTCAATGGGGGAAGAATAGTCTTTTAAACAAGTGATGCAGGACAACTTCCAAAAAAGGAAGTTGGACCCTTTACACCACATACGAAAAAATAAAATGAATCAGAGAACTAAATTTAAGAGCTCAATATATAAAACTATTGGAAAAAAATATAGGTGTAAATTTTCATGGCTTGGATTAGGAAATGGCTTCTTAGATATAACAACAAAAGCATAAGCAACAACAACAAAAATAGATAAATTGGACTGCATCAAAATTAAAAACTTGTGCTGCAAAGGAAACCATCAAGAAAGTAAACAGACAACCTATAGAATGGGAGAAAATGCTTAAAAATTGTATATCAAAAAGGAGATTATCTCTAAAATATGTAAAGAATACTTACAACTCAATAATAAAAACACAAATAAACTATCAGCAAGATATGCAAATGGCCAATAAGCACACGAAGGGATGCTTTCCATTAGTCATTAAAAAATGCAAGTCAAAACCACAATAAGATACAAGTTTAGGCTCACTGGGATGGCATTAGTGAAAGAGATAGTGACAAATGTTGATGAGGATGTGGAGAAATTGGAACCTTCATGCTGCTGATGGGAATGTAAAATGGTACAGACACTTTAGAAAACACCCTAGCGGTTCCTCAAAATGTTAGATTAGATCTATTATATGACCCAGAAATTCCACCCCTAGGTATGTATCCAAAAGAAATGAAACATTCAGGATCTATATCCTAGGGCAAAAAAATACAAATAAGAAACGGAGGCCGGGCGCGGTGACTCACACCTGTAATCCCAGCACTTTGGGAGGCTGAGGCAGGAGGATCATGAGGTCATCCTCGCTAACATGGTGAAACCCTGTCTCTACTAAAAATACAAAAAATTAGCTGGGCGTGGTGGCGGGTGCCTGTAGTCCCGGCTACTTGGGAGGCTGAGGCAGGAGAATGGTGTGAACCCGGGAGGCAGGGCTTACAGTGAGCTGAGACCACGCCACTGCACTCCAGCCTGGGCGACAGAGCGAGACTCTGTCTCAAAAAAAAAGAAAAAAAGAAATGGAACATATGTCCACACAAAAACTTGTACATGAATATTTGTTGGAGAATTATTAATAATAACCACAATGTCATTAAGTAGAAACAACCCAAATAACAACACCCCATAATAATAAAAAAAATGGAAACAATTGGTGAGTAGATGAGCTGTGGTATGCTTGCACAATTGAATATTTGACCATCAAAAGGAATGAAGGACTGATATATGCTACAATAGAGCTAAACCTTGAAAACATTATGGTAATTGAAGGAAGACAGATGCAAAGGACCACTCTGCATGGCACCATTTATACAAAGTGTCCAGAACAGGGAAATTTGTAGAGACAAAAAGTAGACTAATGGTTGCCGAGGCTTGGGGAAAGAAGCAATCAGAGGAATTAGGAGTGACTGTTAAAGGTATGGGGTTTCTTTGGGGATGATGATCATGTTCTAAAATTGATTATGGTAAAGGTTATACAACTCTAAATTCCGTTAACATTCGATGGCAAATTGTATAGTTTGTAAATTGTATCTCAATAAAGTGGTTAGCCAAAAAAAGAAAAAAGGCAGTATAAGACAAATCGGCTAGCTAATGTAAGAAAAATAAGTAAAATCAGAGCACAGACTCAGAACATACACCAAAATAAATTCTAACTTGATTAAAGAGCTAAGTGTATCAGTAAGTAAATGCAAGTAGAACTATCATGACAGTAAAGACCTTTTTAAGCATAAAATAAATTATAAGGACAAATTAATAGGTATTATTATAAATAAGTAAAAATTTTAAGAACTGAATGTCAAAATTTTAAAATTTTTTTCCTGTAATTGAACCCACCTTAGCACACAAGTCTTCATTTTTGCTCACAGCAGAAAAACCCAAACTTGGCAGACATTTATGGTTTTAAGCATAGTCATTTCCGGACTTAAACCCAATTGATTCAAGATTTGCCCTGTCATTTTTTCCTTCTCCCCAGAGGTGGTCTAAGTTTTGTGGGAGAAAGGAGGGTGATATGGTTAGGCTTTGTGTCCCCACCCAGATCTCATCTTGAATTATAATCCCCATAATCCTCAATATCCCCACATGTCAAGGGAGAGACCAGGTGGAGGTAATTGAGTCATGGGGGCAGTTTCCCCCATGCTGTTCTTGTGACAGTGAGTGAGTTCTCACAAGATCTGATGGTTTTATAAGAGGCTTTTCCCCCTTTGGCACTTCTCCTTCCTGCTGCCTTGTGAAGAAAGTTCCTTGCTTCCTCTTTGCCTTCCATCATGATTTTAAGTTTCCTGAGGCCTCCTCAGCCATGCAGATATGTGAGTCAATTAAACCTCTTTCCTTTGTAAATTACTCAGTCTCAGGTATTTCTTTATAGAAGTGTAAAAATGAACTAATATAGTAAATTGGTACAGCAGAGAGAGGGATGTTGCTATAAAGATACCCAAAAATGTGGAAGCGACTTTGGAACTGGGTAACAGGCACAGACTGGAACAGTTTGGAGGGCTCAGAAGAAGACAGGAAGATTTGGGAGAGTTTGGAACTTCCTAGAGATCTGTTGAAGGGTTTTGACCAAAATGCTGATAGTGGTGTGGACAATAAAGTCCAGGCTGAGATGGTCTCAGGTGGAGATGAGGAACTTCTTGGGAACTAGAGCAAAGGTGACTCTTGCTATGCTTTAGCAAAGAGAATGGAGGCATTTTGCCCCTGTCCTAGAGATCTGTGGAATGTTGAACTTGAGAGAGATGATTTAGGGTATCTGGTAGAAGAAATTTCTAAGCATCAAAGCATTCAAGAGGTGACTTGGATGCTCTTAAAAGCATTCAGTTTTATGCATTCACAAAGAGATGACTTGGAATTGGAACTTATGTTTCAAAGGGAAGCAGAGCATAAAAGTTTGGAAAATTTGCAGCCTGAGGATGCAATGGAAAAGAAAAACCCATTTTCTGAGGAGCTGAGGAGAAATTCAAGCTGGCTGCAGAAATTTGCATAAGGAATGAGGAGCAAAATGCCAATACAATGGGGAACATGTCTCCAGGGCACGTCAGTGGTCTTCACAGCAGCCCCTCCCATCACATACCCTGAGGCATAGGAGAAAAAAGTGGTTTCCTGGGCTGAGCCCAGGAACTTGCTGCTTTGTGCAGTCCGAGCACTTGGAGCCCTGTGTCTCAGCCATGGCTAAAAGGAACCAACATACAACTCAGGCCATTGCTTCAGAGGGCGCAAGCCCCAACCCTTGGCAGCTTACACATGGTGTTGGGCCTGCAGGTGCACAGAAGTCAAGAATTGAGGTTTGAGAACCTCTGCCTAGATTTCAGAGGAATGTATGGAAAACCCTAGATGTCCAGACAGAAGTTTGCTGCAGGAGTAGGGTCCTCATAAAGAACCTCTGTTACAGCAGTGCAGAAGGGAAATGTGGGGTTGGAGCCTCCACACAGAGTCTCCACTGGTGCATTGCCTAGTGGAGCTGTGAGAAGAGGACCACCATCCTTCTGACCCCAGAATGGTAGATCTACTGACAGCTTGTGCTGTGTGCCTGGAAAAGCCACAGTCACTTAACACCAGCCCATGAAAGCAGCCAGGAGTGAGGACTGTACCCTGCAAAGCCACAGAGGAGGAGCTGCTTAAGGCCATGGGAGCCCACCTCTTACATCAGCATGATGGAAGACACGGGGTCATGTCTGGATGTGAGACATGGGGTCAAAGGAGATCATATCGGAACTTTAAGATTTGACTGCCCCATTGGATTTTGGCCTTGTATGGGGCCTATAGTCCCATTATTTTGGCCAACTTCTCCCATTTGGAATGGGTGTATTTATCCACTGCCTGTACCTCCACTGTATCTAGGAAGTAACTAACTTACTTTTCATGTTACAGGCTCATAGGCAGAAGAGACTTGCCTTATTTCAGATGAGACTTTGGACTTGGACTTTTGGGTTAATGCTGGAATGAATTAAGACTTTGGGGGACTGTTGGGAAGGCATGAATGCTTTTGAAATGTGAAAGGGACATGAGATTTGGGAGGGGCCACGGGCAGAATGATATGGTTAGGCTTTTTGTCCTCACCCAAATCTCATCTTGAATTTTAATCCCCACAATCCCCACATGTCAAGGGAGAGACCAGGTGGAGGCAGTTGGATCATGGCGACAGTTTCCCTCATGCTATTCTCATGATAGTGAGTGAGTTCTCACAAGATCTGATTGTTTTATAAAGGGGGCTCTTCTCCCTTCACTTGGCACTTCTCCTCTTTGCCGCTTGTGAAGAAGGTGCCTTGTTTCCCCTTCACCTTCTGACATGATTGTAAGTCTTCTGAGGCTTCCCCAGCCATGCTGACTGTGAGTCAATTAAACCTCTTTCCTTTGTAAATTACCCAGTCTCGGGTATGTCTTTAGAGCAGTGTGAAAATGGACTAATACAGAGGGGATGGTAAGCTTAGGCAGTTTCTTCCTGACTCTGAAAAAGAGGTGTCTGGTCCACAGAGCTGTACCCTAATCCTCTTTAACTCCCCCCTGGGGACAGTTGGTTACAGTCCCCTTGTAATAGGTCTTCAGCTATCCTGCCTCAGTACATGATCTTAGTACACACAGCATGGATGAGCTTGCAGGATTTACACTGCACTGTGCTTTTTTGTTCCAGTGTCCTGGACGTTGCATGGGCCGTGCTGTGAGGATGCAGCAGCGTCACACAGCTTGTCAACACAACAGCTCTGACTCCAACTGTGATGACAGAAAGAGGTAGGGGCCCCACCCCAGAGCAGCACACATTCTCTCCTGACTCACTCAGGACAATGATTATAACTGCCTGAAAATGGAATCCTTTCTAGTTTCTACCAACTCTCATAATTGACAGTTTTCAATTATGATTTATTTAGTGTCATCTTCAATAGTATATATTATACTGAAATACTAGTTAATGTGCACTATTTATAACTATAAATTGTTTGGATGTTAAACAATAAAGGGACACCACTCTATGTGGTAAAAGGGGAAAAGGATATCATTGAGAAAACGGAGATACTTCTCCCTCTATATACTAAGTTAATCAAGCCTAATAATATTCCATTTAGGCTTACAGATTAAATCTTCTTAATGCTTTTAATGAACTGCTTTATTTCTCTGTTTAGAAAATGTTTTGATTAGGATATTGTCACAGTGGTTGGCAGATAGTAAAATAAACTTTAATCTTGTTGAGGAGGTTAAATAAGGGTGGAGTTTGCTTTCCTCCTTTTATAAAAGTCTGAGCTGGTAGATGGTTTAGGGATAGAAGAGCTTTTTTCATGGGGTCATCCAGAGATCCAGATGCCCTCCATCTGGCAGCTCTACCATCCAAGAGAACAGCACCCCAGCCAGCAGAAAGTGGGGAGAGAGCCTAGAAGGCACACTAATCGGGGGCTTGGGAGTTCTATTATATCACTCACTTACTGTGTGACCCTGGACTGCCTAGCCACCTAATCTGCAAAGTGGGATATTATCATCCATGTGAACTTATGTTTAGAAAGTTTTAATGATTTAGCTTAGTGTGAAACACGAGGCAGCCTGGGTCATGGAAGATGCTCAATATCTGGCTATTTCTTCCTTTTCCATGTCCTGAGTCTTGCTGGAGAAAATGAGATGACCTTGACAGTTGGCTGGGTTACCATTTTGAGCCTTCAGTAAGGTTTGGCAATGTAGGGTCAGTTGCATTTCCTATTCCCCACAAAGTGATTTCAAGCCAAAACCATTCTCCTCAAATGGAAAATGTTTGGAACGGCTGCTCTCATTCTCAACAGACAACCTAAGTTTCCTATTTTCCTGAGAAGATACAGACCACACACAGATTGATATGCATCATCCCAGGTGCTTTACTTTGCATTCACAAAGATATACTTAAAGCACAAATACATACATGGGTCACATACATATTTTTCTGAAACTTGCTTTTTCTACCTAAGAATATATTATAGATAATTCCCATCAAGTAAAGATTAACTTTATTCTTTTTAATTTTGTACTTAATACTCTATTCTACTCAATATTCTATCTAAATTTTGTACTTAATATTCTGTTGCTAATGGACATTGGATAGTTTCAAACTTTTTGCTATTATAAACTAAGCTTCAGTAAATATCCTGGAACATATATCTTTGGGTACAAAGGGTAATATTTTTATAGAGTAGATTTTTAGATAATGGAATTGAATTGGTAGGAATGCTCATTTTGATGCTATCAAATTGCCATCAAAATTTCTATGCCAGCAATATGTGAGAGTTGCCCCCTTTTCATCAACATGATATAGGTTTGCAGTCTTTTAAAATTTTTGCCAATCTGATGGATGAAAATTTATCTCATTGTAATGTGTACTTTCCTGATTACTTTTTTATATGATTTTTTATTCCTTATATTTTTTTTCTTGAACTCATCTTCATTTTTTCTTTTCTGCCACCATTACCCTTGGCCAAACCACCATCGTATCTCACCTGGTATACTGTCACAGCTGTCCAACTGGTCCCCCTTCATCCATCCATGCTCCTTTCCAACCCAGTCTCCACAGTACAGCCAGAGTGAGTTTTCCCAGATGCAAATCTGATCCTACCACCACCACAACCCATCTCCCTGCTAGACTAAAATTACTTTAGAGGTTTTACTTGCTCTTAGGAAGATTGACCAAATCCTCAATGTGACCTATAAAATACCACATGCTTGGCTGGGCATGGTGGCTCACACTTGTAATCCTAGTACTTTGGGAGGCTGAGGCAGGCAGATCACTTGAAGTCAGGAGTTTGAGACCAGCCTGCCAACATAGTGAAACCCTGTCTCTACTAAAAATACAAAATTAGCTGGGCATGGTTGCACATGCCTGTGATCCCAGCTATTTGGGAGGCTGAGGCAGGAGAATTGCTTGAACCTGGGAGGTGGAGGCTGCAGTGAGCCAAGATCACACCACTGTACTCCAGCCTGGGCAACAGAGCAAGACTCTATCTCAAAAAAACAAACCAAAAAACAAACAAAAAAACGTGCTCAAGTCCTACTTTTCTTCACAGCCTCATCCATTATCTCATGCTGTCTCACTCTTCATGTTCCAGCCACACTGTCCTTCTGTCAGTTTCTCAGATATGTCACATACTTTCCAATCAAAGGTAGCAAAAAATAAGAGGCAGAAAATGTAATACGGAAGATAAAGAGTATAGAAGGATCTATCAAGAGGCTCAAAATCTGATTAAATTGGGTTTTAGACCAAGAGATATGAAAGTGAAATTAAAGGGTAGACTTTTTTTTAATAATGGAAGAAAATTCCTAGAGCTGGGGGTGAGTCAGAGTGGCAGGGAGTCAAGTTACCATTCATTTTCTCTTTTATTTCTGTTTCCTCCAGGATTGGCTGTTCTGTTTTTATAACCTGATGCTTTTCTTTCATGGTGTTAATATTTTTTCCTCAGATATCTGGTGGTTTATGGATGAGGGATGAAGTTGGTTAGTATAGAGAGCTGTCGAGGGTTTCTTCTGCAGTGTTTTAGCCCCCTTTTCCCCACAGACCTCTTCTGCTGGATTGGTTTATGACCATGGGCTCTCTGTAGGTAGGTGAGGTGTTAGATCTCACTTTTGAGTGGGTGGACAGGGAGCAATGGAGACCCCCCATTTGCCATAGTAGGGCCTCAGGAAATGTTAGAGAGTGTTGTAGAAGGAGTAGCATTAGTGGCGTGGGCAGAGGATCAGTGGTGGGCAGGCTGTCTGCTAGTGTTTACTATATGCCCTGGGAAGGTTTTGGGAGCTGTGGCTTCCATTGAAAAGTTGTAGAGGGAATGGGAATTGTCAGGGTGGAGCTAGCCCAGACTTATGGCAAGGTGACAACATGGGGACCTATAGAATGCTGAGGACACAGAAAGTTGGTTTCTCAAAGTGGCGATTTCTAACTTCTGAAATCAGAATCACCTAGGAAATTTCTGTAAAATAAAGATGCTTGGGCCTCACCTCAGGCAGTGAATCAGAACCTTCATGAGATTGCCTGGCCATCTACAGCATTTTAAAGCTGTGTGCTTCTGCCTGCTTCGAATAACCAGGCAGGCTTGGGATCTACTGCCGTCAGAATCAGCAGTTCCATCTGGCTGATGGTGAAAGGAGTTACTTGAGGCAGAAGTGGAGCCAGACTGAATAGAAGTGAGAAATTGAAAAAAGCTAGTAGAAACAGGGTTCCTTTATGATTTCTGCTACCATTTCTACACTCATGCTTCATGTAGAAAAACACATGAACCCCAGTTATGTGCATAGTGCAGGTGCCCAGACTGCATTCACCTGGCTCAGGTGTCTCTGTCCTGAGTCCTGTCCCTGGCCAGGAGGAAGTTACGCCCTCTACTGGACAGACCTTGCTTTTTATTTATTATGATTTTTTCTACTGTATCCTTAGTGAGCAGCCTCTTAGCTTTCCTGGGCTTCAGCTTCTGTGTTGGTCCATAGCTCCCTGTGCCCCTCTCATTCTTTGTATTTAGAAAGCTCAATAGTCCTGTCTGACTTCCCACTGGCCCTGCCTTTCATCAAAGCAAAAGGGGCTGTTTTACAATCCTTTGGGCTAGAAGCAAAAGTCAACTTGGCATGATTTATGCAAAAAAGGGTGAGGGATTTATTAATAAGACAAGACCACCCAAAACTTGTGCACAATAATTTGGTATTCTTTTAAATATATTATTTGAATATTTGTTCAAGTTTCTTCAGTGGAAGGCTGATCTCTATATAGGGATGGTTGAGGAGTACTCAGTCTCTTCTCTGTTGTTCAAAGTGACTCAATTTTTGGTCCCTAAGATTCATACCTACTGGGGAAAACAAAAGCAGCTAACAGGACACCCACCTCTTCCATATATCGTATGAACAGTTTGGTAGGACAGCACTGTGTTAAGTAAACCCTTTGATAGAGTCTCCTCCTACTGGCTAATGATAGGATTACTTCCAACTACGTGCAATACTCTCAGAGTTCTTGGATATCACAAATTTCTCCATTTTATTACATTTCCCATAAAACACTCCTTATGGATTTATGTGCCCTGATAAGGAACCTTTAATGGGATAACAAAAATATCTCATAGAATCCAAAGGGAGAACAGGGAGCATGCAGTCAGACCTCAGGAAGGACTACAACTAAGAAATGGGAAGTCATTGTTTTTTTTCTCTTCTCTCATCTCTGCAGTTCTGTGTGTTTCTGCTTCATTATTTGCTCTTTATGAAAACTGGTTTTTTTCTATATTTCTGGCCGATGTGGAAGAATATAGCCACCTAATACTCCACACTTCAGGTTTGCATGCCTGGTTCTAGCAACCTCCAAATCCTAAGAGAAATACATTTCTTCAACCAGCTCAAGTTAGGGCCCTCTTCCAGTCATCTTTGGAACTGGGAAGACACTCTCAAGCAGTGCAAATATGTCTTCAGGAGCCCTGCCTTAGGGAACAAGGGCAGATACCCCAAAGTGGGCCCACTAAGTTTGGCTCTATCCTCTTTAGCATGTGTCTTTTCAAAAATCAGAGGGTATTAACTTTCCATTCTGTTTTAAAAGGCAAGGAAATCAGAGATAGATTCTTATTCTCATATGGTCTTCAGTAGTTTCTGACTGCAAGTCTTGGTGTGACCTAAATGTAAAAAAGAGTACTTCTTTTAGCAGACAAGGTTGCTCACATAGAAAGTCATACACCGCAGTATGTTTTGAGCGCTTACAAACAGAAAATTGAAGTCTTGTTAATGAATTTGAGGTGGCTTATTGTAGATCATTATAGTAAATAATTCTCTTCCTTGCCAAAATTGATTTCTTCCAGCTAGTCAGGATGTGTGTGCCTTGACTTGGTGTTGGAAGTCAGTGGAAACACATGGTTTGCTTGCCATGCCCTCTTCATCAGAGCACATCTAAGCAGGCGCACTCCACCCCAGGTGGTGGAGAATGTTGTCACTGTCGTTCTAGCCTGTATGGCATAAAAGCAGAGGAATGTCTTGGTCTTAGACTCTCCATCCAACCTTTAATACGTAGTATAGAGTAAGGTAAAAAGGCTTGGTCCCAGCAAAAAGTTACACCCTGCCTCTCCTATTTTTTGTTTTTCCGTTTTGTTTTATTTTTCACTTCAGACCCACCTTAAGAAGGAACTGCACATCAGGGGCCTGTGATGTGTGTTGGCACACAGGCCCTTGGAAGCCCTGTACAGCAGCCTGTGGCAGGGGTTTCCAGTCTCGGAAAGTCGACTGTATCCACACAAGGAGTTGCAAACCTGTGGCCAAGAGACACTGTGTACAGAAAAAGAAACCAATTTCCTGGCGGCACTGTCTTGGGCCCTCCTGTGATAGTACGTACACCTCCCAGGTATCTCCACTGCCCCAGAGGCCTTGATGGCATCAGATCCTGATGCTACCATCACGGCACCAAACCCTGCTAGTGATTACCTCATCAGTGTCCCAACTGAGGGGCTATTCAGAATGGATTTGGTAGCTTGGGACATCAGGGGATGAACTCCTTTATGTGGGTGCAGCTGCATGTTCTCTAGAGAAAAGGCAGTTGGATTAGTAGCATGCCAGCATCATTGGTTACTGCCTTTCCGACAAGCACTGTCAGTCTCTCCACACACTTCTCTTCTGCCTGGTAGTCTTACGTGCTAAGACAAAGATTCCATGGATGGGCTTGGGTAGGTATGCTGATGTCCTGAAGTTATATGTAAAAACTGTAGGTTTATTTTTCTAGGGAGTAGGTGTGTAGCATTCATAAGTTTTTCAAGGAGTCCATGACCCTGCAAAAGTTAAGCATTGCTGCTCTGAGAACTCAAAGGAGCAGCATGGGCCAGAGGGACTGGGAGGGTCCAGAGAGCAGCAAGAGGTCACTTGGCTGAGCTGAAAGGGAATCCAATGCACTTCTGACTCTCATGCAAAACAATGGCCCTAACCCAAAGCTGGTTTCTTCACCTCACTCTGTGATCTCAATTTATGGCTTTTCATAAAGTCAAATAATTTTTAATTAGGTCTCTAATAAGCTATATGTTACAGATATTTGTTTCTTTTTTGCAGGAGACTGCACAGACACAACTCACTACTGTATGTTTGTAAAACATCTTAATTTGTGTTCTCTAGACCGCTACAAACAAAGGTGCTGCCAGTCATGTCAAGAGGGATAAACCTTTGGAGGGGTCATGATGCTGCTGTGAAGATAAAAGTAGAATATAAAAGCTCTTTTCCCCATGTCGCTGATTCAAAAACATGTATTTCTTAAAAGACTAGATTCTATGGATCAAACAGAGGTTGATGCAAAAACACCACTGTTAAGGTGTAAAGTGAAATTTTCCAATGGTAGTTTTATATTCCAATTTTTTAAAATGATGTATTCAAGGATGAACAAAATACTATAGCATGCATGCCACTGCACTTGGGACCTCATCATGTCAGTTGAATCGAGAAATCACCAAGATTATGAGTGCATCCTCACGTGCTGCCTCTTTCCTGTGATATGTAGACTAGCACAGAGTGGTACATCCTAAAAACTTGGGAAACACAGCAACCCATGACTTCCTCTTCTCTCAAGTTGCAGGTTTTCAACAGTTTTATAAGGTATTTGCATTTTAGAAGCTCTGGCCAGTAGTTGTTAAGATGTTGGCATTAATGGCATTTTCATAGATCCTTGGTTTAGTCTGTGAAAAAGAAACCATCTCTCTGGATAGGCTGTCACACTGACTGACCTAAGGGTTCATGGAAGCATGGCATCTTGTCCTTGCTTTTAGAACACCCATGGAAGAAAACACAGAGTAGATATTGCTGTCATTTATACAACTACAGAAATTTATCTATGACCTAATGAGGCATCTCGGAAGTCAAAGAAGAGGGAAAGTTAACCTTTTCTACTGATTTCGTAGTATATTCAGAGCTTTCTTTTAAGAGCTGTGAATGAAACTTTTTCTAAGCACTATTCTATTGCACACAAACAGAAAACCAAAGCCTTATTAGACCTAATTTATGCATAAAGTAGTATTCCTGAGAACTTTATTTTGGAAAATTTATAAGAAAGTAATCCAAATAAGAAACACGATAGTTGAAAATAATTTTTATAGTAAATAATTGTTTTGGGCTGATTTTTCAGTAAATCCAAAGTGACTTAGGTTAGAAGTTACACTAAGGACCAGGGGTTGGAATCAGAATTTAGTTTAAGATTTGAGGAAAAGGGTAAGGGTTAGTTTCAGTTTTAGGATTAGAGCTAGAATTGGGTTAGGTGAGAAAGAAAGTTAAGGTTAAGGCTAGAGTTGTCTTTAAGGGTTAGGGTTAGGACCAGGTTAGGTCAGGGTTGGATTGGGTTTAGATTGGGGCCAGTGCTGGTGTTAGTGATAGTGTCAGGATGGAGGTTAGGTTTGGAGTAAGCGTTGTTGCTGAAGTGAGTTCAGGCTAGCATTAAATTGTAAGTTCTGAAGCTGATTTGGTTATGGGGTCTTTCCCCTGTATACTACCAGTTGTGTCTTTAGATGGCACACAAGTCCAAATAAGTGGTCATACTTCTTTATTCAGGGTCTCAGCTGCCTGTACACCTGCTGCCTACATCTTCTTGGCAACAAAGTTACCTGCCACAGGCTCTGCTGAGCCTAGTTCCTGGTCAGTAATAACTGAACAGTGCATTTTGGCTTTGGATGTGTCTGTGGACAAGCTTGCTGAGTTTCTCTACCATATTCTGAGCACACGGTCTCTTTTGTTCTAACTTCAGCTTCACTGACACTGGGTTGAGCACTACTGTATGTGGAGGGTTTGGTGATTGGGAATGGATGGGGGACAGTGAGGAGGACACACCAGCCCATTAGTTGTTAATCATCAATCACATCTGATTGTTGAAGGTTATTAAATTAAAAGAAAGATCATTTGTAACATACTCTTTGTATATATTTATTATATGAAAGGTGCAATATTTTATTTTGTACAGTATGTAATAAAGACATGGGACATATATTTTTCTTATTAACAAAATTTCATATTAAATTGCTTCACTTTGTATTTAAAGTTAAAAGTTACTATTTTTCATTTGCTATTGTACTTTCATTGTTGTCATTCAATTGACATTCCTGTGTACTGTATTTTACTACTGTTTTTATAACATGAGAGTTAATGTTTCTGTTTCATGATCCTTATGTAATTCAGAAATAAATTTACTTTGATTATTCAGTGGCATCCTTATAAATGTAGGCAGCTTATGTGTGTTATTTTTTGGTAGCCTTCGGTCTTGTCATCGTGGCTGCCCCTTCATCAGTCCAAGAGCCACCCCAGTGGGTTTGATTCCCTGGACTGTCCTTCAGAGTGTGGATTACAAGACTCAGAGCAGATCTCACAAAGATTCACTCTAATGCCCTCATTTTACTCATTTACATATTGTGAATCATTTTTAAAAGAATCTCAAGAGCAGCAGAAGAAAGAAGTCCCAAACAGACAACCTGAAACAGGTATTGAAGTAAGGGGTAGTTGGAAGAGCAAGCGGTACTAATAGCCTTTTAATTTTTTAAAGACTTTTTTTAGAGCAGTTTTAATTTCACAACAAAATTGATTGGAAGGTACAGAGATTTCCCATGTATACCTCATGTCCCAACACATATATAACATCCCCCATTATCAGCATCCCCCACCAGAATGGTACATTTGTTACAATTGATGAACCTCCATTGACACATCATCATAGTCCAAAGTCCATAGTTTACAAGAGCTGGGATAAATCCCACTTAGTCATGGTGTATAATTCATTTTATAAATTGTTAGATTCAACTTGCTAATGTTTGTTGAGTATTTTTGCATTTATTTTCATGAAAGATTGATCTGTAGTTTCCTTCCTTCCTTTTTCATGAGAGATTGGTCTGTAGCTCTCTCTCTCTCTTTCTTTCTTTCTTTCTTTCTGTCAGCAAGCCTCCCTCTATTGCCCAGGCTGGAGTGCAGTGGTGCGATCTCGGCTCACTGCAACCTCCGTCTCCTGGGTTCAAGCATTTCTCCTGTCTCAGCCTCCTGAGTAGCTGGGATTACAGGCCTGCGCCACCAAGCCGGCTAATTTTTATATTTTTAGTAGAGACAGGGTTTCACCATATTGGTCAGGCTGGTCTCAAACTCCTGACCTCAGGTGATCCACCCACCTCTGCTTCCCAAAGTGCTGGGATTACAGGCGTGAGCCACCATGCCAGGCCAGTTTTCTTTTCTTGTAATGTTTTGTCTGGGTTTGGTATTAGGGTGATACTGGCCTCATAGAATGAGTTAGGAAATATTAACTCTGCTTCTGTCCTCAAGAGATTGTAGAGAATTGCTATTTCTGTCTTAAATGTTTGGTAGAATTAACCAGTGAACCTGTCTTGGCCTAGTGCTTTCTGGTTTTGAAGATTATCAATTATTGATTCAATTTATTTAATAGAAATAAGCCTATTTGGATTGTCTGTTTCTTTTTGTGTGAGTTTTGGCACATTGTTTCTTTGTATGAATTTTGACAGATTGTGTCAAGGAATTGGTCTATTTCTTCTAGGTTATAAAATTGTAGGCAGAGTTCTTCATGGTATTCCTCTATTATCCTTTTAATCCCCATAGTATTTGTAGTGATGTCTCCTCTTTCATTTCTCATATTAGTAATTTGTATCCTTTCTGGTTTTTTTTTTCTTAGCTTTGCTGGAGACTTACTGAATTTATTGATTTTTTTCAAGTAACCAGTGTTTATTTCATTTCATTTCTTCTATTGATTCCTTGTTTTCAATTTCATTGATTTCGGCTCTAATTATTTCTTTTCTTTGTCTTACTTTGGATTTATTTTATTTTATTTATTTATTTATTTATTTAGGAGACAGATTCTCATTCTGTCACCCAGGCTGGAGGGCAGTGGTGTGATCTTGGCTCACTGCAACCTCCTCCTCCCAGGTTCAAGCAATTCTAGTGCCTCCACCTCCCAAGTAGCCAGGACTATGGGTATGCATCACCAAGCCTGGCTAACATTTTGTATTTTTAGTAGAGACAGGGTTTTGCCATGTTGCGCAGGCTAGTCTTGAACTCCTGAGCTCAGGCAATCTGCCTACCTCAGCCTCCCAATTACAGGCATGAGCCACCGTGCTTTACTTTGGTTTTTTTGATTTTTTTTTTGAGATGGAGTCTTGCCCTGTCACCCAGGCTGGACTGCAGTGGCTCAATCTCGGCTCACTGCAACCTCTGCCCCCTGAGTTCAAGCGATTCTCCTGCCTCAGCCTTCTGAGTAGCTGGAACTACAAGCATGCACCACCATGCCCAGCTAATTTTTGTATTTTTAGTAGAGACAGGGTTTCATCATGTTGGTCAGGCTGCTCTCAAACTGCTGACCTCATGTGATCCACCCCACTCGGCCTCCCAAAGTGCTGGGATTATAAGCGTGAGCTATGGCACCTGACCTACTTTGGATTTAATTTGCTCTTCTTTTCTACTTTCTTCAGGTGTAAACTTAGAATACTGATTTAAGATCTGTCTTCTTTCCTAATATATGTATTCAATGCCTTATATTTCCCCATAGCACTGTTTTTACTGTATCCCACAAATTTTGATAAATTGTGTTCCCATTTTCATTTGGTTCAAAATATTTTAAAATTTCTCTTGAGATTTTCTGATCCACATGTAACTTAGAAATATGTTGTTTAATCTCCACATATTTTGAGATTTTCCAGTTACCTTTCTGTTATTGATTTATAATTTAATTCCACCACGGCCTGAAAGCAGACATTGTATGATTTCTAGTCTTTTAAATGTGTTAAAGTGAAGAAGAGGGTGGAGTCAAGATGGCCGAATAGGAACAGCTCCAGTCTACAGCTCCCAGCATGAGCGACACAGAAGACGGGTGATTTCTGCATTTCCAACTGAGGTACCGGGTTCATTTCTCTGGGGAGTGTCGGAAAGTGGGTGCAGGACAGTGGGTGCACTGCAGCAAGCCTGAGCCGAAGTAGGGGGAGGCATTGCGTCACCCGGGAAGTGCAAGGGGTCAGGGAATTCCCTTTCCTAGTCAAAGAAAGAGGTGACAGATGGCACCTGGAATATCGGGTCACTCCCACCCTAATACTGCGCTTTTCCAATGGTCTTAGCAAACGGCACACCAGGAGATTATCTCCCACGCATGGCTCAGAGGGTCCTACGCCCACTGAGCCTCGCTCATTGCTAGCACAGCAGTCTGAGGTCAAACTGCAAGGCGGCAGCAAGGCTGGAGGAGGGGCACCCGCCATTGCGGAGGCTTGAGTAAGTAAACAAAGCGTCCAGGAAGCTCAGTTTGAGCCCACCGCAGCTCAAGGAGGCCTGCCTACCTCTGTAGACTCCACCTCTGGGGGTGGGGCACAGCCAAACAAAAGGCAGCAGAATCCTCTGCAGACTTAAATGTCCCTGTCTGACAGCTTTGAAGAGAGTAGTGGTTCTCCCAGCACGCAGCTGGAGATCGGAGAACGGACAGACTGCCTCCTCAAGTGGGTCCCTGACCCCCGAGTAGCCTAACTGGTAGGCACCCCCCAGTAGGGGCAGACTGACAGCTCACACGGCCGGGTACTCCTCTGAGACAAAACTTCCAGAGGAACCATCAGGCAGCAACATCTGTTGTTCACCAATATCCTCTGTTCTGCAGCCTCCGCTGCTGATACCCAGGCAAACAGGGTCTGGAGTGGACCTCCAGCAAACTCCAACAGACCTGCGGCTGAGGGTCCTGACTGTTAGAAGGAAAACTAACAAACAGAAAGGACATCCACACCAAAACCTCATCTGTACGTCACCATCATCAAAGACCAAAGGTAGATCAAACCACACCAATGGGGAAAAAACAGAGCAGAAAAACCGGAAACTCTAAAAATCAGAGCGCCCCTCCTCCTCCAAAGGAACGCAGCTCCTCACCAGCAACAAAACATAGCTGGACGGAGAATGACTTTGACGAGTTGAGAGAGGAAGGCTTCAGACGATCAAACTACTCCAAGCTAAAGGAGGAAGTCTGAACCCATGGCAAAGAAGTTAAAAACCTTGAAAAAATTCAACAACGCTTCATGCTAAAAACTCTCAACAAATTAGGTATTGATGGGATGTATTTCAAAATAATAAGAGCTATCTATGACAAACCCACAGCCAATATCATACTGAATGGGCAAAAACTGGAAGCATTCCCTGTGAAAACTGGCACAAGACAGGAATGCCCTCTCTCACCACTACTATTCAACATAGTGTTGGAAGTTCTGGCCAGGGCAATCAGGCAGGAGAAAGAAATAAAGGGTATTCAATTAGGAAAAGAGGAAGTCAAATTGTCCCTGTTTGCAGATGACATGATTGTATCTAGAAAACCCCATCGTCTCAGGCCAAAATCTCCTTAAGCTGATAGGCAACTTCAGCAAACTCTCAGGATACAAAATCAATGTGCAAAAATCACAAGCATTCTTATACAGCAATAACAGACAAACAGAGAGCCAAATCATAAGTGAACTCCCATTCACAATTGCTTCAAAGAGAATAAAATACCTAGGAATCCAACTTACAAGGGATGTGAAGGACCTCTTCAAGGAGAACTACAAACCACTGCTCAATGAAATAAAAGAGGATACAAACAAATGGAAGAACATTCCATGCTCATAGGTAGGAAGAACCAATATCGTGAAAATGGCCATACTGCCCAAGGTAATTTATAGTTTCAATGCCATCCCCTTCAAGCTACCAATGACTTTCTTCACAGAATTGGAAAAACCTACTTTAAAGTTCATGTGGAACCAAAAAAGAGCCTGCATTGCCAAGTCAATACTAAGCCAAAAGAACAAAGCTGGAGGCATCACGCTACCTGACTTCAAACTATACTACAAGGCTACAGTAACCAAAACAGCATGGTACTGGTACCAAAACAGAGATATAGATCAATGGAACAGAACAGAGCCCTCAGAAATAATGCCACATATCTACAACCATCTGATCTTTGACAAACCTGACAAAAACAAGAAATGGGGAAGCGATTCCCTATTTAATAAATGGTGCTGGGAAAACTGGCTCACCATATGTAGAAAGCTGAAACTGGATCACTTCCTTACACCTTATACAAAAATCAATTCAAGATGAATTAAAGACTTAAATGTTAGACCTAAAACCATAAAAACTCTAGAAGAAAACCTAGGCAATACCATTCAGGACATAGGCATGGGCAAGGACTTTATGTCTAAAACACCAAAAGCAATGGCAACAAAAGCCAAAATTGACAAATGGGATCTAATTAAACTAAAGAGCTTCTGCACAGCAAAAGAAACTACCATCAGAGTGAACAGGCAACCTACAGAATGGGAGAAAATTTTTACAACCTACTCATCTGACAAAGGGCGAATATCCAGAATCTACAATGAACTCAAACAAATTTACAAGAAAAAAACAAACAGCCCCATCAAAAAGTGGGTGAAGGATATGAACAGACACTTCTCAAAAGAAGACATTTATGCAGCCAAAAGACACATGAAAAAATGCTCATCATCACTGGTCATCAGAGAAATGCAAATCAAAACCACAGTGAGATACCATCTCACACCAGTTAGAATGGCAATCATTAAAAAGTCAGGAAACAACAGGTGCTGGAGAGGATGTGGAGAAATAGGAACACTTTTACACTGTTGGTGGGACTGTAGTTCAACCATTGTGGAAGTCAGTGTGGCGATTCCTCAGGGATCTTGAACTAGAAATACCATTTGACCCAGCAATCCCATTACTGGGTATATACCCAAAGGATTATAAATCATGCTGCTATAAAGACACATGCACATGTAAGTTTATTGCGGCACTATTCACCATAGCAAAGACTGGGAACCAACCCAAATGTCCAACAAATGATAGGCTGGATTAAGAAAATGTGGCACATATACAGCATGGAATACTATGCAGCCATAAAAAAGGATGAGTTCATGTCCTTTGCAGGGACATGGATGAAGCTGGAAACCATCATTCTCAGCAAACTATCACAAGGACAAAAAACCAAACGTCGCATGTTCTCACTCATAGGTGGGAATTGAACAATGAGAACACATGGACACAGGAAGGGGAGCATCACACACCGGGGCCTGTTGTGGGGTGGGGGGAGGTGGGAGGGATAGCATTAGGAGATATACCTAATGTTAAATGATGAATTAATGGGTGCAGCACACCAACACGACACATGTATACCTATGTAACTAACCTGCACGTTGTGCACATGTACCCTAAAACTTAAAGTATAATAAAGAAAAAAAATGTGTTAAAGTGTGCTTCTATTGAAACAGATCGTTTATTCAAAATAATAATTAGCAATAATATTTGATTATAAATAAATTAAGAAGAACAATAAAAGTTTTCATTTTATCTTCACTTATTCTTATTCCAATGCTCTTCCTTTCTTGATATACATCCAAGTTACTGACATGTATCATTTTCCTTCTTCCCAAGGAACTTTTCTTTAACATTTCTTTCAAGGCAGGTTTACTGGCAACGAATTCCCTCAATTTTTGTTTGAGAAAGTCTTTATTTCTCCTTCACTTATGAAGAGTAATTTCACAGAATATAGAATTCTAGGTTGGTGATGCTTTTTTTTCCCCTCTCTCAACACTTTAAATATTTCACTCCACTCTCCTCTCGCTTACGCAATTTCTGAGAAGTTAGATGTAATTCTTATCTTGACTTGTCTATAGGTAAGGTGGTTTTTTTTTTCTTCTGGGTTCCTTCAGAATATTCTCGTCATCTTTTAATTTTTTTTTCATAGTTTGTAACTTAGGTGGCTACATGTAGTTTTTCTGTAGGCATTTATCCTGCTTGATGTTTTCTGAGCTTCCTGGATCTGTGGTTTGGTGTCTCACATTGAGAGAAATTCTCAGCCATTATTGCTTCAACTATTTCTCCTGTTTCTTTCTCTTCTGCTTCTGGAATTCCCATCACATGTATGTTACATCTTTTGCAGTTGTCTCACAGTTCTTGCATACTCTGTATTTTTTTCAGTCTTTTTCTGCTTTTCAGTTTTGGTGATTTCCATGAGATATTCTCAAGCTCAGAGATGTCTTTCCTCAGCAGAATCCAGTTTACTAATAAGCCTGTCAAAGGCATTCTTCATTTTTGTTACAGTGTTTTTAATCTATAGCATTTCTTTTTGGTTCTTTCTTACAATTTCCATCTCTGATTAAACTGCCTATATATACAGAGCATATATACCAACCTGTGAATGCACACACACACACATCTATTTTTTTGTGTATCTATGAATTCATACTGAGACCCTGCACACTATTTCAACACCATAGGGTTCATTATAATCCGCATCTTTTTATTTTAAGTTCCGGGGTACATGTGCAGAATGTGCAGGTTTGTTACATAGGTAAACGTGTGCCATGGTGGTTTGCTGCACCTATCGACTCACCACCTAATTATTAAGCCCAGCCTGCATTAGCTCTTTTCCCTAATGCTCTCCCCCACCGCCTTCCCCTGACAGGCCCCAGTAAGTGTTGTTCCCCTCGGTGTCCATGTGTTTTCATTTTTCAGCTCCCACTTATGAGTGAGAACATGTAGTATTTGGTTTTATGTTCCTGCATTAGTTTGCTGAGGATAAGGACTTCCAGCTCCATCCATGGCCCTGCAAAGAACATGATCTCATTCCTTTTTATGGCTGCATAGTATTCCATGGTGTATATGTATGACATTTTCTTTATCCAGAGTATCATTGATGGGCATTTGGTTGATTCCATAACTTTGCTATTGTGAATGGTGCTGTCTGCATCTTTTTCTTATTTGTAACTTATTTCTCTGATAGAAGCCTGGCTCTCATTATTTACACTATATTTTCTCAGTTCAACCTTATTATACTCATAGTTTAGAATTGATAACACATACCTCTGTCAGAGAAAAAAATTAAAAACTAGAGTACAATGTTCATATACAATTATTTTTGTCTTTAGCTTTATAGTAGCCAATATGATCACTTGTCCAAAATCACTTAGGTAATCTCCTTTCTTCTCAATGCCACATCCTGGGTGTCAGTTTTCATAATTTACATACTGTAAAATTAACTTGGTGGTTTCTAATGGTTTTGACAAATGCAGAGTTGTATATCTACCACCAGTTTCTTAGTTCCACTCCACCCCACATTCTTTTGTCCTGCTTCTTTGTAGTCAATTGCTTCTACCCCCACCCCTAGCAATCACTTACTATTTTCTGTCCCTACAGTTTTGCCTTTTCCAGAAATTTATACAAATTGAATAATATAACATGTAGTCTTTTGGGTCTTGCTTTTTTCACTTACCAAAATACATTTAAGTTCCATGCATGCTGTTGGGTGAATCAACAAATGTTGAAACAACAAAATGTTGTTTGTTCCTTGAACTGGCTTTATATATGGATAGATGTTCACTCATTTACCAGTTGAAAGACCTGTGGGTTGTTTCCAGTTTGGGGTGATTATAGATAAAGTTCTATAAACGTTCATATACACATTTTTGCATAAACCTACATTTTCACTTCTCTTTGAAGAACACCTAGAGGTGAGTTTGCTGGGTCATATGATATGTGCATGTTTATAAGAAACTGTTAAACTGATTTCCAAAGTAGCTGTACCATTTTCATTCTAATGAACAATATGTGAGTGTTCCTGTTGTCCCAGACCCTTGCTAGTATGTGGTATTATCAGGTTGGTGTGTGCGGTGGTTTTTTTGTTTGTTTTTGTTTTTCTTTAAGCCATTCCAGTAGGTATGTAGTGGTACCTTAGTGCAGTTTTAATTTGAACTTCCATAATGACTATTGATGTTAAGCATCTTTTCATGTGCTTCTTCACTGTCTTTTCTGGTTGAATTGTGTCTCCTCCAAAAATGAAATTCTAACCCTCACTACCTATGAATATAATCTTATTGGAAAATGGGGTCATTGCAAAAGATCAAGTTAAGGTGAGGTTATCAGGATGGGCCTTAATACAATGTGACTGATGTCCTTATAAAAAGGGGAAATTTGGAAACAGACGCATGCACACAGGGAGGATGCTGTGTGAGGATAAAGACAGAGCTCTACAAGCCAAAGAACACCAAAGATCACCAGCAAACCACCAGAAGCTAGGACAAAAAAACAGAACCGATTTTCCCACACAGCCTCAAAACCAGCCCTGCCAACACCTTGATCTTGGGATCTGTGGTCTCTGGAACTGAGAGATAATACATTTCTATTGTTTAAGCCACCCTGTTTGTGTACTTTTCATAGTAGTCTTAGCAAATTAAGACACTATCTGTATATCTTTTTTGGTGAAGTATCTGTTTAGAACTTTTACCTATGTTTTTGTGGTTGGGTTTGGTTTGCTTTGGTTTTGCTATTGCTTGCTTACTGTCTGTAAGCAACTCCCAGCCACATTTCCTTCTTAGTCATTATAGTTCCATGATGGCTACAATTAAAGAAGTCTTGGCCACGTGCGGTGGCTCGCGCCTGTAATCCCAGCACTTTGGGAGGCCGAGGCAGTTGGATTGCTTGAGGCCAGGAGTTTGAGACCAGCCTGACCAACATGGCAAAACCCCATCTCTACTAACAGTACAAAAATTAGCCGAGCATGGTGGCATGCACCTGCAGTCCCAGCTACTTGGGGCTGAGGCAGGAGAATCGCTTGAACCCAAGAGGCAGAGGTTGCAGTGAACTGAGATCGCACCACTGCACTCCAGCCTGGGTGACACAGCAAGACTCCATCTCAAAAAAAAAAAAAAAAAGAAAAGAAAAAGAAGTTTTAACACAGATATTGGATGGGATGGAGAAATGCCCCTGGCCACCCTAGAGAGCATCTATCAAGCTGTGTGCTGTGTTTATGAGAAGGCTGGGGAGGGATAGTATTGATGAAAGTCCTGTGTCTGATACAGGGTGAAAATCTGCACTTGCATGCAAAAGAGCATTGAATGACAGGGAAAAAAAGCAAAAACCTGAACAAAATGAAAGAGTCCTGATGTTTCACTGGACACCGCAACCCTTTCAAAAGCATGTTATCAGCATGTTTTTAAACAGCGTTTTTGAAGTTACTCACTCATGATTGCAAGGTTCACTTCCTCGACTCTGTTTAACTTTCAGAGGTCTCCCCTCTGCTTCCTGAGTATCATGAGGATCTTCTCACACAGCGATTCTCAGAGAAGGCCTTAGATTATAGTTTTGTATAGAAGCAAACCTGCAAATGTGAGATATTCAGAAGCTGGGATGTGGGTTTCCCAGCCTCTGACTGAACACCTCCCTCCTGCCTTGAAGGGCTTTTAAGAAAACTTTCAAAATAGACTTTATTTATTTGAGCAGTTTTAGGTTCACAGCAAAACTGAGTGGAAAGTACAGAGTTCCTATATGCCCCTCCCCACACACATGCACAGCCTTCCTCACTATCAACACCCCCAGCCAGAGTGGTACATTTGTTATAGTTGAGGAACTTACATGGACACATTATCACTCAAAGTCCATAGTGTAGGTTAGGGTTCACTCCTTACATTGTCTGTGCAGTTTTTATAAATCATAAAGCCTTTATTTCTAATTTCAGTCTGTGGTCTCGTTTTACACAACAAGGGTTTCCAGAGAGATAGGGTGGGAATGGGATGGGGCTGGGGTAGAAATCTACCGACTTTTCTCTCTGAATTTTCCTCCTTTCTTCATTAGATTTATCCAAGTTTGGCGTAGTGGAATCTGGCAGATTGCTAAGTAATATTACTAGTTTCCAGCCCTGTTAAAATGTTTTTTTGTGTGTGTTCCTGCATAGTATTTCAAGGAGGCCTAACAGGAGAATGACTCAGGGATTGCTAGCTTTCCACCAACATAGCTTGGAAGTCCCTTTAACTCTTTCACAGAGATAGAGGGTCCCTCTGTAACTATTTTTATGCTGTTCCCACCTTCCCATTTTTCTTGATCTGGCAATTTCCTACTTATCTTTCAAGATTCAGCTCACCTGTCTATCCTCTCCCTAAGGCAGACTTTCCTGAACTCCTAGGCTGAATGTCTTACATTGTTCTCTGTTTCAATCTCTATTATTTTCACACCTGTTATACTGAGTGTTAGATTATGGGGAAATGCCATTATTCATCTTCAATCCTTATGATGGCAATTTGCCTCTGGAAACTCTAGTAGATGTCTTATTAAGGGTGACCTTTGTCCAGGGAGGAGACCACCCCCATTAAATTATGAAGGGATTTGAATATCCAGCATCGGAATATGGGACGGGATGACAGAGTGCTGTAGTATTTCCTTATTTTTAATTCTGGTTATACATTATTGTTTTGTATTTAAAAATAAGAACATCTACTTATGTATAGGTTAACCTAGACAGGACTTTATTAAAATGCTGTCTTTAAAAAAAAATAGGTACAGAAATCTTGAAAATCTGTTCCTTTTATTGATTTTATTAATGTTGCATAGAAATATAAAGTTTCACACACCATACTTTTACTAATAAATGTAAATAAGAACAAGTTACTTTTGAACAATTAAAATAACCAAATATTAATGATTTTCAATAAAATACATTTTAAAATAATTCTGAAGCCATAAAAGACTAAAATTCACTTTATGCTAAAATAAATCATATTCTCCCATAATGCAATTATTTAATTTTTTTAAAAAAAGAAACCACCCAATAAGAGTTTAATTCATTCAGAAATTTTTAGCATTTATAAATGCAATAGAGTGTTTCTACTATACTTACTGGCATCATTCTTTACCTTATCACTTATCTTCACACCGGAAGAGGTGAACCAGGTGATTATGCCCCCTGCTGGGGCTGGTTCTTCCTCTAAACAGTGACTTGGCCTGGCAATTAGGTGCAAAATTACCTACATTTACCCTAAAGATTTCTTCAGAGCTGTCAGTCTTCCTAAAACTACCCTAGCAAATAATACTTTTTCCTTTCTGCAAATACTGTTATTCAAACCACTGTATTTACCCCATTCCAAGCTTTCCATTCTCTGTTAAGAATTTCTCAGGTGCTCATGAAGTTTTAAAGGACAAGACTCCTCACATACTACTCATAGCTCAAAACAAATTAGGTTATTTTACAATCCTTGATACAGGCCAGAAAATGAGGATTGGGTAAGTAATTATCCTAATTTGAAAAGGAGAAAACAAGTACAAAAAGAGACTGAGTGATTTTTTTTAACAATCCCCTACATTTATACTTTTACTTTAAGGATTAAAATGTACCATATAGTCTGATGCTCAAAACAAACGTTTTTGAAAACAGACATCATTTTACAAACAAAGACACTGAGTCTCAGAGATATGAGTCACTGCCTAAGGTAGTACAAATAGAAATCTATATTATTAGAACTTGAACTTAGGCTGGGTATAGTGTCTCATGCCTGTAATCCCACTGCTTTGGGAAGCCAAGGCAGGATTCAAAAGCAGCCTGGCCAATATAGCAAGAACCTATCTCTACAAAGTATATTAAAAAAATAGCTGGGTGTGGTGGCACACCCTTGTAGTCCCAGCTACTTGGGAGGCTGAGGCAGGAGGATCACTTGAGCTCAGGAGGCTGAGGCTGCAGTAAGCCATGATCATGCCACTGGACTCCAGCATGGGTGACAGTGAGACCCTGTCTCTAAAAATAATAATAATTATTAGTCAGAACTTGAACTCAAGTCCTTCGATTCCCAGCACACAGAGCCTTTCCTTGCCACACCACAATGGCTCTTACTAACTTGAACATGGTGAGGAGCAGTGCAGCAGTCTGTATACCACCAACCAAAACTTGACTCAGTGGATGCTATGTAGATGCCGTGAAGTCTGAGTAAAATGAATCCTGTTGCCTTGGAAGAGGAATCCATGTATCATTTTCAATGTTGTTCTAGATAATCCTGATGTGCTTGATAAATGACAGCTGCTATGTGAATAACCATACAATTGCCATAATTATAAACAGAATTACAAATGATAGACTGGGGACAAGCTACTAAGCAGTATGTTGAGTATTAAAATGGTACGTATGGGAATCTATATTATTCAACCTTCCAAAATGCATATTAAAGAACAATCTTGGTTAAAATATCAATACAAAATGGTTTTAAGATTCTGATTTATGATACATTTTCCAATTTTCTTGTTTAAAAATATAAAAAATGATTTATTATATCGGCCGGGTGCAGTGGCTCATGCCTGTTAACCCAGCACTTTGGGAGGCCAAGGCGGGCAGATCACGAGGTCAGGAGATTGAGACCATCCTGGCTAACACAGTGAAACCCCATCTCTACTAAAAATACAAAAAATTAGCCGTGTGTGGTGGCGGGCACCTGTAGTCCCAGCTACTCGGGAGGCTGAGGCAGAAGAATGGCATGAACCCAGGAGGCGGAGCTTGCAGTGAGCTGAGATTGCACCACTGCACTCCAGCCTGGGCAACAGAGCGAGACTCCCTCTCAAAAACAAACAAACAAAAAAGATTTATTATATCATAAATTTTTTTCACTACAAAAATTGAGTTTTCTCTTGGAAAACCAACAACTTATTAGTAGCTTCCTTTTAAGCACAATTTGGTTATTAGAAGGCCTTCACTGCGGGAGTAATCTTGCAGAAGAATTTATGACCTTGGGAATTTGTATTTTCAAAAATATAACCTGGAGGAGAGGGATAGCTAGCTGGGCAAATTTCCTGTTTTTTCGGTGTGTACTCTACAGAGTACATGGTTACATCATCAAATGGAACAGAACTCTTAAAAGCAATATTTAAAGGTTTGCAACTCTCTGTTGGAATCAATTCATGTTGCAAATAGTGAGATCTGAAAGTGCTCAAACCATCAAATTTTCCAGATGGGTTGGGAATCTGCTGCTGCTTCTTAATAAGTCCTTGACGACAACTTTCCCATGCTGGAAAATCTTTCATGGTGCTTTTTCCTTGGAAAGGAAAACTGTTACTTCTTCTACGAGAAACTGGCCTGATGGGAACAACACGGTTGGCCTGATACGGAACATAGTCAAGATGGCTTGTGCTGTTTAACAGCATGCTACCTGTAGGAGGCACATACTCTGGTACTTTCTTGACCTCCGGTCGTGGGATTTCCCATGGTTGAAAACTTTCACGGAATTCAGTGCTTCCTTCAAACCGAGCATTCTGGGTCACTCTGGTGTGTACAGGTCTGCAGAGTTTTGCAGTTTCACCAAATAAGACCCCAAAAGTCATACCGGTGAGTTGTGAAATCCTCAAAGCGTTGGTCAGTTGGTTTGTAAACTTCTTTTGGCCTTTCAAACTTGAGTTCAAGCTGATGAGGTATATAATCAAGGCGATTACTTGTAATACCATTAAAAGGGGCTGTAGAACGTTTGACCACAGAGAAGGGTTTAAAGCTTTGCCTAGGCTTTATCTCCTGAGGAACAAAGTCATCCTGGAATGTAGTTGAATTTCCAAATTTCACAGTAGGGGGGTGGTAAGTTCGTTCTGGCTTATAAAGTTCACTTTTACGAAGGTCCCAAGCTTTATAATCGTCTTCAAAATTATATCAAAGCAAAAACAGTTTTAAATGCTGAAGAAAACAACCATCTTCTAAAAATCATAACTGACTTCTCTCATTGCCAAACATCTTTCCATTTCCTTTAGAAATCTAAACAATAGTATCAGAATACAGTTTCTCTGATTCCTTTCAGATTTGTTCTTTTTCTTCATTTCCACCTTCCTCTACCCATCTCCTCACTTTAATACATGTAACTTTCCACTTTCAGATTCATCTGATTACATAACAAAGGAAAAGCACATCTGAGCCTGATTGTGGATAGTTCTTGAAAGCCAAAAGGACTGTGTTGGAGGTGAGGACAGAGTTTAGGAGATTATGGTTGTATTCCTAGGAAGAGGTTGGGATTTTAATTACAACTCACAAAATGCTAAGGTACGTCTAAAAGCCAGGGCTTGAAATAAAATCAAGTGCCCTTCATGGGTGGGCAAAAGTAATACAGGTATTACTCCTTGCTTTGGAGAGACTCTTCAAAGGGGAGAAAAATTTAATTCTGGTATCCTCTAGGAAGCCTACAGAAAGAATTCCTTGAGCAAAGATACAGGGTAACTTGTGCTATCCCAGAAAGATCACTGGCTTCAACTTTCCCTCATGAAATGGACTTTAAGGCATTCCCAAAAGATAGAGGGCCATCTAGAGGCCAGAGGCCTTAACTGAATGTCTTCAGAGGTGTTTGAAATTGTAGAATTTCAAGTGACCATCAGAGCAGAGATCTGGGGTTTGGAAGTTAAATAACCTTAAGCTTACTTCCTGTAGTTTACCTAGACTGTGGAGCATTTTGGGTCACGCTAGTGTATACAGAATGATGACTTGTAACACCATTACAAGTTGGTAATGGTACACTTCACTAAAACTAAAATGTTTATATTTCAACTAAGGATTATTTGTGTTTTCTATTTCTCCATGAGGAAGATAGTAAGCTAGGAAATATCATAGAATAGACTTCACGCCAAAATATATATTTCTAAATACCAAAAGTTAATTTATAAAAGGTAGAAATTTATTACACAAGATAACGTACTAAAATCTGGACTAAAGTCTATGCAATATTTACAGGAAAGGCCAAACTTTGAAAACTTATTATGTGGATATCTTCTTTGAAGAGAAAAAATGCTTAGCCATTTTTGCCAAAATGGCCAAGTTTTGGACTAAATGATTAAGTTACTGATGTCTGGATGAGAGACTGCACCTGACTCAAGAATAGGCGACCTTTAGGCTAGCAGAGACCTTTAAGACAAACTGACAGAAAAGATGAGCTAGATCAAGCATTCTTATTCTTGTAAACCTAAAATTGAAAATAATGAGTGAGATAGAAATGGGAGAATTGAAAAGGATGCCAGGAAGTAGAGCTGAAGAACTATGGAAAGCTGAAGTTACATTCAAAACAGACCTTTAAAGAAACAGAAATGATAACTAGGCAGAGGTGGCCAGTTAGTAAAGCAGCAATCAGAGCAGATGAGTGAAGGGAAGTGAAGATGCTGTGAGAGAAATCATGTAGCTCATTGCGGAGATGAAGGGAAAAGCTCTTCCTTCAAGCTCCCTGGGCACCTGATAGCTTTCCATTTTCAGTTCACATGAAGCTTTACCAGAGCCTTTTTTTCTTGAGGTATCATGAGGGAATCTCTCTTCTTTGCAGACTAAAGTATAAAAGTATAACACTATTTTTCACTAACTAAAAGGAATCAGAGATGTTATCGAAGGTTTATAGTTCCACACAATCATATAGGGAGAATTCTTGCTACCACACAAGAGAAAAAAGATTTTCATTATAAGAGAGTAAACAGAAGAGAATATTTCTCCCTCACCAAACCAGCTTTGGTTTTCAAAATGGAAGCAAGAATTTGGACACTGAGAGATGGATGTGATAGCATACAATAGTATGAATGTAAGTTCTACATAATTGCAGAAAATTGATTTTCTCCCTATAAATATGCCTATGCTCATATGCCTGGAATATTTATTATCTGTTATGGAATATTTGATAACATTCTAGCAGCATCTTTAAAACATCATAATCTTTATCATCTGTTTTTAGTGTTTTATGATACTTATGGAAAAAACAAACAAGAAAACAAACAATGCTGTCCACGTCTAAAAATACAGTTTGGTTATGTGGCAGCTCCACTATTGCCCTTGTTAGATGTTTCCTCAGCTCACTTTTTATGTCTAGCCACTAAAATCTGGATAGAAAGTTTATTCTCTTCTGAACAGGTTTAAGTCCAAGAAGTGTCTGAATGCACTTGCCCACTATTTGTATACACAGCTCCAACCCCATTTTAATATAGTGAGCTGTTCTAGGTTCTTCTTTGAGGACAAAAGTCTTGAGTTGCTTATGCTAGCTCTTTTTCCTGGTACTTGGGACTGCTCCCTGTGGTGTCTTGTGGTACCAAGGAATTGGAAACTACTTTTAGAAAGTCAGGGGACATCATCCTTGGCCTCAGCTTTTTCAATCTACATATCACCAATCTACTCCCATGGTTTTAATACTACCTGTAAGGTGGTGACTCCCAAACTTGAATCTCTACTTCAGACCTCCCTTCAAACACCAACCCACATATTTATCCACCTACTAGACATCTTTATTTGGATGTCCCTCAGATAAATGAAAACTTAGCATGCCCCAATTAATTATCTCACTCAGACTCACGTTCCCCAGAAAATAACATACCTACAAAGTTTCTGTTGTGAATTTGGCAAGTCAGGCTAAGGTTCCGTTTAATTGACTTTTTCTCCCTCATTTCCTTCTCTCCTTTTCAAGTAGTTTTCAAATACTGTTGATATTACCTTCTAAATATTAATGTCTTCCTTCTTGAAGCAAACATGGAATGAATGGCAACCTGATAAAATTGTCAAAAATAAGAAAAAGAAAAAAGAAGAGGCCACAATGTAAAATAAACGTCTATAAGGTCTGTAGTGCTATTCTCTTTCATTCTTGATATTTGTAATTGGTGTCTTCTCTCTTTTGGTTTATCAACTTTATTATCTTTTAATAGAACCAATTTTTGGTTTCATTGTTTTTCTGTTTTCAAATTTATTGATTGCTGCTGTTATCCTCATTTATTTCCTTCTACTTTGCTTTGGATTTAATTTGCTCTTATTTTTCTAGTTTCATACAATGAAGGTTTAGACTGTTGATTTAAGACTTTCTTTTCTAATATGAACCTTAAATGCTATAAATTTTCCTCAAAGTATTGCTTTAGATGCATCTCTCAGATTTTGGTATACTATATTTTCATTAAATTCAAAATACTTTCTAATTTCTTTTACTTTTGCTTAAAACCATTCGTTATTTAGAAATTTGCTGTGTAATTTCCAAATATTGGGGGATTTTCCCACTTTTTTTCTATTATTGATGTTTAATTCAATTCTGTTATGATCAAAACCACACATTGCATGCTTTCAATTCTTTTATATTTGTTAAGGTTTGTTTTATGGCTCCGAATATAGTTTATCTGAATGAACATTTCATGTGCACTTGAAAAGAATGTGTATTCTGTTATTGTTGACAGAAGTGCTTTGCAAATGTCAATTTGGACAACTGTTGATAGTGTTTTTCAGGTCTTTATATCCTTATTCATTTCCTGTCTATATTCTATAGATTACTTAAAGAGAGTGTTGAAGTCTCCAACTACAAATGCATGTTTTTACATTTCTTATGTTAGTACTATAAGTTTATGTTTTGTGTATTTGAAGCTCAAGTGTTAAGGGCATACACATTTAGAATTTTGTGTTTGGGAAATGGAGGGTGAGTGTGTGGTGGTTTCTCTGTTGTCCTGGTTCAGCTTCAGTCTTAGGCAGTCCCTGTGCCCCCGGGCCTCAGAAGCAGGGCTCTCTCAGTGCACCTGCTCCTTCACTTGATGTAGTAGGTCTCTAATTGTTGGTCCCGAGACAGTTTCCTGTTCTTTCTTCATGTTCAAGGTTTGGTTTTATTTTGCTTCTTGTTGTTGTTTTTCCTTTATCTTTCCTCAAGGTACAATACATCTTCAGCTATTCATTGGGGTTGTCAGAGTGATGTCTCTCCCGCAGTGGATTAATGCTTTTGTTCTGTAGGTTAGAGTCATTCAAATGGAGCTTCCTGCTATTTTTTTCTTTCGCAACAACAACCATTCTTCTCTCCATGCCCGCACTACAAAGGAAACTTTCTGTGGCCTCCAGCCTTTCTCCCAATCTTTCTGATGATCACAGAGTGAACATCCATAGGGAAGAGTCTATGAGTGGTTTTGAACTCCCCCTTTAGTGTCTGAAGTTCTCAGAGCTTCTATACTCTCACAGTAGTTCACACTCAAGTCTTTAGCAACTAAAGATGTAAATGAATTATTTTATCCACTTTTGTAACAGCTAGTCTTCATTCCATGCCCTGCTTTGGGTGAAACAGTGCTTGCCTCCTGTCTCAACTGGGTGGAAGTTGTTTTTCCTTAATGTCAGGCTAATTGGTTAACCTGTGATCTCAGGTTTCTAAAGGATTCATACACATTTATGATTTTGTAGATTATCTGGCTTTTTCTTATTGTTATGTTGGGGACATAATCTTTCTGACTTCCTGCATCCTACACAGAATCTGAAAATTCTGGAATTCTTTATGGTGAGGTTTAAAATTACACCTTCAATTCTACAAATTCAATTTCCTTTACAGATATAGGGCTATTTTGAATTTTTATTTCTTCTTGGGTTACTTTTGGTAAATTGCATTTTTCAAAAAATTTATCCATTTTATGTAAGTTGTAAATTATTGGCATATTTTTAAAAATAATATCTTTTTAATGTGTGAAAAATCACTCTTTGAGTTTTAATCAAAATATTTTGTTCATTTACACTTAATGTAATGATCTAGCTGGGCTTAAGTTGACTGTATTGCTATTTGCTTTTGATTTTTCCCTTCTTTGTTCCCATACCCCTTATTTCCTGCCTTCTTTTGTATTACTAAATGGCATTTTTATTATTCTACTTTACTATTAGAATTTTATCTTTCTATGTTTTAAAAATAAAAATGAATTTTTGACTTGTCATGAGATTTTTCTGGCTCAAACTTAAATGGACATTTTTACCACGTCTACCATGGAAGAACCTGTAAGCAATTTAATTCTATTTAACTCCTCTTGCCTTTTGTGCCACTGTTCTAACATATTTTACTTTCATATTTGTGTAAAAACATAATATAGTAATTTTGACTTCCAGTTGTCAATATTCTTTTATATTTACCCACATATTTACCCTTTCTGTGTGCTTCATTCCTTCCTGCATTTCATGCTTCTATCTGGAGTAAGTTTCCTTTTAACTAAACAATTCCCTTTAATACATTTGTAGTAGGCATCTCAGCTTTTTCTTTTTTGTCTGAAAACATTTTTACTTTGCTTAAATTTTTAAAGGGCATTTTTGCTAGATATATAATTCTCAGATTTGCTGGCTTTAAAATTCTAGATCCTTCTGGCACCTTTAGCACTTTTAAAGTGTCATTTCACTGTCATTTAACTTCCAGAGCTTCTGTTGAAAAGTCATGTATCATTCTGTTTAAAAGTCAGATATAACTTTTTCTTTTTGTAGATAACGTATAGTTTTTCACTTGCTACTTTTAAGACTTTATCTTTACCTGGTTTTCCGAAGTTTGACAATAGTTGTCTAGGGTGGTTTCCTATGTGTTTATTTTGGAGTTTGCTGAGCTTCTTGAATCTGTGGGCTGATTCTTTCATCAATTTTGGAAAAGTCTTGACCATTATCTCTTCAAATATTTCCTGGTTCTTCATAGGCCTCATAACATTTTACTATATGCTAGATGTTGTGTATAAGAGAATCATAAAAACTAAAATCAGTGTTATTTTCAACAGAGACAATTTGTTCTTTCCTATGGTAAAATACAGGGCAGATCACCTCATTCTTACCAGAGTCTGAGCTAGATTAGGGCTCAATGGCACCTTTAGTTAGACATAGTCTTACTCTAGTTTCAAATGTCTCAAGAACAAGGCTTGAGGTGTGTTTGTAGTAAGGCCCTCATTCTAGTGGAACTCTCTTCTAAGCATTTACTCTCAAATAAGACTGTGGGATATTCCTGTGGGATTTTTCTGGCCCAGCCTCTCAGCACACCACACTCCCTTCCCTGCAAACACGCAGTGAATGTCTCACATTGAAAACCAGCCATGTATCTAGGGCTCTTCTAGATTTCAGTTAGTCCTATCAGCCCACATTCAAGTGTTCCACTGCTTTCTCTTTCCCCTACTAGAGTTTCTCTGCTTATGCCAAGCTCAATCCTCAGCATAGGCCTAGACTTGACAAGTGTTCCCAGAGAAGTAAATGGCTGGCCATATCAACTCACTGAGGAAGGGCTCCTATCTCTCTGAAGTTTTAGTTTTTTGCTTCTACAGCTGTCTGGTGCCCTTAAAAGAAGATTTTTAAAAATCTATACTTATGTCAAGCCCCTCAGCCTGGCAATCAAGGTTCTTCCCAAACTGATCTCAGTCTACCTTTATAGAATTACACCCCAATCTCTCATCCCTGAAACCTTCTGGTCCTCACCATGTGTACTGAATAACTTTTATTTTTTGGTTCTATGCTTTTTTACTCATTTCATACCAGTTTTTAGAAAGTTCCTCCTGTTTCTATATGTCAGTACTTACTAGTCTCTGATGCATTCCCAGCCTGGCCTGAAGTGATAACTCACCAAGTATAAATTCTTGAAGTACTGTTTGTTCCACTAATTTTCCAGTGAATTATGTCTTCCCCTCATGATATCTCATATAGTATGGCAACTTCATTTTTCATGCTATTGTTTTTTTAAATTCACAATTATAAAGTTTCTTTTTATATAGTCCATATTTTATTTTTAAATAAAAATTGTATATATTTAAGATTTACATGAGGTTTTATATATACACACACAGTAAAATGATTACTAAAGTGAAAAACATATCCATCTCCTCACAGTCACCTTTGTGTGTGTATGCATGTGTGTGCATGTGTGTGGTGAGAGCACCTGAAATATACTCTCAGCAGATTTCCAGTATACAGTACAGTATTATTAACTAGAGTCATGATGCTGTACATTAGATCTCTAGATTTATTCATCCTATACAACTTCAACTTTGTACCTCTTGCCCAATATTTCCCAATTTCCCCCACTTCCCTGCCCCTGGTTACCATCATTCTATCCTGTGCTTCTATGTATTCAACTCTTTTAGATGTATACATTATTATTATATATATTATTACATAATATATAATGGAATATATGTGTACTATATATATATTCAGACATATATTTACACATCACATTTATTTATTCATTGATCGATGCACATTTACGTTGTTTCTTATCTAGGTTATTGTGAATAATGCTGCAATAAATAAGAGTACAGCTATTTCTTCAAGATACTGATTTCATTTCCTTTGGGTATACACCAGAGGGGAAGTTGCTGGATCATATGAAAGTTCCATTTTTAATTTTTGAGAAAACTTCATATTGTTTTCCATATGGCTATACAAGTTTACATTCCCACCAACAGTGTACAAGGATTCCTTTTTCTCCATATCCTAACACCTGTAATCTTTTATCTTTTCTATAATAGACATCATATCTCATTGTGGTTGTGGTTTTGATTTGCATTTATCTGGTGATTGGTGATGTTGAGTACCTTTTCATGTATCTATTGGCCATTTGTATGTCTTCTTTGGAAAAATGTTTACTCAGGTATTTTGGTCAATTTTTAATCCACTTTTTTTTTTGCTATTAAGTTGGGTAAGTTCCTTATTTTTTTTAATATTGACCCTTTATGTGATACATGGTTTGCTCATATTTTCTACCAATTCATAAGTTGCATTTTTTTTGTTGATTGTTTGCTTGCTGTACAGACACTTTTTAGTTTGGTGTAATCCATTCGTCTATTTTTGTTTTTGTTGCCTGTGCTTTCGGAGTCATATCCAAAAAACCATTGGCAAGGTCAAAGTCAAAGAAATTCCCCATGTTTTCTTCTAGGAATTTTATGGTTTGAGGTCTTGTGTTTAAGTCTTCAATTCACTTTGAATTGGTTTTTGTGTATGGAATAAGAAAAGACTCCAATTTCATTCTTTCACATGTGGATATTCAGTTTTCCCAATACCATTTATTTCATTTAATTTCAGATTCAGGGATTATATGTGAAGGTTTGTTACTTGGGTATATTATGTGATGCTGAGGTTTAGCTTTCTAATTATTCCATCATCCAATTAGTGAACACAGTACCCAACAGGTAGTTGTTTAACCTTTGCACCCTCCTCTCCCTTTCTCCTTTTGGAATCTCCAGTGTTTATTGTTTCCATCTTTGTGTCCATGTATACCTAAAGTTTAGCTCCCACTTACAAGTGTGAACATGCAGTATTTGGTTTTCTGTTTCTGTGTTAAATTACTTAGAATAATGACCTCCAGTTGTATCCTTGTTCTTGCAAATAACATTTCATATTTTTATGGCTGCATGGTATTCCATGGTATATACATACTGCATTTCCTTTATCTGATCCACCATTGATGGGCACCTGGGTTGATTCCATGTCTTTGCTATTGTGAAAAGTGCTACAGTGAACGTACAAGTGCAGATAGAATGATTTATTTTCCTTTGGGTATATACCCAGTAATGGGATTGCTTGGCTGAATGCCATTCTAACTGGTTTGAGATGGTAACTCATGTGGTTTTCATCTGATCGTTAGTGATGTTGAGAATTTTTTCATGTCCTTTGCCCACCTTTTAATGTTATTTTTTCTTGTTGATTTATTTAACTTCCTTATAGGTTCTGGATATTAATCCTTTGTTGGATGCATAGCTTGTGAATATTTTCTCCTATTATGTAGCTTGTTTGTTATGTTGTTGATAGTTTCTTTTCCTTTGCAGAAGCTCTTTAATTTAATTAAGTCCCATTTTATCAATTTTTATTGCATTTGCTTTTGAGCACTTAAGATATAAATTTTTTGCCTAAGGCAATGTCTAGAAGAGTATTTCCTAGGTTTTCTTTCAGGATTTTTATAGTTTGAGGTCTTACATTTAAGCTTTTAATCCATCTTGAGTTAATTTTTGTATATAGTGAGAAGTAGGTGTCCAGTTTCATCCTTCTGCATATGGTTGGCCAGTTTTTCCAGCATCATTTATGGAATAGGGAGTCCTTTCCCCATTGTTAATTTTTGCCAGTTTTGTTGACAATTAGGTGGTTGTAGGTGTCTGGATTAATTTCAGAGGTCTCCATTCTGTTCCATTGGTCTACGTGTCTATTTTTGTACCAGTACCATGCTGTTTTGGTTACTGCAGCTTTGTAGTATAGTTTGAAGTTGGGAGATGTAATGCCTCTGGCTTTATTCTTTTTGTTTAGGATTGCCTTGGCTATTCAGGCTCTTTTTGGGTTCCATATAAATTTTAGAATCGTTTTTCTCTAATTCTGCAAAAAAGTGATATTGCTAATTTGATAGATTGCTTTGGGTAGTAGACATTTTAGTGATATTGAATCTTCCTATCCATGATCACGGAATGCTTTTCCATTTGTGTAGTCTATGATTTCTTTCTCCTTGTGGAGATCTTTCACCTCCTTGGTTAGATGTATGCCCAGGTACTGTGAGTGTGTGTGGCTACTGTAAATGGAATTATGTTCTTGATTTGGTTCTCAGCTTGAACATTATTGGTGTATAGAAATGCTACTGACTTTTGTATATTGATTTTGTATCCTGAGACTTTGCTGAAGTCGTTTATTAGGTCTAGGAGTCTTTTGGCAGGATCTTTAGGGTTTCTTAGGTATAAATTATACTGTCAGCCAAGAGAGAGAATTTGACTTCCTCTTTTTCTATTTGGATGCCTTTTCTTTCTCTTGCCTGATTGCTTTGGCTAGCACTTCCAATACTATGTTGAATATGAGTGATACGAGTGGGCATCCTTGTCTTGTTCCAGTTCTCAAAGGGAATGTGTCCAGATTTTTGTCCATTCAGTATGATGTTGGCTGTGGGTTTCTCATAGATGGCTCTTATTATTTTGAGGTATGTTCCTTCAGTGCCTAGTTTGTTGAGAGTTTCTATCATGAAGGGATGTTGAATGTTATCAAATGCTTTTTCTGCATCTATTGAGATGATCATATGATTTTTGTTTTAAATTCTATTTATGTGGTGAATCACATTTATTGATTTGCATATGTTGGACCATCCTTGCATCCCAAGAATAAAACCCACTTGACTGTGGTGAATTAACTTTTTGATTTGCTGCTGGATTTGGTGTGCTAGTATTTTTTGAGGATTTTTTCATCTGTGTTCAGGGAAAATGTAGTTTTCTTTTTTGTGTTTTTGTCAGATTTTGGTATCAGAACCATACTAGTTTCATAGAATGAGTCAGAAAGGAGTCCCTCTTCCTCAATTTTCTGGAATACTTTCAGTAGGATTGGTACCAGCTGTTCTTTGTATGTCTGGTAGAATTCAGTTGTGAACACATTTGGTCCAGGGCTGTTTTATTTTATTTATTTATTTATTTATTTTTGGTTGGTAGGTTTCTTACTACTGATTCAATTTCCTTACTTGTTATTGATCTGTTCAGGATTTCTCTTTCTTCCTGATTCAATCTTGGGAATTTGTGTTTCCAGGAATTTATCCATTTCCTCTAGAATTTCTAGTTTGTGTGGTTCATAATATTCTCTGAGGATCTTTTGTATTTCTGTGGGATCAGTTGTGATGTCACTTTTGATTGTGCTTATTTGGATGCCTTTTTTTTGTTAATCTAGCTACTGGTCTATAATCTTGTTTATCTTTTCAAAAAGTGAACTTTTTGCTTCATTGATCCTTTGTACGGTTTTGGGGGTCTCAATTTCATTCAGTTCTGCTCTGATTTTAATTATTTCTTCTGCTAGCTTTTGGTTTAGTTTGTTCTTATTTTGCTAGTACTTTTGGTTGCTAGGTTAGGTTGTTAATTTGAGATATTTCTATCTTTTTGATGTAGGCATTTAGCACTATAAACTTTCCTCTTACCCTTGCTTTTGCCACATCCCAGTAGTTTTGGTATGTTGTGTCTCTATTTTTATTTATTTCAAATACTTTTTTTTTTTTGAGATGGAGTCTTGCACTGTTGCCCAGACTAGAGTGCAGTGGCACAATCTCGGCTCACTGCAACCTCTGCCTCCCGGGCTCAAGCGATTCTCCTGCCTCAGCCTCCCAAGTAGCTGGGATTACAGGCGCCCGCCACCATGCCCAACTACTTTTTTGTATTTTTAGTAGAGACAGCGTTTTACCATGTTGGCCAGGCTGGTCCCGAGCTCCTGATCTCGTGATTCACCCACCTCGGCCTCCCAGAGTGTTGGGATTACAGCATGAGCCACCATGCCTGGCCTCAAATACTTTTTAAATTTCTGCCTTAATTTCATTGTTTACCCAAAAGTCAGTCAGGAGCAAGTTGTTTAGTTTCCATGTATTTGTGTGGTTTTGAGATTTCCTCTTGGTACTGATTTCTATTTTTATTCTACTGTGGTCTGAGAAGATAAATTGTATTATTTCAATGTTTTTGAATTTATCAAGACTTGCTTTATGACTGAGAATGTGGTCAAACTTAGGGTATGTTCCATGTGAAGATGAGAAGAATGTATATTCTGGGGTTGTTAGGTGGAGTATTCTGTAGATCTCTATTGTCCAATTGGTCAAGTGTTGAATTTAAGTCCAGAATTTCTTAGTTTTCTGTTTTGATGATCTGTCTAATGCTGTCAGTGGGGTGTTGAAGTCTCCCACTGTTTTAGTGTGACTGTCAAAGTCTTTTCTTAGGTCTAGAAACATTTGTTTTATAAATCTGAGTGCATATATAATACATTTAGGATAGTTAGGTGTTCTCATTGAACTGCACTCTTTATTATTATGTAATTAACGCCCTTCTTTGCCCCTTTTTACTGTTGTTGGTTTAAAGTCAATTTTATCTGATACAAAAATAACAACTCCTGCTTTTTTTGTTTTCTATTTGTGTGGTAGATCTTTCTCCATCTTCTACTTTGAGCCTATGGGTGTTGCTGCATGTGAGATGGGTCTCTCAAAGACAGCAGAAGGAAGGGTGGTTTTTTTTTTTTTTTTTTTTTAATCCAATTTGCCACTCTGGGTCTTTTAAGAAGAGCATTTAGGCCATTTACATTCAAGGTTAATATTGATACGTGGGGGCCAGGCATGGTGGCTCACGCCTGTAATCCCAGCACTTTGGGAGGCCGAGGCGGGCAGATCACCTGAAGTCAGGAGTTCAAGACCAGCCTGACCAATATGGTCTCTACTAAAAATACAAAAATTAGCTGGGCATGGTGGTGGGTGCCTGTAGTCCCAGCTACTCAGGAGGCTGATACAGGAGAATTGCTTGAACCCGGGAGGCAGAGGTTGCAGTGAGCTGAGATTGTGCCACTGCACTCTAGCTTGGGTGACAGAGTGAGACTCTGTCTCAAAAAATATCTATATCTATATATAGATATAGATAGATAGATAGATATGTGGGGTTTTGTTCCGGTCATACATAGTTCCTTTGTAGTCTCGATTGTGTAGTTGCTTTATAGGGTCTGTGGCCTATGTGCATGCAAGCCAACACTATTGAAAAGACTATTCTTCCTCCATTGTGTATTCTTGGCACCCTTGTCAAAAATTAGCTGGCTGTAATATGCTTGGGTTTATTCTGGGTTTTCTATTCTGTTTCATTGATCTATATGTCTATTTTTATGCCAGTACTACCTATTATTTTGGTTACTATAGCTTTGTAATATAATATGAAATCACAAAGTGTGATGCCGGAAACTGCTTGGTACATGGTAAGATCAATATGGTAGCCACTACTATTACTACCACAAGACTTCATGGATTGCTTTTTTCTTCTGGACTCTATTGGCACATGACTCATTTTGTGATTAAACTATCTTGTGTTAATCAATATTTGCTGCGTATGTCTGTAAGTTTCCCAAAGAAACCCAAAACCCTCACTGAATTCTTCTATTCACAACATAACTTCTTAGACTAATTAACTGTTTTCTCACCTGCTCCAATCCATTTCAGTCTGGTTTCCAGCACTGCCACTTCCCTAATACAGCTCTAAGGTTCACAGTGTCTTCCATGTGATTAAATTCATCGAACATTTTTAGTCCTCATCTTACTTGACCTCTCCGACAGTAATTGACATTATTGTCCACACTGTCTGTTTCTAGGAAACTTTCTCTTCCCGACTTCCTGATTATTTCTTTCCAGTCTCCTATGCACCTTCATCTACCTCTACTCAGTCATTAAATACATGTTAGCGTTCCTCAAGACTTGGACCTACCTACACATTCTTCTTCTCATCCACTGTTCACTCCTGAGGATAACTCTTCTACTCCCACAGCTTAGATTACTACCTAGATCGAAATAACCCTCAAATTTACATCTCAGCTTAGACCTCTTCTCTGAGCTCCATACCAGTATCTCCGATGGTCTCTTGGATATTCAATGACAACTCAAAACTTAATATGTCCCAAATCAACTCGCTATTTCCCCTCAATAAATGTGGTCCTTTTTGCTTTTTCTCTATTTAAGTGAACGCTATCACCATCGTTTCAGACTCATAGTCAGAAATCTAGGACTCACCCTTTATACCTCAATTCTCTCCCCTATCTAGTCCATCATCAACTACTGTCAATTTTGCCTCATAAATATCTCTCAAATCTAACCACTTTTCTCCACATCGGCCACTACCATAATATGCAGTTTTTGCAAGAGCTTATTTGAATCTCTTTAATAAATTTGAAACTCATTTACCCACATCCACTCTAGTTCTCCCTCCAGTCTTTTCTCCACATGGCACCTGAAGTAATTCTTTCCCATGTAAATCTGATCAGGTCATTCTTGCCCTCCTCTCCCTAGCCGCTTCCTTACCTCCCTTCCTCCCCAACTCCACCCTCCACCAAAAAAAACAAGCCAGAAAAGAAACCTTCATGGCTTATTACTGTAAGGACATAGACAACATGGAACATGGTTTAAAGGCTCTGCCTGGCCTTCTTCACTAGCCTCAACTCTCACTGTGCTTCCTCTTGCTTTCTCTGCTCCAGCTGGCTTTCTTTGATAATTTTCTCCTTCCCATGCTCCTTCCTGCTACATGCTACTCTCTCTCTCTCTGCTTGGAATGCATTTCCTTCCCCCTCTTAATCCAGTTAATTTAACATCCTTCAGGTTTTGACTCATTTTTCTCATTCCCCTGATAAAGTCAAACTCTTGTTCTGGCTGTCAAGGTACCTGTGCCTGTCCTTCACAGATTTTATCACTGTTGCAATTTTAGAGTTATTTTGAGTAATGTTTTTGATTGCCATTTCTAATAGATTGTAATATCTGTCAATAGAGAGATCATGACTGCTTTTGGTCACCGCTGTATCCCAGGTGTCTATTATAGTGCTTGATGCTTAATAAATGCTTAATAACTTTTTATTTAATGGATGAAGAGTAGTAAAAGTCACATACCTCTGCTTCTCAAGACACGTGAGTTGTTCTTTGCTCTTTCCAAATACAAGCTAGAGGGGAATGGGCTAAAATGCAGTCAGGAAGTGAGAGAATCAGGAAGGGAAAAGCAAAGCAAAAGCTTAGAACTCTCAGTTTCTCTGGTTAGACAAGTGTTAGAAAGTATACCTCCAAACCCAAAGCCGCTTTCTATGGAGTAGTAATAGAGGGTGAATGCAGTCTTATTCATCTGATATATCCTGAAACATTTGATGTGTCTAGAATCCTACTCGTTCAGGGCAGGCTTCCTGCCAACTCTGGCAGTCATCTAAGTGAGCTACAATTGTACTGCTATAAAGGATCCAAAATCTTGTACAAGTTCAGACACCTCTTTACACAGTCACTTCCTGTACTATACAAAGGTACAGAAAGCTTCTTTGTTTGTAGGGATAAATCCATTTTCTACTGCTTAGTCAACACAGTCAACATGAGGGAGTCAAGCAAGAGTTTCAAGCTCCTAGATTATGACTTAGAGATACTGCTAGTTTCCCAGTGAAAATACAAAGAAAAGATCCAATGTCTTACTAAGTGAAGAGAAGAAAATTTAAGAAAAGAATATTTTAGTTTTATTGGCATTTTGGACCTTTGGGACATTGCTTTCTTTTTTTTTTTTTTTTTAACTATTAAAGCTTGCTTGAATAAGACAATAGGGGAAATCCAGAATTGAAAAGCAACTGCCTTTTAAAAGAAAGATATGGCAGGTTAAATTTTCTCAATTTCTACATTTAGAACTGGTTAAAAGCAAAATCTTTGTTCAATAAATACAAATATTGTAAAATTTATTTCAAATCTCTAATATGAACCATTAAGGCATCAGGAAAGAAATATTAATAAATTAAAGTGAAGACAAAAGAACCATTCCCATTTCATCAATCTCAACCAGTTATTCAATTTATTCATCTCATTTATCATAATCCATAATTATCTTAGTTATTTATCTGATATTTTTATTTCTGGACTTTCCCACAAGACTATAAACAACAGTAAAGCAAAGACCCTCTCTGTTTTATGTTCCATGTCATCCTCAGTGAGCAGTCCAGTTCCTGACCTGCTGCACTGAATCAGTGGCAACAGAATCACCACCAATGCTGGTTAAAAATGCAGTTTCCTGAGACCCACTCTATTTACTGGCTCTTTTAGATGGAGCTCTGGAGTCTGCAATTTTAACACTTCTAGATGGCACTACTGCATACCAAAATCTGAGGACTAAGTAAAATCTTCCATCTGTGGAAGAGCCATACCCCTATACTAGTAACTAGAGTCACCAAACTATTATTACTGCAAGGAATGCCTGAAATGTTAAAAATATAAATACTAGACTAAAAGTTTGAAAGTCTCCACCTTTGCTAAATAGGAATGAGCTACATCTGAAATGAAATGAAAATGGCTAACATCAAAATCTAAAGCTATTACAGAGCATTTTTAAAACTCCAAATTATAGAAATATGTCTGAGTTCCTTGAAAGCAGGAACTTCAACTTGTGAAAGGAAAATACATCTTGGGGCCCCAAAATCACTAAGCTAAGGGGAAAAGTCAAGCTGGGAAATGTTTAGGGCAAACCTGTCTCCCATTCTATTCAAAGTCACCCCTCTGCTCACTGAGATAAATGCATATCTGATTGCTTCCTTTGGAGAGGCTCATCAGAAACTCAAAAGAATGCAACCATTTGTCTCTTATCTACCTATGACCTGCAAGATCCCTCCCAGCTTCGAGTTGTCCCGCCTTTCCGGAAGAACCAATATTCATCTTACATATATGTTGACTGATGTGTGTTTCCCTAAAACGTATAAAACCAGACTGTGCTCTGAACACCTTGGGCACATATTATTGGTACCTCCTGAGGCTGTGTCACCGGCATGCGCCCTCAACCTTGGCAAAATAAACTTTCTAAATAAACCGAGACCTATCTCAGATATTTGGGGTTCACAAACTTACTGACATTTTTATACTTAACACCAAGATTGTACCTTGAATACAATACATACATTAACAGTTTAAATAAAATAATAAGTAAATATAATACTTAATCCACCTAACTGACAATATACAGAGAGATCAAAAAAGGTAAGTCCAAATGAAAAGTATAGACTTAAGAGGATTTTTGTTCATCACTCACTGAACAAAATATTGGGTACCTACTATGTGCTAGTAGGCATTGTATTCCTTTTCTAAAAATAGAATGCTGAGATAACAATAGACTTAGTTTCTGCTTTCATGAAACACTGAAACTAATCTAATGATAAATAACAGGAAGGTGCTTTGGGAGCTTACATAGAAGACTTTTACCTAATCTGAAAAGTGTCAGAGAAGGCTTTTTCAAGTGATAATTTAGTTGAGATCTGCAGATTGAATGAGCATTAGCTAGGAGAGGGAAGGAAAATTGCAGGTAGGGAAAATAGTATCTTGGAAGACCCTGAGACAAGGAAACCTGGCACTTTTCAAAGACATGAAAAATGGCCCATGGGATGGAGCATAAAAGAGTGAAAAGGACGCTACAGTGAAAATGAATTAGAGAAGTAAGTAGTGAGCAAACCATGCCTCTACATGGTTTTGGTAAGGATTCTGGTTTGTGTTAAACACAATGGGAAAGTTTAAGAGTATTTTAAGCAGAAAAGTGATAGGATTTGGTTTGCATTTGGGCAGGCTGAAGTATTGAAAACAGATCAAACTGCAAAAACTAGAGTAGATTCACATATGATACTTAGAAAGTGACTGCATTCCTCTAGGCCAAGCTTGTCCAACCTGCGGCATATGGGCTGCGTGTGGCCCAGGATGGCTTTGAATGAGGTCCAATACAAATTCGTAAACTTTCTTAAAACATTATGAGATTTTTTGTGTGTGATTTTTTTTTTTTTTTGCTCATCAGCTATGGTTGGTGTTATTGTATTTTACGTGTAGCCCAAGACAAGTCTTCTTCCAGTGTGGCCCAGGGAAGCCAAAAGATTGGACACCCTGCTCTAGGTGGTGGTGACAAACAGTGGAAAATAGATAAATATGAGATATTTTAGGAAGTTAAAAAAAATAGAACTTTTTATATCCCTTTTTTCTTCTCACACTTTGTCAACCTAATTCTCATTTTTCTGTTTTTTTCAAGTTGTGACTTAACTAGTCTCTTACTTATTAGATTGGTTCAACTTAAATCAATGAAACAGTAATTAAATAGCTAGAAAATTTTATTGACACCAGAATAGTTGCGAGAAAAATAAGTAAAGCAAATAGTTACTAAATGTTTACTTAAATGTAGTTATTCCTTCCATTTTACCACGGCATGCTCGAATTTCTTGCTTGGGTTTAAGACTCTGAGGTGGAAGAACATTGTTATACATAGGATATTTTTCCAAATATTCAGTTGTAGGGCAAAACACCCCAGAATTTTCATAAATCCTTGTGGTTCCACGTGGACAAGGATGTCGCCTGTGCAAAAAACAAACTGAAAGATGATTAACCTTAAAAAACATTTTGTGTTGTAATTGCATTTTAATCAGAGACCTCCAATAAACTCACAATTTCTAAATTCTAGAGCTTTACTGAAAAAAAAAACTGTTTCCTCTGTAATGGTGTTTATAAAAACAATCAATAAATAATGGTCTATCCCTATGTGGTAGAAACACAACTATTAAGTGTCTCAAACAATTTAGTGTCTTGTTACACTATAGAAGCTGAAAAGCTAATAGGGAATTTCCCATGCTCTTGCAGAAAGGTTCCACATACAATTTAGGTTTCACCTACTATATGTATTCACATGATACTTTGATTCAGAAGAGAGCTACATAAGGAGAGAGTCAAAGCACAACATTTATTTTGCTTGCATGGAATGTAATAGAGGCAACAAGAGATTGGAGCTAGAAGTTGTTAGGTGGCATCTTGATTTGCAAGCTGGTTTCCTAACTTGGCAGCTTCTTGACCTTGGAAGAGACGAGTGATTCTGGACTCTACAGCTCTGTTGCAAGTTTCTGATTATGGCAGAGGCAGTGGCTCCCTTGTCAGTCCTGGTCTGTGGTAAAATTTTTGTGGAAGCTTATTTTGAAAATGATTTCTTAAGTTCTTCCAGGTGAACTATATATATACTCCTTAATAAATTCCCTTTTGCCTAAACTAACAAGAGGAGATTATGTTATCCATAACTAAGAACCTTGACCAATATATCACATAAGCTAATAGTATACAGTAGAGTTATTTAAGAGAATGAGGGTGGCCTTTATGCATGGTCACTGGAAGATGGTGAGATTGTAAATAGTAAAAAACTGGATTGTAGAATAGTATGCTCAGGGTTTTCCGTTCCAAAATGGTCGAATAGGAACAGCTCCGGTCTGCAGCTCGCAGCGTGATCCACACAGAAGATGGTGATTTCTGCATTTCCAACTGAGCCTCCACTGGTGATACCCAGGCAAACAGGGTCTGGAGTGGACCTCCAGCAAACTCCAACAGACCTGCAGCTGAGGGACCTGACTCTTAGAAGGAAAACTAACAAACAGAAAGGAATAGCATCAACATCAACAAAAAGGACATCCACACCAAAATCCCACCTGTAGGTCACCAGCATCAAAGACCAAAGGTAGATAAAACCACAAAGATGGGGAGAAACCAGAGCAGAAAAGCTGAAAATTCTAAAAACCAGAGTGCCTCTTCTCCTCCAAAGGATCGCAGTTCCTCACTAGTAATGGAACAAAGCTGGATGGAGAATGACTTTGACGAGCTGACAGAAGGAGGCTTCAGAAGACCGGTAATAACAAACTTCTCCGAGCTAAAGGAGGATGTTCGAAGCCATTGCAAGGAAGCTAAAAACCTAGAAAAAAGATTAGACAAATGGCTAACTAGAATAAACTGTGTAGAGAAGACCTTAAATGACCTGATGGAGCTGAAAACCATGGCACGAGAACTACGTGATGCATGCACAAGCTTCAGTAGCCAATTCGATCAAGTGGAAGAAAGGGTATCAGTGATTGAAGATCAAATTAATGAAATAAAGTGAGAGGAGAAGTTTAGAGAAAAAAGAGTGAAAAGAAACAAAGCCTCCAAGAAATGTGGGACTATGTGAAAAGACCAAATCTACGTTTGATTGGTGTACCTGAAAGTGACTGGGAGAATGGAACCAAGTTGGAAAACACTCTTCAGGATGTTATCTAGGATATTATCCCCAACCTAGCAAGGCAGGCCAACATTCGAATTCAGGAAATACAGAAAACACCACAAAGATACTCCTGGAGAAGAGCAACCCCAAGGCACATAATTGTCAGATTCACCAAGGTTGAAATGAAGGAAAAAATGTTAAGGGCAGCCAGAGAGAAAGGTCAGGTTACCCACAAAGGAAAGTCCATCAGACTAATAGCAGATCTCTCGGTAGAAACTCTACAAGCCAGAAGAGAGCGGGGGCCAATATTCAACATACTTATAGGAAAGAATTTTGAACCCAGAATTTCATATCCAGCCAAACTAAGCTTCATAAGTGAATGAGAAATAAAATCCTTTACAGACAAGCAAATATTGAGAGATTTTTGTCACCACCAGGCCTGCCTTACAAGAGCTCCTGAAGGAAGCACTAAACATGGAAAGGAACAACTGGTACCAGCCACTGCAAAAACATGCCAAATTGTAAATACCATTGATGCTAGGAAGAAACTGCATCAACTAACAGGCAAAATAACCAGCTAACATCATAATGACAGGATCAAATTCACACATAACAATATTAACCTTAAATGTAAATGGGCTAAATGCCCCAATTAAAAGACACAGACTGGCAAATTGGATAGAGTCAAGACCCATCAGTGTGCTGTATTCAGGAGACCCATCTCGCGTGCAGAAACACACATAGGCTTAAAATAAAGGGATGGAGGAAGATCAAATAAGCAAATGGAAAGCAAAAAAAAAAAAAAGCAGGGGTTGCAGTCCTAGTCTCTGATAAAACAGACTTTAAACCAACAAAGATCAAAAGAGACAAAGACGGCCATTACATAATGGTAAAGGAATCAATTCAACAAGAAGAGGTAACTATCCTAAATATATATGCACCCAATGCAGGATCACCCAGATTCATAAAGCAAGTCCTTAGAGACCTACAAAGAGACTTAAAGACTCCCAGACAATAATAACTGGATACTTTAACACCCCACTGTCAATATTTTAGACAGATCAACAAGACAGAAGGTTAACAAGGATATACAGGACTTGAACTCAGCTCTGCACCAAGCAGACCTAATAGACATCTACAGAACTCTCCACCCCAGATCAGCAGAATATACATTCTTCTCAGCACCACATCACACTTATTCCAAAATTGACCCCATAGTTGGAAGTAAAGCACTCCTCAGCAAATGTAAAAGAACAGAAATCATAACAAACTCTCTCAGACCACAGGACAATCAAATTAGAACTCAGGATTAAGAAACTCACTCAAAACTACACAACTACATGGAAACTGAACAACCTGTTCCTGAATGACTACTAGGTAAATAATGAAATTAAAGCAGAAATAAAGATGTTATTTGAAACCAATGAGAACAAAGACACAACATACCAGAATCTCTGGGACACATTTAAAGCAGTATGTAGAGGGAAATTTATACCACTAAATGCCCACAAGAGAAAGCAGGAAAGACCTAAAATCGACACCCTAACATCACAATTAAAAGCACTAGACAAGCAAGAGGAAACACATTCAAAAGCTAGCAGAAGACCAGAAATAACTAAGATCAGAGCAAAACTGAAGGAGATAGAGACACAAAAAAACCCTTCAAAAAATCAATGAATCCAGGAGCTGGTTTTTTGAAAAGATAAACAAAATTGATAGACCGCTAGCAAGACTAATAAAGAAGAAAAGAGAGAAGAATCAAATAGACACAATAAAAAATGATAAAGGGGATATCACCACAGATCCCACAGAAATACAAACTACCATCAGAGAATACTATAAACAGCTCTATGCAAATAAACTAGAAAATCTAGAAGAAATGGATAAATTCCTGGACACATACACCCTCCCAAGACTAAACCAGGATGAAGTTGAATCTCTGAATAGACCAATAACAGGCTCTGAAATTGAGGCAATAATTAATAGCTTACCAACCAAGAAAAGTCCAGGACCAGATGGATTCACAGCCGAATTATACCTGAGGTACAATGAGGAGCTGGTCCAATTCCTTCTGAAACTATTCCAATCAATAGAAAAACAGGGAATCCTCCCTAACTCATTTTATGAAGCCAGCATCATCCTGATACCAAAGCCTGGCAGAGACACAACAAAAAAAGAGAATTTTAGACCAATACCTTGATGAACATTGATGCAAAAATCCTCAATAAAATACTGGCAAACCGAATCCAGCAGCACATTAGAAAACTTATCCACCATGATCAAGTTGGCTTCATTCCTGGGATGCAAGACTAGTTCAACATATGCAAATCAATAAACGTAATCCATCATATAAACAGAACCAACGACAAAAACAACATGATTATCTCAATAGATGCAGAAAAGGCCTCTGACAAAATTCAACAGCCTTTCATGCTAAAAACTCTCAATAAACTAGGTAATGATGGAATGTATCTCAAAACAATAGGAGCTACTTATGACAAACCCACAGCCAATATCATACTGAATGGGCAAAAACTGGAAGCATTCCCTGTGAAAACTGGCACAAGACAGGGATGCCCTCTCTCACCACTCCTATTCAACACAGTGTTGGAAGTTCTGGCCAGGGCAATCAGGCAAGAGAAAGAAATAAAGCATATTCAATTAGGAAAAGAGGAAGTCAAATTGTCCCTGTTTGCAGATGACATGATTGTATATTTAGAAAACCCCATCGTCTCAGCCCAAAATCTCCTTAAGCTGATAAGCAATTTCAGCAAAGTCTCAGGATACAAAATCAATGTGCAAAAATCACAAGCATTCCTATACACCAATAACAGACAAACAGAGAGCCAAATCATGAGTAAACTCCCATTCACAATTGCTACAAAGAGTATAAAATACCCAGGAATCCAACTTACAAGGGATGTGAAGGACTTCTTCAAGGAGAACTACAAACCACTGCTCAATGAAATAAAAGAGGACACAAACAAATGGAAGAACATTCTATGCTCATGGATAGGAAGAATCAATATCGTGAAAATGGCCATACTGCCCAAGGTAATTTATAGATTCAATGCCACCCCATCAAGCTACCAATGACTTTCTTCACAGAATTGGAAAAAACTACTTTAAAGTTCATATGGAACCAAAAAAGAGCCTGCATTGACAAGACAATCCTAAACAAAAAGAACAAAGCTGGAGGCATCACATTATCTGACTTCAAACTATACTACAAGGCTACATCAACCAAAACACCATGGTACTGGTACCAAAACAGAGAGATAGACCAACAGAAAAGAACAGAGCCAGCTGGGTGTGGTGGCTCACGCCTGTAATCCCAGCACTTTGGGAGGCCAAGGCGAGTGGATCACGAGGTCAGGAGATCGAGACCACGGTGAAACCCCATCTCTACTAAAAATACAAAAAATTAGCCGGGCGTGGTGGTGGGCTCCTGTAGTCTCAGCTACTCGGGAGGCTGAGGCAGGAGAATGGCGTGAACCCAGGAGGCGGAGTTGCAGTGAGCCGAGATTGCGCCACTGCACTCCAGCCTGGGTGACAGATCGAGACTCCGTCTCAAAAAACAAAACAAAACAAAACAAAAAGAACAGAGCCCTCAGAAATAATACCACACACCTACAACTATCTGATCTTTGACAACCCTGACAAAAACAAGAAATGGGGAAAGGATTCCCCATTTAAGAAATGGTGCTGGGAAAACTGGCTAGCCATATGTAGAAAGCTGAAACTGGATCCCTTCTTTACACCTTATACAAAAATTAATTCAAGTTGGATTAAAGACTTAAATGTTAGACCTAAAACCATAAAAACCCTGGAAGAAAACCTAGGCAATACCATTCAGGACATAGGCATGGGCAAGGACTTCATGACTAAAACACCAAAAGCAATAGCAACAAAAACCAAAATAGACAAATGAGATCTAATTAAACTAAAGAGCTTCTGCACAGCAAAACAAACTACCATCAGAGTGAACAGGTAACCTATAGAATGGGGAAAATTTTTGCAATCTACCCATCTGACAAAGGGCTATCCAGAATCTACAAAGAACTTACATTTACAAGAAAACAAACAATCCCATTAAAAATTGGGCAAATGATATGAACAGACACTTCTCAAAAGGAGACATTTATGCAGCCAACAGACACATGAAAAAATGCTCATCATCACTGGTCATCAAAGAAATGCAAATCAAAACCACAATGAGATACCATCTCACACCAATTAGAACGGCGATCATTAAAAAGTCGGGAAACAACAGGTGCTAGAGAGGATGTGGAGAAATAGGAATGCTTTTACACTGTTGGTGGGATTGTAAACTAGTTCAACCATTGTGGAAGACAGTGTGGCGATTCCTCAAGGATCTAGAACTAGAAATACCATTTTACCCAGCAATCCCATTACTGGGTATATATCCAAAGAATTATAAATCATGCTACTATAAAGACACATGCACACATATGTTTATTGTGGCACTATTCACGATAGCAAAAACTTGGAACCAACCTAAATGTCTATCAATGATAGACTGGATTAAGAAAATGTGGCACATATACACCATGGAATACTATGCAGCCATAAAAAAGGATGAGTTCATGTCCTTTGAAGGGACATGGATGAAGCTGGAAACCATCATCCTGAGAAAACTATCACAAAGGCAGAAAACCAAATACTGCATGCTGTCACTCATAGGTGGGAATTGAACAATGAGAACACTTGGACACAGGGCGGGGAACATCACACACAAGGGCCTGTCATGGGGTGGGGGCAGGGGAATGGATAGCATTAGGAGAAATACCTAATGTAAATGATGAGTTAATGGGTGCAGCAAACCAACATGGCACATGTATACCTATGTAACAAACCTGCACATTGTGCACATTTACCCTAGAACTTAAAGTATAATAATAATAAAAAAAAAAACCTTCAAAGGAATAAAAAAAAAGAATAGTATGCTCAGAATATTCTCCTTTTTTGTTAAAAAAAAAAATCTATGCAGGCTGGGTGCAGTGGTTCATGACTGTAATCCCAGTACTTTGGGAGGCCGAAGCAGGCAGATCATGAGGTCAGGAGATAGAGGCCAACATGGTGAAACCCCGTCTCTACTAAAAATACAAAAATTAGTTGGGTGCGGTGGCGCGTGCCTGTAATCCCAGCTACTCGAGAGGCTGAGGCAGGATAATTGCTTGAACCCAGGAGGCAGAGATTGCAGTGAGCCGAGATTGTGCCACTGCACTCCAGCCTGGCAACAGAGCAAGACTCTGTCTCAAAAAAAAAAAAAAGAAAATAAAAGAAAAAAATCAATGCATATGTAAAACAAGTCTTAAAGAACATTTGTTATCTGTGGAAGATAGAATTATGAAGGCGTTTTACAATATTATAGATATTTTTGCTCAAATTTTTATGACACCTCATGTGTATTTATTTATTGCATTATCAGAAAATAAAGACAAAACCCTTAAAAAACAAAAAAAAACACAACCAAAAACAAACAAACAAAAAGTAAAATCACACCATTCTAAGGGTAGCCCTCAACATAATGAAGACTGAATTTCCTAACAGTTAAAGGAACTTACGTTGAATATGAATTAGAAAAAAAGTAAAAATTTTCTCCTGCACCCCAGTCTGCAGATTCATACACCCAAAGTTAATTTGTTGATATTTTAATCTACGTCTAATTACAAACTGTGTTTATTATGAGACTATCAAAAAAACTGCTTTCCATCAACATGAAGGTGTTTTCTTTGAAGAGGATTACAAATACAAAGGGATTGACACGTTCATATTTATTTAGCAAATAATGATCTAATCCCTGGGTCAGCTGAAGCTAAGTAAGGAGAAGACTGTGTTCATAGGTGATGGAAGGTTGTTAGGCAGGACTCACAGTTGGATTCTAGGTTTCAGGGTGGGGACTACTGTACTGCCTTTCAGTCAGGCGGATCCCAAAGAACTGCTGCCTGGACGGGAATGGGAATATGGTCTGGCTGGGAGGATAGAAAGGTGCAGATGAAAGAAAATGTGATATGGGTTGCAGACTCAGGGCCTTGAGCACTGTTCTTTCTCATCTTTGTGGTGGGGGATTATGGGGTGGAAATGCACTCTCCCAGTCGGATCACATCCCACTACTCACCAGCGTTATATCCCGTCGCTGCTTCACATATATTATTTACCTGGCCCGGGTGGCATTTTACTTTGCATCCTTGATTGGGAGTCTCAGGGGCTACGAACAAACGTTTTATCCCCGGGTAGCCGGCGGGTGCGGAGCGAGTATTCGTGGGGCGGGATAAGTGCGGAAGTCGCTGCGCCCTCGTCCCTTCATCTCCGGGGGACGGCCACTCTCAGGGTTCCCGAGGAGCCCGCTCCGTGCACCTAGGCCCTAGGTCGGCTCCCAAGCCCTGGCCCGCCGCTACACCAGCGGTTTCTTACCCGCAAGTACAAATGTGACACAGACACCAGCTCCTCGTGCTCTTGGCTCCCAGGGTTTCTTTCACCGCGCCTCAGCACCTGCAGCTTCTCCACTCTTACAGCGCCCGCCGTCGTCAAGGCAACAGAGGGATGCCCGGTGACAGACTCGGCGCCGGCTTCCGGCGCCGTAAGAGAAGCGTCCGCGCGGGCGTTCTGGACCCGCAGAGTTCTCGGCGTTTCCGAAGCTCTTGGTGTGGCCGGGACCCGGGAGAAGGAGCAGGGCTGGTGGGGCTGCTGCAGCCGGTGAGTGTGTGCTGGCGCTGGGGGCTGGAACCTCCTAGGCCAGTCTCTGGGCGGTGCCGCAGGACCCTGCTCGCTGCGGCTCTGAGGCGGAAACAGGGGCTGGGGCCGAGCGCGGGCTGGAAGCTTTGGTCCCTGGAGTGTCGCTTCCAGTCTGGGGCCGAGGCGGTCGCCTGTGTAGACCCGGGATCCTCAAATAGAACGAATCCGGGACCCTGCAGAAATGAAGGGCATGTAGTGTAGAGGTTTTTCCTTTTTATTTAGAAAGGAATGAAAGACCGACAGTGCACCTGCTTGGATAGTAAGCACGTGACCCAAAACTTTGTTGGGGCTCTATGGGCAGGAATAAAGCTGGGTATTTGACCTCGCGCGAGGACGAGCGAGAATGTCAGAATGAGGGACTTGAGGGAAGACTGAAGAGAGAAAGGGAGCATCTTCTTCAGCATTTTCTCTCCCTCCTGGATGCAACCCTTCCTGTACGTGGTCATTGGCCTGGAGATGTTTACTGGAGTACTCCTCCACCGGCAGGGTTACTGGTGTCACTGTGCACCCAGCCCCCACGAGCTGAGTGATTCATCGCAGCCTTCGGATCCGGAAGGATGAGCAAACTCCTTAAGTATAATCGTGGTAGGATACTGACTTTAGTGCTCGAACTGGACTTAGGCCTTGGTGGTCTATCTCATCAATAAACATTCACTGGGTTCTTGGTTTAAGGGGTTTGAGAAGCCTTGCCACCTCCCAGCGTTTATTATTATTTTTTTCTTTTGCCCCAACCTTTAGCCTCTGGGCCATTTGTAATACATATTTAATTTTTTGACACAGGAAATAATCATGGTGCTCAACAGTTTGGATAAGATGATTCAACTCCAGAAAAACACTGCCAACATCAGGAATATTTGTGTTTTGGCTCATGTTGACCGTGGTAAGAATACTTTTTAAATGGCTTATTTTGATAAATAAGGGAGGTGTGTCTCTGTATGCCTCAGTGGAGTGAAGCTGTGGGCAGCTGAGAGTGGTGTTTGCTAAGAAGCAAGTCTTTCCTTTAAAAGTTTTCTGTGATGTTAGGGAAGCCTGCTTTGCTATAAGGCATTTGAAATGAACACGGTTACCTAGTGAGTAGCATTCTTCTATATATTATGTCATGTTGTTTTTTAAACCAGAACTTGAATTTTTTGTTTTCGAAATGGCTTTACGTATAAAATGTCTGTAGCCTTAACATAACGTCTTTAGAGTCTGTGGTATGCAATCCTGTTTAATTCATCAGATATTTATCAAACGTCTGTTAAGTTCAAGATATTTTGCCAAGTATGTCAGAACGTGGAGATTTATGAGTAGGGCACCAGCCCAGCTGTAGAGGAGGTTTTTTTTGTTGGGGGAGGACGGAATTTCCCTCTTGTTGCCCAGGCTGGAGCTGTAGAGGAGGATTTAAGGGGGAGCAGAGGAAAATGAGACAAACATGAGAAAAAAGTAGACTCTAATGTCGGGAGAACTAGAGGATTGAGAAATGAGGGATTAAGAAAAGGCCTCACAACATAATTAATATTAGAGATGACACTTGAAGGTGGCTCAAGATGACAAATGGAGATAAACATTACAAGTGGGAATGTGTCATCAAGGGGTGAAGGAAATGTAAGTGGTCAAAGCCCAGCATCTGGGAAAGGCAGAGATAGCCAACGCGTGGTGTGTGTGCTTCTGACCGATACTGCTGTAACCCCATAGCGCTCCCTCGTGCTAAGCCTCCTCTTCAAACCCCTTCGTAGTTTAGGTAGCCATAGCAAAGTGATTGGGATGGGCATGTGAAATAAAGTCTATTTACCATCCTAAAGGTGAAGGACTAGTCGGCGAGGTGAAGAAGCAGGCTGAGTCATATTTCATAGGAACTAGGCTAAGAGTTAAGTGCTCCAGCTCTGAAGTTAGACAACCTGAGTTCAGATCTCCATTTTCAAGTTACGTACTTTGCCTTCCTGAGCTTCATTATACAGCATCTGTAAAACAGGATGAAAACTATACCCACTTTATAGGCTATAGGATTAAATGTGATAATAATGAGAGGGAACATAAATGCTTCACCATGAAAACGATTATTAACGTCTACTATTAGGCAGTAGGGAACCTTTGAGGGGGAACAAATGCTTCACCATGAAAACGATTATTAACGTCTACTATTAGGCAGTAGGGAACCTTTGAGGGGAAACATGGAGCAGGACTGATGTAATCAAATAAAACATGAGAAAGATTAGACTGGTGGACATGCTTAGGATGGATCCAAAGTCAGAGGATAGGTGGCTGTTGTCATTGATAGAAGAGCTGAAGTGATGTGAGTATGGAAACTGAAAGACAGACAGATAGTGGATCACTTTACAAGTGAAGCCAGCTGAGAATGAGTTTTAGTACAAATCCAGTGAGTAACCCCTGCCTCCATGAGTTTTTATAATTTTACTGCTCACATTTTGAGAATGTGAAGGCTGATAAAAGGGTTTTTTTTCTTTATGAATTTAATCAAGTGGAAAGTCAGTGGGGTGTAACAAATTACTTTAAATGTATTGTTTAAAATTATGTTAAACTGGTACTATCCTAGAAAACCTGTGATTCATTCAACAAGTATTTTCTGAAGGTCTTCTATATGACAAAGCATTGTTCTGGTCCTAGGGATACCGCTGTGAGTAAAGCAAAGTTCCTGCTTGCTTGATAATTATTTCCTAGGGAAGTATATACTTGATGTACTTAGAATAAATTCGGCTTTATTGGGTTGCAGGAAAGTGATGCTCTAGGATTATATGCTAATACATATTTACATGGCAGACAGATAACACAGTGTTAAATATCTTCAGTTCTCCTACTCATTGGTCTCTGGTTTGAACTATACAGAGATTGCATAGCTTTGCTGAAGTTCCTAAAGTGCAATAAAGACTTATCTTGAAGGAAAAAACCCTCATTTGCTTACTCCAACCCAGTTGTAGTAATTATGCATACCCATAACATTCTTTAAACAGAATCACCTGTTTATACCACACAAAATTGCATAGAGTTTAGTTGTATGTAGTCTGTTTAATAAAGGTAACTATAAATATATACAAAGATTCTTTTGCTATAAAGTAGATTCCTATGTTTAGATTTGGATACTAGGTTTCATTGGTTGTTATAGTTTATGGCCTCCACGGGCTATATTACAAACAGTAAGAGATATGGGTAAAGTTCCTGAATTTCTTTGATAAATAAGTGTTTTCTTGAGACAGTTTAACTAGCAAATTCCAGCTGAGGCCATGCATGGGGAAGTATGGCAGAAGAGTATGTTCAATTGTTTATTGATGATGTTTTACCCAGTATGCGTTTCAGAGAAAAAAAAATTACTGCATTTTGTCATTCTGTGCTGTCAGGGGCTTAATTTGATAAACATGGTCATGGTTCTGGATATGGGATAATTGATGTAGTAATTGTGATAAACTTGATCAAATTCTTAGAGGACAAATTATAGTAACTGTGTAAAACTCATCAGGTATTCTATATTTTGATTGGTTTGGTGGTTTGCCCTATCACGGAAAAGTGTGTTTTTCTCTGTATAAAGTCTGCCTCAATTTAAGAAAAATTCTCTACTTTAAGAAAAGTTGCTTGACAACTTTCAGATGAGGTTGATTAGATCCACAGGGTTGGAGATAAGATTCCAGCATTAGAGAGTGCTAGCATCTGTGTCCTTCCAGATGATAGTCTGTTCAAGAGTCTAATCAAACTCTTTTGTCTTTTTCACCTAGCATAGGTAAATAGAAAATCTTTACTAAACCAATTGTTATGACCAGATTTTAAATCTATAGGTATGATCCATCCCATGACCCCTTTTTAAAAAGACATAGATTTGAATCGATGTTGCTGTTTTAACAGGAAAAACTACTCTGGCTGACTGTCTTATATCTAGCAATGGAATCATCTCCAGCCACCTAGCAGGCAAGGTATGTTATTATTTTATAAATACTCGTTGCATTTCAGTATTAGCTGTCAACAATGTGATGAACTATTTTCTGTGTTCTTTAGCGATCCAAAAGGGTATAAAATATAGTTCTTGCATATAAAAGCTGCCAATCCATTTTGCAAGATAAAATTGCTGGCAAGAAAAACAGTTACTTCTATATTGTTTGTATTGCTTTATATTAATATTTTGTAAGTGCAAAAGTGAGTTTTTGCAACAAGCAAATGATACCCAATTGTGGAAGATTTCACAGCAAAAGATTCTTTGTAGGTGAACGAATTGGGTGGTTTGAGGAGAAGACAGAAAAGCTATCAGGTGGTGGGAAATAACATGGATAAAGGCTAATTTGTGTGTTGTGCTTTGAGTGGAGCATTTGCCTAGAGACTAATGAGAGAGAAAACACACTGGCAGGGAGAATGTATAAGATGATAGAAGACCTTAAAAGTTAACCTAAGTATCAAAGGAAAGCTGCTTATGCCTGAAGATTGTGATGAAAATAATGAAAAGAATGGGTTTTTTGGTTTTTGTTTTTGAGACAGGATCTCACTCTGTTGCCCAGGCTAGAGTGCAGTGGTGTGATCATGCACGGCTCACTGCAACCTCGCCCTCTTGAGCTCAGGTGATCCTCCCACCTCAGCCTCTCGGGTACTAGGGACTACAGGTGCACGCCACCACACCTGGCTAATTTTTTTTGTAGAGACAGGGTTCTGCCATGTTCCCCCAGGCTTATCTTGAACTCCTGGGCTCAAGCAATCCTCCTGCCTTGACTTCCTAAAGCGCTGGAATTACAGGTGTCAGCCACCATACATAGCCTGAAAATAGTGTTTGAGGAGATAAAGAGATCTTTATTTGTAGCTATGAGTTGAAAGGGCTTGGAATAATTTACTTGGCAGTAGAAAAATAAAAATATATTCATTTCTATAATGAATTTAGGATATGAACAACAGGGTTTATCAGGTGACAGAGAATAGAGAGAAGAGGAGATGGAGAAGCAAAATTGAATCCACAGAGTAGATCCAGTAGACTTGAAGGTCGATTTGGGAATTGATGTGTGGGTTGGGAGGGAAGCTGGCCCAAGATACTATCTAGAGGAGGCTGAAAAAAACTAGGTTGAGTGAAATAATGAAATGCTTATATTTTCCCCACTTGAGAATTTAGAGAAAGTATAATAACTCTAAAGTAGATGAAAGGAAATAATAAAGCATGAATTACTGAAATAGTAAACAGACATTTTATAGAAAGGATCAGTGAAGCCACAGTTTGTTTTTGGATAAGATTAACATAACTAATGAAGAGTGAACCCTAATGTGAACTATGGACTTTAATTAATCATAATGCATCCATATTGGTTCATCAGTTGTAACAAATGTATCACATTATATACTAATACAATATAGATATAATGGGGAAACTATGTGTTGGTGGGAAGAGAGAGTATGTGGGAAACTTCAGTCGATTCTTCCGTGAACTTAAAGTTGCTCTAAAAATATAAAGTTTATTAATGTAAACAATTACTAGCAATATAGACAATTTTTGATTGTCTTGACTAGAAAACTTTTTTGTTTTGCTTTTCATTGACATTGTTGAGGAACATTTGACACTTTTGACCTGCTAATGTTCCCAATGTGGCTCACTGTACTTTGGACATATACAAAGCATAGTATATATAAATAAATACTTTTGAATGAATGACTTTAAAGAAGGGTAACACAACTGGCAAAACACCAGCAAGATGATCAAGAAGAAAAGAGAGGAGGCAGAAATAAGTGATACCCAGAAAGAAAAATGCTACAGAAGTGAATACGGTAATAATAGGATATAATGAACAACTTTATGCCAGTAAACTTAAAAGTGCTAAAATGGAAAAATGTCTGGAAAACATAACTTGCTAAAGTGGAGTCAAGAAGAAATAGGAAACTTGAATTATTCTATAGTCATTTAAGAAATTGAATTGGCTGTTAAAAATCTTTCCATAAAGAAAAGACCCAGATGGTTTAACTCTCTAGTTCTGCCAAACATTCAAAGAACAAATAATTTCAGTCCTACTTAAACCGTTGCAAAATATAGCAGAGAAAAACCCAACAATCGGCAGTATTCTCCAAATCATATGAAGATAGCATAACTTTGATACCAAAAGTCTGTTAAGGATAATACAAGACAGGAGAATTGCATACCAACCTTGTGATTATGGATGCAAAAATTATCATCCTCGTTAACAAACAGAATTCAGCATAGTATAAAAAGATGATTATTCATATCCAAATCGAGTTTATCCCAAGGAATTCAAGATTGGTTTAACATGTAATTTCACTATATTAACGGATTAAAGGAAGAAAATCATGATCATGTCAACAGATATAGAAGACATAGTAAAATTCAATATCTATTGTGATAAAACCTCTTTGCAATGTAGTTACAGAAGAGAACCTCTGTAATCTGATGTGGGATATTTGTAAAAAACCTACAATGAAGATTGAGCTTAATGATGAAGTGTTAAAACTTTTCTATTCATAGCCAGGAATAAGGCAAGTATGGCCGTCACACCCTTCTGCTCATTGTGTTATAACTTCTACTTTACATTGTACTGGAGGTTCTAGTTGCAGTGATAAAGCTGGAAAGAAAAATTAAAAGTGTGAATTTTGGACAGGAAGAAGAAATGTAGATAAATTGCTAGGATATTAGTAACAATTTGGCAGGTTTCAGGATATGAAAACCATTGAAAAGAATACATGAGCAATAAATAGATAATATACAGAAATTTAAATACATTAAACCATTTAAATAGCATAAAAAATGTACCTGTGCTGGGCATGGTGGCTCAGGCCTATAATCCCAGCTACTTAGGAAGCTGAGGCAGGACAATTGCATGAACCCAGGAGTTTGAGGCTGCAGTGAGCTGTGACAGCAACTGCACTCCAGCCTGGTGGATAGCACAAGACCCCATCTCTTCAAAAACAACAAAAACAACAACAATAACAACAAAACCTATAAGATATTGGAGAAAACTAAGACGTATTATGAATGTATTGATGTATTGTAACCTGTGGCCTGGAATCGGCTGAGGCATGAAATTGACTGATGGCTCAGAATAGTAGGCCTAGAATAGTAGGCTGGCATTTCAGATCTGTGGGAAAAAGATGAACCTTTCAAATGGTTCTTGGGCAATTGGTTATCCATGTGGAAAAAAAAATTGGACCTCTACTTAACACCACACACAAATCAATTGCACAGTTAAGATACTTATATTTAAAAGCAAAACTGTAAAGCTTTTAGAAAATAATATGGGCTAATATTTTTATGACCTTAAAGGAAGATTTCTTAAGACAAAAATGTGCAAACAATTTTATGAAAGGTTAATAAACTACTTAAAATTAAGAACATATTTATCAAAGATGCCAGAAAGAAATGGAAAAAACAAGCCTGGTAACTGTGAAAAATATTAATAACACACATATAATTGACAAAGGACTAATATTCAGAGATTATAAATAACTCCTATCCAAAACAAAATAAATCTTTATTACAACCAGTAGAAAGGTGGACAAAAGCCTTATATAGGCAGTTCACAGAAAAGGAATGTTAAATGGCCAATACAAGAAACTTATAAAGGGATACTTAATCCCATTAATAATAGGGGAAATGTAAATTAAAACCATGAGATGCTATTTATCACCCATCTTAAAAAATAAAGTCCAGCAATATCAGCTGTTGAAGTTATGTATCAAAAAAAGCACTATTCCACCGTGGATCAGTCCAACTATTTGGAAAATAATTTGGAAATATCAAGTTAGGTTGAGGATGTGCAGATTTAATAACTCAGAAATTCTACTGGTAGGGAGTGTACAAGAGACCAACAACTGTTCATATCAGCACAGTAATAGTTACAAAAAACTGGAATTGGTCTCCATGTCCATCAGTAATGCAATGGACGAATGGGTCTGGTAGATTTGTGAGGTGAAGTCCTACGGTAATAAAAATGAATGAATTACATCAATATGGCTGAATCTCAGGAAAACAATATTGAACAAATAAAACATGACAGTATAATATATTAAGTATGATTCTTATAGAAGGCTTAAAACTTGCCACTCTACATGATATATTGCTTAGTGACACACTCATTTTTAAAAATTATAAAGAAAATAAGGAAATGAACAAGATAAAATTCAAGATAGTGGTTACCTATAAGCCAGGAGCACAGGGTACTTCAAAAGTAACAAACTTTTTTTTCCTTTTGAAATGGGATGGTGCATACACAGGGGTTCATTGTGTTGTTATTTATGTATTACACATGTTTCATACCAACTCAGTGCTTAAAAACGTACATTATAGAAGACTGACAAGGGACTGAGACTTTTTGAAGGAAGGACTGATGGAGAGGTTGGAGAGGTGAAGGGAAACCAGCAGTGGGATCTGAGGAGAGATGGAGGTAAATTAAGAGGTTTCAGACTCTTGGAAGAATTTCACATATGCATGTAACACACATGCACACAAAGGGTAACTGTCATGTTGCACTGGAATCAAGAAAAATGAGGATTGAGAATGATTATTGCGTTTGGCCAGAGGTCATTGATAGCTTTTAGGACTTTGATTTTGCCAGAGCTGTGGAAATGGAAGCCTTTCTGAAAATTTCAGAATTAATGTGGATGAATAAATGTGGCAGTTCATATCAACCGATAATTCTTGGTGCTTTTGAATGAAAGAAAGGAGAAAATAGACAGGTTAAGAATTTTTCAAAAGTTTGACAGTGGAGAGAATGGAGGAAGGGTAAGGGAAAATCATTCTGGAGAAAGGAGGAGGAGGTTAGTCTGGTGCTTAGGGCTAAGGAGTTGGAAAGGGATGGGATCTTCATTTAAACGACACCACTGTCAGTACTGATGCACTGCAAGGCCTAGAAAATGAGATGTAGACACTCATTGGTGGGTATCACTGGGAAAATTATCAATTAAATGGTCATATTACAAATATTTTCTACTGTATTCTTTTTTAAAAAAAGATATATTCAAAATCTGTTAATTTGGGAAAGGGGTAAAGACACTTCTCTTGCCTCTAGAGACCTCTGTTTCAGTCTCTGCTCAGAATTTGTCAAACAGCTTATAAATAGGAAAAGAATGGCTGTGTTATTGATGTTTAGAAAGAATTCCCCCAAATGCTACTGTCTGTAAGTTGTTCTTGACCTGCCCCATCATTCATGGCTGATAGTTGGATGAGCAACACTCTGGGGAGGGTATGCAGTAGTTGAATACATTTATGAGTTCCTAGTGGTAATGTTTTTCATTTGTCATGTTCCCTTCCCGCCAACTAACTTCACTTCTCCATCCCCTCATCATCTTTAAAAAAAGAGAGAGGGCCAGGCGAGGTGGCTAATGCCTGTAATGCCAGTACTTTGGGAGACTGAGGTGGGTGGATCACCTGAGGTCAGGAGTTCAAGACCAGCCTGACCAACACGGTGAAACCCTGTCTCTACTAAAAATACAAAAATTAGCCAGGTGTAGTGGCACATGCCTGTAATCTCTGCTACTTGGGAGGCTGAGGCAGGAGAATCACTTGAACCTGGGAAGCAGAGGTTGCAGTGAGCCGAGATTGCGCTACTGCACTCCAGTCTGGACAGCAGCATAAGACTCTGTCTCAAAAAAAAAAAAAAAAAAAAAAAAAAAAGAGACGCTGTATAGTTTAAAATTTAAGTATTGCCTGGGCATGGTGGTTCACATCTGTTATCTCAGCTCTTTGGGAGGCCAAGGTGGGAGGATCACTTGAGGCTAGGAGTTCGAGACTAGTGCAGGCCACATAGCGAGACCCCGTCACTACAAAAATAAATAAAAATAAAAAATTTAAGTATTTAAAACAAAAATCTAAATTAGCAAATTTTAATGTTACATTTTAATTCTTTGGGAAGTGAAGATGCATATGTTGCATTTTTCCAGTTAAGGTACATGGACAGCAGAGAAGATGAACAGATCCGAGGGATCACTATGAAATCCAGTGCCATTTCCCTACATTATGCAACAGGTAAGTCAGTCTGTTTTAAAGAAACACAGCTTTGCATCTTTCATGTCCTCCTCTGTCTTTCTGAATTAATTGCATGCCTCAGTTTCTTTGCTTATATTCCACATATTTTATTCTGGCGTCTCCACATGACCTGTTGTCAGAGTTAGGCTGTCCAGGCTTGGATGCAGATGGAAACCTCTGACTGGTTTGAGGGCAGAAGAACTGGCAATTCACACCTGCCCCCTCCACCAGGTGATTATATGGATTCCTTCACAAGGAAAGTCAGGAGCCCTAGGACTTTAGCTGGTTCAGCCTTTCTATTCTGCCTCATGGCCTGGCCTGCATGTTAGATTTGGAGTCTTATTTACTTAAAAGTAGACTGCCATGATCAGTACCAGCTTGCTATCCTCAAATGAGGATGCTACTTTGATAGTAACACTTCTAGGAATTTATCTGACAGAAATATTCATGTAAGTGTGTGAGATACATGTCACTGATATTCACTAAAAAGTTTGTATTCGTGAAAAAAATACCAACAACCTGAATGTCAATAGGAGAATGGTTCAATAAACTGATACATCCAAGCGGTGAAATACTGTGCAGCTGTTAAAACAAATGTTTAATATATATGTTATTGTACAGGGGAAAATGGTATGTTCAGAGACAGAAAACAAATTGCAGAGTATTTTTGTAAGATATGAATGTGTTTGGATAATAAAAATATATTATATATGCAGATAAAGGTGTCTGGAAGGATACATACCAAACCCTTAACAGTAGCTCTCTGCAGGGGCTATGATTATGGAAAACTTGCACTTTTCAAAATATTTATTTTTGTGGTATTTGAAAATTTTACACAAAATGTATATTTTTGTAATTAGAAGAAAATAATAAAGATAAATTTTATTTCCCTAATGGACTTACCTGTGGTTCATCCTTCACAAGTGTCATATCTTTGGCACTGCCACCAAAAGATGTACTCTGTGGGGCATGGCTTTTGTACCAAACCAGTTTTGAAGCTCTTAGGCACATGAATTCTCAATGTTTAATGTTTAAAGTAACACTTCATTTTTTTAAAAAAACAATTCTCACATTTTAAAGGGTATGTTCTCATCCTGTGATCCAGAGAATGGGGTTGAGGGTCTATTCATTTCTTATCTCATTTTATAGACTTCAAGAGATTTGAAGGCTGCTTTCTTCTTTACTCAGATTATTAGTGTGCTTTTATTTGAAGATTCCTCTGGGGTCAGTTTTAGTTTTTCTGCTCTATACTTTGTCTATAGTCCCCCTCTCCTGACCCCTTTAACCACTTTATTAAGGTTTAATTTATATACCATAAAATTCACCTGTTCCAATTCACATTTGTCTTTCTGGTGTAGTATTGTAGGAGAATTTGCTATAGGACCCTGGGAATTGAGTGGTCTGAACTCTGTTTGGTTGAGCTCTGTGACCCTGGCTGCTCACAGATTATTTTAGGTACCCTTTTTTTTTTTTTTTTTGAGACAGAGTCTCGCTCTGTTGCCCAGGCTGGAGTGCAGTGGTGCAGTCTTGGCTCACTGCAACCTCCACCTCCCAGATTCACACCATTCTCCTGCCTCAGCCTCCCAAACAGCTGGGACTACAGGCACCCGCCACCATGCCTGGCTAATTTTTTTTTTTTTTTGTATTTTTAGTAGTGTCGGGGTTTCACCATGTTAGCCAGGATGGTCTCGATCTCCTGACCTCATGATCCACCCGCCTCGGCCTCCCAAAGTGCTGGGATTACAGGCGTGAGCCACCGCACCCGGCTCACTTTTTTTTTTTTTTTTTTTTTTTTTTTTTTTTTTTTTTTTTTTTTGCTCTGTCACCTAGGCTGGAATGCAGTGGCGCAGTCTCTGCACGCTAAAGCCTCTGCCTCCTGGGTTCCAGTGATTCTCCTGCCTCAGCCTCCTGGGTAGCTGGGATTACAGGTGCATGCCACCACGCCTAGCTAATTTTTGTATTTTTAGTAGAGATGGGGTTTCACCATGTTGTCCACGCTGGTCTCGAACTCCTGACCTCAGGTGATCTGCCCGACTTGGCCTCCCAAAGTGCTGGGATTACAGTCGGGAGCCACTGCACCTGGCCAGGTATGCTTTCTTGATTGCACAGACCAGAGACAAGCTAGCTTGGGTTGGGGTGAGATAGCTTATTGAAAGCATATGTGTGAAATGAGATTGGAAATAATATTCATGAAAATGGAAAAACAGGAGTCTTATTGGAGTGACGTCTCATAAAAATTGGAGCCAGATTTTCATTCTGGATCCAAGATAGCTCTAGAGACCACATCAGTAAAAGTTTATGGATCCTGCCTCTGGAACTCCACTGTTGTCCTTGGATTTGGGTGTCTGTTTGTATCTCCACTATTATCCTGTATGTCTTTTCTCTGTCTCATAGCTTTTGCCTACTGTCATGTCTTCATCTTTGTACATTCACCTTGCCCTGACTTCTTACCCTATTATCCTGTCTGTTTTCACCTTATTTCTGTTGCCTACTGCTTCAATCTCTTGTGTTTCTGAGCACACAGGCTCAAGAGCAGGATGCGGCTCTGCTTATCTTTTCATGCCAGCCCATCACAGAGGTTGCACCTATGGATTGGCTGCGCTTGGGTTGGTTAGTCACCTCCTAATCCAATCAGTGGTGATCGGAGTGGAGTCACAAAGTGTCAAACATGTTTCTTGTGAGCATGGGATTACTGCCTAGAAGGGAATTTGGGCCGAGCAGTCATCACACTTGACAGTGCAGAGCCTTATGGGGATAGAAGTTAGGAATGTTGACTGGGACATATCCTCTCAGAGCACTTGAGAGATGAGATATGTTTTTATCTGTATCTTAGTACTGATTCTCCAGAATGGGGTATTTCCTGTTCTGAAGGTGGGACGTCTGAAGGGGAACCTAGATGGGAGAAAAAGAGGGAAACCTGATGATTGAAGAAACTCCACAGGTGACTTTTATTTATACCATGCCTTCCCCTCCTTCTCACCCACTTTGAATCCCCTCTTATTTGAGAATCTGTGTACTAAATGCAAGTTAAACTCTTTCTCTGGTTCTCTTAATTTAACGAGCTTTCAAAAGTATTTTCAAATATTTATTTGGGTTGAAATATAGGGTCTTATTCTAGTTTAAGGTAAACAGATAAATCCTGCACATTATAGAAGTGATGCTGAAAACCATCAAGGTCATACACTATCTCAGCATTTTCCAGGAACCTAATTATTCTTTGAGAAAATGGAGCCTCTATTATCTTGACGTTTGTGACCAAAATTTGCTACAAATGTTGGGATCATATTATTAAATCTTGTTATTTGCCTGTTTCTTACCTCTCTTTGTGTCCTACCCACAAGAATACCACACATTTATCTTGTTAGGAAGTATTCCTAACAATATACGTTCTGTAAAATATCCTAAGGGGATGTAATGTCTTTGAATCCTTTAGCCTAGAATTGAGATATAGAAGACAGAAATAGATTCACATGGGTTAATAATTTGAAATTCATCAAAAGGAATACTGCTGTCATTTCTACTGTATAGCCATTTTTTATACCTGAGCAAATACTGCTGTTGCTGAACTTTTGAAGTTTTTATCTAATTCATCTTTTAAAATATTTTAAATAAATTTACAAGTTTATATACATACATACACACGTGTATATATATATTGCATATATAGTATATATTGTGTATATGTATATCTATTTCAATTTATATATATATACACATATATTTCAATTTTTTTGTAGAGATGAGATCTTGCTATGTTGCCCAGACTGGTCTCAACCTCCTGGATGCAAGCCTTGTACCCATTTCCTAAAGTTTTGGGATTACAAGTGTGAGCCACCATACCTGGCCCAAGTTCATATTTACTATAGAAAATTTAGTATGTGTTATAGAATATACAGTAAAACACAAAAATGGAAGAGAAATCACTGTCAGTTTACCGCCAGTTATTTTATATTTTCAATTTTTATATTTAATGCAAGTTGTATGTGTATGCACACACTGTGAGGTAAATATCTGACTTTATTTCCCCCGCAAATAGCTTACTTATTCTAACACCTGTCAGATGTGATTATTAAGTACAATATTATTGCTGACATGGTGTTGACACCTCTGCATAAGTGAGGCAGTTTGGGTGGGGCTGTTAAGGACTAGAGAGTGAATTATGCCCACTCATGGAATACCTCCCCCAATTCCTGGATAAAGGCCAGTATCATTCAGCTCCACTTGATTGATTGATACCCTGTGGGAATTTTTTTTTTTTTCAAGAAAAGTTGGCATCAAGATTTTTGGTAAAATCTTCCAAGTTTCAAAATGACGGCAACTTATTTAAAAATTGTAAAACACCATGTAGAACACACTGCAGTGGGCTTTAGCTTATGAGCTTTTAGTTAGTAACCTCAGGCATATAGTCTAGCTAATAGACTAGTGGTACACTTGGGATTCACCCAAGAGTCAGCCATATGCAGTGAGGTTGTCCTCTAAACGTGGAGACCAAGGATATAGCAGCCTTCTGCAAAGAGGTCCATATGCAAGTTGATCACTTTGTAAATACCTCTGTTAGGGTTAGTGGTTGTGGGCAGAAGGAGGATTTACGCATGTGTTGATTTCAGCTCTGTGGCTCTCTGGTTTTATACTCCAAAGACTAGGCCATGGAGACACTGACTCATGCCATCTAATTACAGACAAGGCCAGCATGTAGCAGAAAGTCATCTCTTATTCAGAGGCAGTAGCTTCCCTTTCCTTCTGGCTGTGTGAATGTTTACCCATGGTCCTAACTTGCCTTATTCTTTCCAGAATGAGGCTGGGAGGGAAGAGTTCCATTACCCCTCATTTGACTGAAGGGTAGATTTTGTTCTCGTCAGACAATGAATGCTTTACTTTGTGAAGTATTCAGTTGATGCCAGGCGTAAGAAACTAGGTACACGATAGTTCACTTCTGAGCTAGGTGTCCCGTATGCCTGATTTTGTTTTATCTTCACAGCAACTCTGTGATGGGTATTACTCTGATTTTACACATGTGCAAAAATGGAGTTCAGAGAGGTGAAGACACTTTCCCAAGGACAGAGTAATTTCTAGCATGTGGTAGTAGTCCTAGAACCCACATTTCCAGCGTATTCACTTGGACCATTAGTCTCTTGGAAGTCAGGCCACAACTAGAGGAAATTCCTCCTGAGGCTTGAGTATCTCCTTTCCACTAGTGATTGCTATGGACGTCTTGTGGCCAACACTACCTACATCCCTGTGGTCTTCAGTCACTGCCCACGATGCAAGCCACATGATCTGGCCCTCTTATAGTCTCTTCCCCATGTTTCTCTGTGATTCTGTCAGCCTCTTTCAATCTCCCATTATTCCCCTCCTTACCAAAACTTACTGTGAAAACATTCCAAGGGAAACAAACATCGCTACATCCTCAATGTCTTTTTATTGACGTTTCCCCCTTCTGCCTGGCTGTCTTCTGATGACATTGCCTGCCTTGTACCTTTTCCAAGTGAATGCTACTCCTTCGTTCATGTTCCACGTATCTCTGGGTTAGCATATGGGATTGCCATTCTTTTTGTTCCCAGATCTGATTACAAAAGTTAATTCTTCTACCCTTGTTTTCAAACTTCTCCTTTCAAGACTCAGACCATCCAATTATTCACCTTTCCAGTCATTGTCAGCTCCTGGTGATGTTTCCTGTTCATTAGTGACTTTGGCACCCAGCCTCATAATTGTTCTTTTCACCTGAATCTTCTAAGGTGGCTTTTACCATCCCTGAGAATGACTTCTTCAACAGCTTATCCTCTCAACAACATTGGTTCTCCACTTCACCTACCCGTTGTCATGACTACTTTCTGGATTTTAGCATCACCTTGAGCTATTCATCTTTGACATTTCAAATTTAAATACTTCCTTCTCTACAATCTTTGATTCTCCCAGCTTTCTTTCTTTCACCTGACTAATGAGTTACCCATTCTTTGACTTCATAATGTTCTCTAGTTTTTTGACTCCCATCAGCCTCTTTCTTCATTCACTTCCTGCCTCATACAGCCCAGATTTGTCATTTCACTGACAGTCTTCCCAGCATCTTCAGTCTCTTTGGTTCTTGACTTTCTGTCATATTTTTCCCAATAAAACTTTAACCCTTGATAAAGTTAATTCTCTACACGTCTTCATCCTTGTATTTGGGCTAGGTTCTCAAGTGGTCCTCCAGACTGCTGGCAGATTTCCCATCTCTCTCTCTATTAGGTCTTGCTTACTCTTCCCAGCAGCTATTTTAAACCTTCTGGTCTCCTTCAGCCTACCTGTCATCCCCTCCTCCACAATCTCAGCAGACATTCTTACTTTCTATTTCACAGAAAAGAGAAGAACTCTCACCTGCTTGCCACTGTACCTCAAAACGTAATGGTATGGGCATTTTTGTTTGCCTCCTGTCACTGGCAAAAACCTGTGCTCTGGACTTACCTTCTGTTTATGATCTTTTCTTCAGTATCTTCCACCTGTCCCTCTGTACTGGCTTGTAACCATCAGCTTTTAATCATGCTCAAGTCTGTCTTGTCTTAAAAAATACATAAATCCTTCTTTCAGCCCCACATTCCTCTGCATGTTTCCTCTTCCCGCTTCTTAGTCAAAGTTATACTACAATTACTCTCTCAATTACTCTGATGATATGACCCGCACCTTATACTAATGACGTGCATTAGCAGTGTGAAATTGATCCTTGATCTATGACTCTCCAGGGTAATGCTAGGCATAGAGATATTATAAGTAAGTGTCAACCTTTTTTTTACTCCAGGGTTTCTTATTCTGGTTCTTATTCTTATACCCTTCCAAGCAAAACTGCCAATGATCAAAGGAATCAAGACAATGTGGATGTGTAATTATTAGATTTACTATCTACACAGCAGGCCTTCAAAGGTGGAGAAGTTCTCAGTGATGTCAGAGTTCAGGGTGTGGCCACAGTACTGGGTGGCAGGTGTGGACTGGCATCATACTGAGAAAAACCAAAAGCGGGTGAGGCCAAATGTAATCAGAAGTGCTCTGTACGTGGTCTAGTTTCATGTTGGAGGAAGGTCTGGAGAGGTCTTCGGGTTGGGTTTGTGCAGCAAAAGAAAACTTAATCAGTTTGCTATTCATAGTTGTTTCTAGATCATTTTTCCTCTCATTTTCCTAACCCCTGTCACTTTTTTTTTTTTTTTTTAAGACAAGAGTCTCATTCTATCACCCAGGCTGGAGTGCAGTGGTGATCATAGCTCACTGCAGCCCAGAACTTCTAGACTCAAGCAGTCCTCCTGCCTCAGCCTCCCAAGTAGCTAAGACTACAGGCATGTGCCACCATGCCTGGCTAATTTTTTAAATTTCTTATAGAGATGACGGTCTTGTTATGTTGTCCAGGCTGGTCTTGGCTCAAGTGATCCTCCTGTTTTGGCCTTCCAAAGCACTTGGATTATTGGTGTGAGCCACTGTGCCTGACCCCATCTCAGTTTTGACACATACCATCAGAGTCAACCACCCTTCACCTCTCCTTGTGGCAGTCTTCTCATAAAGATAGTTATCCTGTTACCTGTATCAGCTTTATAGTTGTGCTTTACAATTCTGTCAAATAAGCCATATTAGTTGATTTATAACTTACAAAGTTATACATTGATTTAAAATGTAAAAACATAGTATTAAGATATAAAAGGTAACCAGGTTCAGTGGCTCACATCTGTAATCCCGGCACTTTGGGAGACCGAGGCAGAAGGATCACTTAAGGACAGGAGTTTGAGACCTGCCGGGGCAACACAGTGAAACCCCATCTCTACAAAAAATAAAATAAAAATTACCCTTGTGTGCCTGCAGTCCCTGCTACTCTGGAGGCTGAGGCAGGAGGATCGCTTGAGCCCAGGAGTTTGAGGCTGCAGTGAGCTATGATTGTGCCACTGCATCCAGCCTGAATGTTACAGTGAAACCCCGTATCTTAAAAAAAATTAAAAAATAAAAGTGGTATTTCCTGTGGAGGGAGACTTTTGGTTACAGTTGGTGTACAACTTATGTATATAATAGTTATAAGTTCATACATAAGGAATTTAGGAACATGTCTTCAGATAACTCAGGTTCTGCCTGTATTTCTGTTATTTTCGTTGTCAGGCAAAATACTCTACCATACACTGAAACATAAAGGACACTTTCAGGAGGTTCAGATCTTCTTCCATAACTTCAGTGTTTCTTTTTTATTTTATGGAAAGTTTTCTCTCGTCAGGTTTCTATGTATGCGTTAGTGAACATTTCCAGTGTTTTGGAAGTTGAACACTAAACTCCTTACATGAAGTTTTACTGAATACAGAGATGTTTTGGCAGGTCCTAGTGACAAATGTGCACCTTCTGTGAGACAATTATCCATGGCACTTTAAAACCATGGGCAAGGGAGCAATTCTTTTCCCATAACTCCCTATTAGCAGCAGAAATTGTCTGGAAGATATCTCCCATAATTAACTTCAGGTCTTCCAATTTTTTTTTCAGTTCCCTGGAATATAAAAAGATTGAATTGTTGCTTGACTGATTAGATCTGTGCCTTGAAATGAAGCAGTTTAGTTTGGAATGCCTGGGAAGTAAAGCAGCAGCATTCTGTCCCTGAATGCTGTTGCAGGGATTAGTTCAATATGTAGCTTCAGGACTTTGTTACAAATCAGAAAGATCATTTAGCATGCTTAAAAAATTTTGTCTCCTGAAAAGTGTTATGCATTTTCTACTTTTTAAATAATTTCCACTAGCAATAATAATAATATCTAGCATGATAAGCCCTGTAATTGTTTTTATGTATTTTTTAATTTGATCACACATACACAAAAGTGGTAAATGGCATTTTTTAAAGAGACATAATGTGGCTGAAGTCACAGCAGAAGAGCTGTGCTTGTGGACTTTTTTTCTCTAATGGATATGGGACTTCTTTCCCCAACCTTTGAAATTTAGGTTAAAGTTGTTTGGAAAGGGTTAAGATGAAAAAGGCGTTGAAAGAGGAATTGGGAGGCCTGGCTCAGAGCCAAGCCTTTGTCAGCTGTGTAACTGACCATGGCATTTCCTCTTTCTCACCATTGAATACATTTGAGAAACTCCAGGTTAAACAGAGTTGGACAGACTTCTCACAGGGCTTCTCTGAACCTTTAGTATGTATGTGTGATGTGAGCTCCAAGGCTGGCTGTATTTGTCAGCTGTATTATTTGATCAGACACTTAGTTTTGAGGATGTAGATTTTCAGGTGGAAACACTTGGTGTATCATTAGCTTTCAGTTCCTCTCTAGATCTGAACCTGCCCTTCCTGAATGAATTTCAAAGAATCTGGAAATGGACGCGTACTTAGGGGAGCATAGATAAGTAGATAGGTATTCGTTTTTCTGACTATTCCCTAAAAGGTCTGTAACTCCAATAAAAGGTAAGAGCACTGTTGTATAGGAAGCCTGAAATGTCTGTACGAGTGCATTTTTAGACTCTGTAAAGAACTTGACTGGAGACCCAGTCTCTGAAACTTCAGTATCAGGTCCCGGTCGTATCACAAAGGATGGAAAAGTGCTTGAAGTTCTCCCACTCTAAAGTCTGGAGTTTAGCCAGATGAATAGGCAAGTGTTGTTTCCCCAGTTGCAAAGTATGAAGGAATCTAAGACCCGAGAAGTGACTAAGATGGTTCGATAGCCCTGGGTGTATTTCTGGCTTGCTTCTTTTGGGACCTTGGGTCAGTCTCTTACCTTTTGAGGGCGTTAGCATGTTTTTCTATGGAATAAAGGCTTAGGCTGAGAAAATGCTGAGTGATTCTAAGAATCTCACAGCTTTAATTTTGTATGATAGGACCCTAGACCACTACTAGACATGCTCCTTTTTCTCTGGTGTACTTGGTTGAGATCACGATACTTATCGAAAATGTTGACTAGGAGAACTGGTGTGAGATCTGACAGTGAAAGGCTCGATTGAGGTCCAGTGGGCCATTGCTCCAGGGCTCTGGTTATTTGACTTCTTGGATTTTCACTGGATATCTCCATGGTCTTCTCTGGTTGGAGCCTTCTCTGGTGGTTTCAGCAGAGCAATGGTTCCTCATAAAGCAGTTTGCATGAAAAGACCAGGAGGCAGCGGGGAGGAGTGGTACTGAAGAAGGCAGTCTGTTGCTAACTGATGGCAGTCTTTCCCACTGAGCCTCAGTACACTTGGGAATGCTTCACCCAGTGTTTTAGGAATTCATTAGCAGTGGAATCTTGGCATGTGAGGTGAAAGTTACTGCCTTCTGAGTGTAGTGGTTAGAGGTATGGTCTTTGGAGTTAAGTGGATTTGAACTTATGCTCTATCATTTTGAATTGTGTGATCTTAGTCAACCTCAGAATTGGATTCTAGCTGGATGTCCTTGAGAAAAATACTTAACTTTTCTGTGCCTTAGTTACCTGCTATATAAAATTGGGCTAATAGTTGTAACTACTACAGGGGATTGTTGTAAGTAAACATCAGATAATTTCTGTATTATGCTTAGAACAATGCCAGCCATGAATAGGCAGTCCACAGATGTTAAGCGCTGGTTGTGGTTATTGTTGTGGTGGTGTTTATCATCAGTATCACCTAGGGCACAAGCGAAGTCATTAAAATTATATTGGGGGAAAATCCTTTAAATGGCCCATAAATTGCAGGTTGAGCATCCCAAATCTGAAAATCCAAAATCTGAAATGCTCCAAAATTCAAAACTCTTCAAATACCAACATGGCACAAAAAGGAAATGCTCATTGGAGCATTTTGGATTTCAGATAAAGGATACTCAACCCTGTAGTCATTCTTGAGTGCATTCAAGTTGATAAACACTGAGTTAAGGGGAGGAGCAAAAGTAAAGTATATCTTTGAGCATTCTAATAGTTATTCTGCCTTTAAAAGAGAATTATATCAAATTTATCAATAATGGGGAATGAGTACAGAATTCTAAAGTATTAACTAATTTTCTGCATGGTATACTAAGTTATGTTTAATGATAACTCTTTATAACCTAAGATGATCTTTTTTTTTCTTGTTTGCCTGGGACTAAGGGCTTTGATTGGATGTAGGAATTTCAGTGCTAAAACCAGACAACTCAGGATGTGCCATCACCCTACTATAAGTTTAATACATTTGTCTGTTGAGACTATTGAAGGAGATATTAATGGGAGAGCACATAGTGCACTGCTTGGCACATAGTAACTGCTCCTTAAGTTGTGGTAGAATTGAGTCTAAATCTTTTGTAGCATTAAGTCTAAATCTACATATTTTGTAGAACTGAGTCTAAATCTAAATCTTGATTGAGCCGATTCATACACTGCTCTTTGATAAATTGTAGGGAAGAACTTGGCCAACTGCTTTGTTGTTCCTTTGAACAGCTTTTACTGTCAGGTTCTTGGGCATTGATTTCTTTCAGTTTCAATTTCCTAAACTGTAAAAGGAGAATAGTAATATGTATCTCACAGGGATATTGTAAGGATTCAATAATATGTGATTAGCACATTAAAAGTGAGTATCACAGTGGCTGGCTCCTACTAAGCTCTTAAGTGGTAACTATTAGAATATTAAAGTCCTTTAACATTTTATATAGATGCTATTTGGAATCAGTAGTCCCATCAGTGGGAAAAGTTGGAATGATAGCTCTTGACTGAGTGTTTGACTCCTTTAGCTCTGCTCAGTTTTTTCTTAGAAGCTTTCAGCTTTCTTATTCTAGAATGCCTGAGGAAGAACATTGTATACCTGCACAACTGAAAATGTGTGTTTACAAATTGTATTTTAGGTAATGAGGAGTACCTGATTAATCTGATAGACTCTCCAGGACACATGGACTTTTCCTCAGACGTATCAACCGCTGTTCGCATTTGTGATGGATGCATCATTGTGGTAGATGCTGTGGAAGGAGTCTGTCCACAGGTAATGGATTGTGGTGAGAAAATACTTAAATGGTTAAGGGTGAGGAAAGAGGGGGAACTGACTGACTTTAGGCATTTCACTGACAATCACAACATTGGTTTTATATTTCACATTTGGTAACGTTCCAGTCTGTGAAGGAGTTAAATCACCAGAGTTCTGAAGGGATCTTAGAGATGATGACTTTAATTTAACATACTTTGTTTTTGTTTTTGTTTTGAGACAGAGTCTTGCTCTGTCACCCAGGCTTTAGTGCGGTGGTGCGATCTCAGTTTACTGCAACCTCCACCTCCTGGGTTCAAGTGATTTTTATGCCTCAACCTCCACATAAACTGGCATTACAGGCATGTGTCATCATGCCTGGCTAATTTCTGTATTTTTAGTAGAGACGGGATTTCGCCATGTTGGTCAGGCTAGTCTTGATCTCCTGGCCTCAAGCGATCCACCTGCCTCAGCCTCCCAGAGTGCTGAGATACAGGTGTGAGCCACCATGCCCAGCCTTATTTATCCTTCTTAACTGTCAGTTGCATAAAGGCAATGATGATTTCTTGTCTATAGTCCTTTGCTACTGTGCTGTATACATACTTTGTGAATGCCTATTGAATACCTTTGTGTGGCTGGCATAGTCTAGAGTGGTTATTAATCAATATTTTCTAATGTGCTCTAATTATTTCAAATCATGAGTTTTACATTTTTCTTTCTGTTTTTATTAGACACAGGCAGTTCTGTGACAAGCTTGGCTTGAAAGCATCCATCCAGTTTTAGTGATTAATAAGATAGATCACTTGATAGTGGAACTGAAATTTACCCCACAAGAGGCCTATTCTCACCTTAAGAGTATTTTAGAACAGGTATTTTAATTGTTAGTATCTAAAAAATTTAGCCTCGAAGAAGAGTTGTAAGGAAGTTACTGAGCTGGGTATGAACCATTGCTACAGAAAAGTGAACTTTTCCACTTCAGATTCATACATGTTGGTGTTATTCTACAACAGAGGCAACAGAATAAGCATGTTCTCAGTAGTCCCTTCCATCTCTTGGAAGCACCCATCATATAAAGCTTGGACAACAGGCTGTCTTGTTTAAAACATTGTATCTTGGTTCCAAAATGAAGCAATATTAAGATCTTATTACCTGTCTATAGTATTTTATTACCTGTCGTTAGAGGAAATTTTACCCAAGCATTCATTCATTTATTTATTCAGCAAATATTTCATAGATATACGTTGAATAAATGAATTATCGAATGTCCATTGTGCACTAGGGATTGTGAATGTAAAATGGACAGGTCAGAATCCCTATTTTCAAGGAGCTCACAGTATAGTAGGGGAGACAAACAAAGAGCTATTTGGAGAACAATGAGATAAGCCCCGGGTGTGATATGACAGCATAGATAAGGGCCATCTAACCCAATCTGGGTCAAGAGGGAAGAATGAGTTAGAAATCGTAGAATGGAAACCTTGAGATGGAAGTAAAGTAGGTGTTTGCCAGGTAGGCAGTTAGGAAAAGGACATTCAAAAGAGGAAGAATATGACAGGCAAAGTCATAAAGGCAAGAAAAAGCACAGTACAATGTTTCATTTAAGGAGCTGCAAATTGTTTTATAGCCGATTAATTAGATCATGTTAAACAGTGACAAGAGATGGGAAAAAGGATATGGATTTAGATGTTGATGAACCTTGTATGCCATGCATAGGAGTTTGAAATTTCTTCCTCAAGACAGTGGAAAGCATTGATGAGAGCAACTTGAGTATATTTATTTGCTAAAGGCAGGAAACAATAAAAGTAGAACAGTGAAAAAGAATGATGGATGGATATCATTCCCTGTAGAAATAGGAACAGGTAAAATAACTCCTGCCCTGCATTGGCAGGAGAAAGGTCGGTGGTATTTGCAGACATAAGTGAGCTTGTAGATTGGGATGTGGGGCACTTGAAGGAAATCCGAGTAATAGGTTCCATTTTCTTTCTGAGGTAGGACATAAGATTACTGCCTATTTGGGAGTGAAAGTAGTTGAGGATTAGGATTTGGGAAGAGGGCCTGAAGAGAGTAGTGCACATTTCAGACAACCAATGTGAAAGATGGGCAAGGCAGTGGACTAAGGTTACAAACTAGGATTGTGGGGTTGGAAATCATGAGTACTTTGTGATACTAGGCCTCAGCACTGAAAAACAAATTAAGGATATGACACACTAACATTTACATTAAACTAATAATAATAATCACAAAATAACCTTCCAAAAACCTTATAATTTAGTTACGCTGAGTTTAGGAAGGATGGATACATCTAAGTTATTCACTGATTGTGAATGTCACCTCCATTCGTGTATGCTTAATGAGCCCAAACTGACTGATGATTCTAGCCCTAACACAGGTTAAACAGTGTTTCTCCTGCCGTGAGCATGCTGAGCATCTGAATGACGCTCTGCCATTTCACCATCTCTCCTAGATTAATGCGCTCACAGGGACTCTTTTTACTTCTAAAGTCCTAGAAGAAAGAGCAGAGAGGGAGACTGAATCCCAAGCGAATCCAAATTCTGAACAAGGAGAGCAAGTATATGACTGGAGCACTGGCTTGGAGGACACAGATGATTCTCACCTTTACTCCTCTCCAGAACAGGGAAATGTGGTGTTTACCAGTGCAATAGATGGGTGGGGCTTTGGGTAAGTCTGTTGGAATCTGATTAAATCTCTTTGCAGATTTTATATGCAATTGGTTTTTTTTAGTGAAACTTTTTATTTTGAGATCACTATAGATTCACCTACAGTTGTAAGAGATAATACAGAGAGTTCTCTGGTGCCCTTTACCCAGTAACTGCCTCCTATCCATGATAACATTTTGTAGAACTGTAGTACAATAACCAAGCAGGACTTTGCCATTTGCCATCAATATACAAAACATTTCTATCACCACAAGGCTCCCTCACGTTGCCCTTATATTGCCACAGCTACTTCCTTTCCACCCTCAAACCCTTTTTAACCCCTGACAACCGTTTATCTTATCTCCAAATTTCTCATTTCAAGGGTATTACAGAAATGGAATCAAAACAGTATATTATAGACATGGAACCAAAAAAATACGTAATATTTTTTGGATTGACTTTTTTCACTTAGCATGATTCTCTAGAGACTTATCCAAGTTATTGCATGCATTAATACTGTAGTTGGTTCCTTTCTGTTGCTCAGTAGTATTCCATGGTGTGGATGTACCCCAGTTTAACTACTCACCCATTAAAGGACATCTGGTGTTGTTTTTTTTTTCCTTTTTGGGCCATTATGAGTAAAGCTGCTGTAAACATTCGTATGTAGGTGTTTGTGTGAACATAAGTTTCATTTCTCTTGAATAAATGCCCAGGAGTGCAGTTGCTGGGTCATATGGTAGTTGTATGTTTAGTTTTTAAAGAAACTACCAAACTGTTTCCAGACGGACTGTACCATTTTATATTCTCACCAGCAATGCATGCGTGAGTGATCCAGTTTCTCCAAATGTTCACGTTTGGTGTTGTCACTGTTTTCATTTTAGCAGTTCTTTTGGGTGTGTACTAATATGATATTGTGGTTTTAATTTGCGTTTTCCTAACAGCTGGTTTACCTTGAACATCTTTTCATGTGTTGATTTGTCATCTGTAGGTCCTCTTGGGTGAAAAGTCTTTTCACATCCTTTCCCATTTTCTTATTGTGTTTTTTTGGTACTCCTGGGTTTTGAGAGATTTTTTCTATTCTAAACGCTAGTCCTTTGTGCTTTGCAAATATTTTCTCCCAGTCTATAGTTTGACTTCATATACTCTAACAGGGTCTTTCAAAGTGAGCAAAGTTTTTTTGTTTGTTTGTTTGTTTTGGTTTTTGTTTTTTGAGACAGAGTCTTGCCCTGTTGCCCAGGCTGGAGTGCAGTGACGCAATCTTGGCTCACTGCAACCTCCGCCTCCCAGGTTCAAGCGATTCTCCTGCCTCAGCCTCCTGAGTAGCTGGGACTACAGGTGTGCACCACCATTCCCCACTAATTTTTGTGTTTCTTTTAGTAGAGACGAGGTTTCAGCATGTTGGCCAGACTTGTCTCGAACTCCTGACCTCAGGTGATCTTCCTGCCTCAGCCTCCCAAAGTGCTGGGATTACAGGCATGAGCCACCGTGCCCAGCCATCAAAGTGAGCAAAGTTTTTAATTTGGCTGAAGTTTCCTTTATCATCTTTTCTTTTTATGGATCTTGATTTTAGAGTCAAGTTGAAGAACTCTTTGCCTAGCTCTAGATCCTAAAAACTGTCTCTCATTTTTTTCTAAAAGTTTTAGTTTTACCTTTTACATTTAAGTCCATGACCCATTTTGAGTTAACTTTTGTATAAAGTGTGAGGCTTGTGTTGAGGTTTTCTTTTGTGGGGGGAGAGGGCCTATGGATTTCCATTTACTCTAGAACCCTTTGTTGAAAAGGTTATCTCTTCTCCATAGAATTGCTTTTGTGCCTTTGTCAAAATGCACAATTTTTTGCTGGGCATACTTGTGTGGGTCTGCTTCTGAGTGTTTTGTTCTGTTCCATTAATCTGTGTGTCTGTCTTTCCAACAGTACCACATAATTTTGGTTAGTGTAGCTACATAATAAGTCTTGAAATCAGGTAGATTATTTCTGTCCACAATATTTTTATTTTTCAAAATTACTCTTGCTGCTCAAGGCCTTTGCCTTTCCATGTAAATTTTATAGTAATCTTACCTATATCTGAAAAAACATTTTGCTAGGATTTTGACGGAAATTGCTTGGTAAACCTGTTAATTTGGAGAGAATTTTGATATATTTGCTAAGTTGAATCTTTTCTATTCCATGAACACTATGCCTCTCCATTTATTTAAAATTTTTAAAAATTCTTTTATGAGCATTTTATAGTTTTCAGCATATAAGTGCTATGCATGTTGAGTTAGATTTACACTTAATTTTTCATTTTTCTGAAATGATTATAAATGATATTTTTAATTTTGGTGTTGACACATTCATCTAGTATATAGAAATACAATTAATTTTTGTATGTTGATCTTGTATACTGTCACCTTGCTGAACTCACTTGAAGTCCTTTGTAGATATTTTGGAATTTGCTATGAGACAATCATGTCTGCAAACAGGAATTGTTGTATTTTTTTTCCTTTTCTATCTGCATGCTGTTTTCTCTTTTGCTGATTGCACTGGCTAGAATTTCCAGCACTATATGACTGACATTGATGAGAGTGGACATCTTTGCCTTGTTTTCGGTCTTAGGAGGAAAGCATTAAGCCTTTCACCATTAGAAATAATGTTAGGGCTGCAGGCTGTTTTTAGATGTCCTTTATCAAGTTGAGGAAGTCCCTTAATATTCTTATTTTTTTGAAAGTCATTATTATGAATGTGTCAAGTTTTGTCACATACCTTTTCTGTATTAATACATTTGTATGATTTTTCTTCTTTAGCTTGTTAATATGGTATATTACATTGATTGATGTTTTTTAATATTGAGCCAGTCTTGCATTTCTTTATAGATTTTATATACAATTGATTTTTAACTTTAACTTTATTCTTGAATAAATTCAAATGTATACCACAAAAGGATCCCACTGTATTCCTTAGATCAGTTTATTTTCTGTTAGTTTTTGTTTATCTTCTTAAAGTTATTTATACATAGATGAACAACTATATTTATATCAACTTTGATACCAACAGTAGCAAAAGTTAGTCTAGCTTTATTGAGGATGTATGTATGCTAAATATTGAGTTAGTCACTTTATTTAAATTATTTCACCAAAAACTCTGACAACACTCTTTTGAAATAGATATTAGTATTTATTATCTAAGTCTCAAGAACATTAAGTAACTTTTGTTCAACATCACTCAGCTGCTAAGAGGCAGAGTTGATATTAAGATTAAAGTCTGCCTGAGTCTGAAGCCTGTGTTTTCTTGACATGGTTCTTCTCTGGGGTCTTCCCTATGGGGTATAAGGATCCTTATTTCTTCTTATTGCCTCTCCCGAATTTGTACATGCTGAGGCCGTGTTAACAGTGACCTTGGATTTCAGAATGGAGTAGATAATTGATCACATTTTTCAACTACAACAATTTCTGACTTGTGGAATCAAAAAATCCAAATGTAGTTAAAAGATTATTACTTTGAGATAAATGTCTGTGGTTTGGATAAATAATAGTGGGACCATAATGACCTTTACTTTAGTTGGGGCTTGATATTGCATGTAATTTGCAGGGATCATAGAACTAGAAATGATGCACTAGGAGAAAACAGAGTCTCTTCATGAAATTTATATCAGTATGACTTAGAATTGGAAAGAAAGAAAGGATCAGGAGCTGACTAGAATGCAAGGCTTGGGAGTAGCCTAACAAATCTCTGGCTCCGTTTTTTAAAATGTATTTTCCTTTTTACAGGAACTTGTTCTCCAATTTCCCTTTGACCAGATTTTGTCTTGGGCAGGGCAGTGTAATATAATATCATAATTTTCTGTTTGTAATAAATTATAGATATCTTAGTCCATTTGATGCCCGAAAGATGATACTAGAGCTAAATAAATTGAAGTAATGCATATATGATGAAAATAGAAATTGTGAACCTGCTGAGAATTTGCACTTTCATATATTGTTGATGGATTGTCATTATCACCTTTCTAGGCCTCAGTTTACTTATCGGAAAAAACAAGAATATTGGGCTAAGATGATTTCAAGACTTTCTTCAGATTCATTCACAGTGATTCATTCAGTCGTATAATAGGGTCATACTTGTTGATTTCCTGATTTGTGAGCATTCTGCTAGTAAGCCACAAGGTGGGAGGCTTGTCCCTTTCTTACAGTGATTTTCATAAGTAATTTAATGTTTTATGCTAATTTTAGTCTAAATCACACAAACTGGGGGAGGTTTATTGTGGAAGGAAAAGGAATGGGGAGGAAGTTGAATGGATAGAATAAGGGTAATTTACATAGCCCTTACTTTTGACATTTTTAGATACTATCAGCCAATAAATGAATGTTCCCCTGTATTAGACAAGGTCAGATTTAGAGATTGGCTAGTGTCTGTTCTCAACAAGTTGATATGTGAATCTATGGGAAAGTAGTGGTGGAAATGAAAGCACCAGAGACTTTTTTTGCTTCCCATTTTCCTCTAAAATGTCAGTGAATAGGCCAAGTTGACAGCTGCATGTGTCACAAAAGGTGGATAATGAGCACATTCCAGAATTCGCAAGAAGATTCTATAAACTCTGCAGTGGGAAAGGATTAAGAAGTGTGACTAGAGGCTGAACCTAGGTCTTCTCCCGAAATCTATCCTGTTAATTGATGTTAATCTGGGAGAGTCTGTGCTGAAAAGCAGAAGCACATTGACTTGGATGGGTAGCATCAAGAATCCAAGTTCTTGTTTTAGATACATAGAACTGAGTCCTCAACCTTATAGAAGAGGGACAGGAGAGAAGAGACAATGAAAAGCCCTTTGTATTAAATATACTTGTCTTTGTATAACTGTGTCTTAGAATTCAGTAGTTAACATTAATCCACTGGGTAGCTTGGAGGGCAAAAGGGTGTGTGGCTCAGTAATTTCATACTTGACTGAGTTGTCATTCAGCAAGATAGGCAACAAATAGATCAGTAGTCTTGGAATATAAATCTTTCTGCACGTCTCTTAGAATCTTGTTTGCAGTTACTCTGTAGAGGAAATGAATTAAAATAGAATTCAAGAATGGAGAAGTGCTAGAAATTGTCAGTGTTTAAAAATTGTAACTAATTAATGGCAAAAATAAATAAAAGCATTAGCAGTAATGTGGAATGGGTTGACGTTAAGCAAATTTTGTAGTAACTACGGGATAAAAAAGAATGAAAAGGACAAGAAACAAGATTTTGAAAGATTTGTGTACCCGTATGTGTACACATGTGTGAATATTTTATATGATGGACCAGAAAAGCCTAGCTTAAGCAAATGGGCAAGTGTCTTACTATAATTTATGATTTTGATAGAGGTTTTGGGAGTGTTTATTTATGAAAATCTTTAAGTTTACCACTTCCAGAATTAAGAGCGGGATATTTATCTGACATGTCATTGTAAAATATAAAAGAATGTGTAGTACAGTCTGGTAACACAAATCAATATTTTAAAAAAATCCCGGAAGAAAAGAAACCACACTAGAAATCTAACTGATCAAAACAGTTGTACCAATAAATGATTGTACCAATAAATGTATGAAATCCCCTACTAAGGAGATATTTTTTAGAAAGGAAATTTTATTAAAAAAATAAATCCAGAAGTTTGCTAAATAAAAGAGATAAACATAAAGCATAATGGACAGAAGCTACATACAAAGCTTTGGCTCAGATATGTCAACCAAATATGAATGAAAAGAGAGGTTTGGCAATATTAACAATAAAATAACATTTATTGTAAATGAATTATGGCATAAGGATCATTTTCATACAGATAATTGACACATTTACTAGTGAAGAGATTAACTATCAATTATCTGTCACCATAAAGAGATGTCTCTTTTAGACATCCCTGTATGGTTCACACTGTCCTTCTAGTCTCAGCTGAGGCCTTATCTCACTGCATGCTGGTCATCGTGCAGTGTAGATCGGGAGAGGTGGGTGCTCCCTGAAACCCCTTCTATAGATAGAGGTGGTGTAGGAATGCTGTCATATACCCTCAAAGGATACTTTTCTTGGAGCTTTATTTTTTAACGTAAAAACCAGGATTTCATAAATTTATTCTCATTGAAAATCATAATATACATTGCTTTTGAGAAAGTACTCACAAGTATAAAGCCACAGCAAACAAAAAAATCGAAGCCAGCACTGCTAGTAGATGTTTGTAATTTCTTTCATCCTTTTTACATAGATATATACATCCCTCAGTTGAGATATGCTGTTTATACAACGTAGCTGCCCTTTTGCTTTTGTCATATCATGAACATCTTCCCTTGCCATTAAAAGCTTTTTTATAAACAATATATTTCAAAGGGAGTGAATATAGCTAAGTGGGAAAGAGCATGCCTTGAGAGTTGACTCTGTTTGAATTTTGGCTCCACCACTTATTGGCTCTATGACTTTTATCTCAGTTATTTCATCTGTAAAATTGAGATAATAGCACTTATCTCACAGGATAGTTATGATTCTATGAAATAATTCAGTAAGCACCCTGTTATTTTATTTTGTGAGAGCACTATCATTTATGTAATCATTCTGAAGATTGGAAATAGTTTTTTTCAAATGCTTTGATATTGTAAGTAGGGTTACAATAGACGTCTTTGTGCAAAAGTTTTATGTCTTCATGATGCTTTTTTTTTAAACTGAGCATTCTAAGCCAATGACTTTTAATTTCTTAATACTGTTGCCAGTAGTTCTTCAGAAAGGAGGTATCAATTTATTAATATATCCCACCTCATGTATATGGGAGCGTATACCCCTCAAGGTGCTCTTGCTATTAACTTTTTGCATAGTTTGGTAAGAGAAATGATGGGTTTTTTTGGGTTTTCAAAATTTTCCTATCCTTGCGAACTTTTAGAAATATACTTAAGAATGCTTTATGTTTCTTCTAACATAATTTTAGACTGAAGTCCATGGAAAGAGGCTACATGTGCAGAGTGAAGTTTTAGCTCTTGGCTTGTGTGCTGTGTGTATTTGTTTGATGGCAACCATGGTAATATGACCCACGAATGGTCATATCACTTGTAAAGTCTATGGTTCCCAGAGTAAAGAACAGTGGATTATTATTAATTGTGGATTATTGGCAGTTTAGTGCATTCTTATAACTACTTTCATCTACTTTATTTTTGAATAAATATTTTCAAGTAGAAATGAAACATATTGATAATAAAAGCATGTCAAGAAGGAATATACAAATGCCTATTAAATGTCAGGAACTTAAGCCCGTATATTCTTTTGTACAGGCCAAAGGAAAGAAACTTTTATTTGTACAGTTGATCCTGGAAAATCTATGGAGTTTGTATGATGCTGTCTTGAAAAAGTAAGACTCTTTTAACATTGTTTACCTTTAGGCATCTTTAGGCAGTATAATTTGTCTCACTTTCCAGTTTGATGAGTCATACTTCAGAAAGCTGAGATGGACTGAGAAAGTGAACAGAGCTTCTACAGATGAGCTGATTACAGGGCTTGGAAGCAATTTAAAGAAGTCTATGTAATCCAGCTAAAGGGCAATACTGGAGGGACAGGATAGCAATATTTTATAGAGTGCTGAGGAGAAGAGATAAAAGGATGGAAAGAAACATTGGGCTTTTGTTTATCCAAACCCAGGTTTAAAAAATAGTTATTAAAGTAGAAAAGGTGCTTGATAGCTAGGATCATTAATGGGGAACTTGGGAAATAACTTGTCTGATACAAGTTTGCTTTAGTGCATTTATTTTCTAAGTTGTTCCTGAGGTGGAATAATAACTTGTTGGCACTTATTTGTAAGGCTGCTTTACCACTTGATATAGCTTGCTTGAGGAGATTGTGGAGAAGTACTTCCTGGGAAATCTTAAAGAAGGATTCACTTGAAAGTGTAAGAGTAGAGCTTGAGGAGGCTTTTTCTGTGGCAGGATTCCCTTCAATCATTTTTAGCTTTTTTTGAAAAAGTAACACATTAGGGTAAAAATATGCCGAATAATGTTGGGTTCCTTTCTCCCACTGCCTGTTTATATATGCGTATGACTTTTTCCCCCTCCAATCTTGTATTTACTATAGGGACAAAGACAAAATTGATAATATAGTGACTTCTTTAGGATTAAAAATTGGAGCCTGGGAGGCACGACATTCAGACCCTAAAGTTCAGATCAACGCCATTTGCAGTCAGTGGCTACCCATACCCCATGCTGCTCTTGGTATCCTTTATTCTAATGGTTTTTAATGAAATAGTTTTGATAAAGCTAGAAAAAACAATGCATTATGGCAACCAAGAAATTCTCTGGAAATAACATTCAATCCAAAATAAGTCTTCTCTGCTTATTTAGTGTTCTACCATGAAACTGTATTAAATACTTTAATAATTAATACACTAATACTAATTTGTTTTAACATTACTAATGAACTTCTTTAGAAAGACAGTTCTTTTGTGTTTGTTTAGTAATCTGTAAAAATAGAAATGTTTACACTGAGATTTAAATATAAGTAGATGATTTAGATGTTTGTGTTAGATAACTGTTTCATTTCAAGGTCACCTGTAGCCAACCTGCTAAGCTCTGTTCTCATTTGTTCCATGGGCCTCAGTGTTAAAGTACCTGTTCAATGAGGATCCTTTCTGAACTTTAAGGAGTTTGTGAACTCCCTGAAATTGTATGCATGTTTTGAGATGTGATGCATAAAGCAGTGTTGCCATATAACACATGCATTTTGTGTATGGACAGACTTTGTTACCTCCATATTTAGAGCATACAGTGAATCTTCGCCTTGGGGAGGCACTGGCTCAAGGTTTTGAGTCCTAAACAACAGACTTCAGCTATGGTATGTCAGAAACTTCCTTGTCCCCTTGATATTACAGCCCAGAGAATGGAGAGACTGATGTGCACAGGATCACAAACTTTTGACTCTCTTCCACCAGAAACTCAAGCACTGAAAGCAGGTGAGGAAAGATGGACCTGTTGGAATATACCATGTCATTGACTGTCCTCCATCCTGGCTGCTCTAGGCCAATTTGCTGAATGCTAGTTTGCTAAATGGCCAATTTGCCAAATGTCCACTTCCACAGATGAACAGTTTCACAAATGACCATTTCACCAGTTTTGCCTCCCACCCTCACCCCAAAGATTTTCTTGTCACAGCCATTTTGCTCAGCCAGTAGGGTGAGACCAGCGACTTCTTGTACACATGCTTCTCATGAGAAAAGAAGCTCCCATTCTGGGCTTTGTACGTTCCATGAAATTTGCCTCTATGTATTTTCTTATCTCTAATTCTTTTCCTCCAGTTCTATTGCTTTTGTAACCCTACCCTCAAACCACTACGCTGTTGTTCTTGGCATCACTATTGACTTTTGGTTCATTAAATCTAATGGCCAGTTTTCAGTCTTCATAGGACTAGATCTGTCACTAGCATTTGACACAGTTGATCACTCCTCCTCCTTGAAACACTTTCTTCCCTTGACTTCTAGGCTTCCATTGCTTCCGTTACCTTGCTTCTGCTTTTCTTCGTGTCTCCCTGGCTGCTTATCCTTAATAATCTCTTTTTGTGATTCCTCCTCATCTCCCTGGCTTTTTAACTTTGGGGTGCCCCAAGCAAGGTTCAAGTCTTTGATCCTCATCTATTTTACCTTCAGTCCCTCTTTTGATAATCTCGTCCAATCTCAAGACTTTAAATGACAACTACATACTCATAATTCCTACAGTTATGTATCTTGAGAGCATGTCTGTTTTCTGGACTCTGGACTGATATCTAGAACTCCCTCTACACTGTGTTGTCTAAGAAGCATCTCAACTGAACATATCCCAAACTGGACTTTTTATCTTATCCCCAAGCCTGCTCACCTAGTCATTTCCATCTCAGTTAGGGGGACCTCAATCTTTTCATTTACTCAGTCCAAAAACCTTGGAGTCATCTATGGCCCTTATATTTATCTCACACTCCAACATCCAGTTCATCACCAAATCCTGTTTATTCTTCCTCTTAAATACAGAATTCAACTATTTCCCAATGTTTTCACTTCTGCCTCCCTGGGCCAAGAAACCACCATCTCTCACCTGGTTATTTTAATTGTTTAACAACTAGTATCCCGGCCGGGCTGGGCACAGTGGCCCACGCCTGTAATACCAGTACTTTGGGAGGCTGAGGCTGGTGGATCATGAGGTCAAGAGCTTGAGACCATCCTGGCCAACATGGTGAAACCCCGACTCTACTAAAAATACAAAAATTAGCTGGGTGTGGTGGTATGCGCTTGTAGTCCCAGCTACTCGGGAGGCTGAGGCGGAAGAATCACTTGAACCTGGGAGGCAGAGGTTGCAGTGAGCCGAGATCACACCATTGCACTCCAGCCTGGGTGACAGAGTGAGACTCTGTGTCAAAAAACAAACAAACAGCGACAACAACAACAAAAAATAACTAGTATCCGTGCTTGTTGATTCCAGTTAGTGTTTTCTCAATATTGCAGACAAAACAGAGCGATCCTCTTAAGGTATAAGTCAGGGCATGTCATTCTGTTCCTCATTCAAAGCTTCCACTGGCAAGACTTCTGATACATGTTTGATTCTTACTTCCTGTGGTTTTCTTTTTTCTTGTTTATATTTTACTGTTGAATTCTTTGTATACAAATTATTTTAATGTGAGGTGATGGAGTTGTTTTTAAAAATTTCATTAATCAATGGTTTTTTTACCTCCAATATAGGTTAAGGAAAATGTTCATATGTTAATATGAAATTGTGTTAAAATTTATGTATTTAGGGATAATTGGCATTTTAATAGTATTGAATCTTAATTTATTTCTAAGAATTTGTTAATATCATAATACAGTATTTTTGTCCATTTTATTTTCTAATTTGTTATTGTGGGGGATTGGAAAAGCTATTGATTTTTATATATCGTGATGACAAGCTACCTTGTTGATTGTTGGCCTTTGGTAACATTCCTCAATTCTGTCTTTTCTGTACTTGACAGTGAAAAATGTATTAGTGCTTATGGTAGGTGGTTAACCTCATTGCATAGCTTTAGCTTTCATATGAGATCCCTCACCCTGTCAAATTTGCTTGCTTTTCTTTTCTTATTTCTGCCAAGTCTGTTTGCTCTTGCTCTGCTATTCTTTCCTAGCAATCTTACCCTTTTCTAATTAAAATTTTTATCTTAGTTGGAAAAAGTTATGGACTTCTGGTGTATATCGATGATGCCATGTTCTAAACATTTAATTGTTTTCCAGAAAAATCTGTTTTTTTAATAATGGGAAAAATAGTGACATTTTTACTTCCTATTTGTTTAGCTTTTATGAAATGTGGAAGTGAGGACACTGCTCCAGTTATCATGTTTGTTTCCAAAATGTTTGCAGTTGATGCTAAGGCCTTGCCTCAGAATAAGCCAAGGTAAGGGAAAGGGGAAAGTTGGGCTGGGCTAGGAATATGGTGTATGTTTGGTGGGATGCAGTTGGGCCGTGGGTAGTGGGGGCACGGATAATGCTTTTCCTCCTCAACCCAGAATTCATATCAAGCCAACCCCCAGGGTAACATACAATTTATACAGTAGTATATCCTTTTGCAATACCTCTGTAGGAGAAAGTTGTTGAAATCAGCTCTGGAATATTGAATTGAAGTGATGTAAGTTTGAAGAGTATGTTAGCAGTAGTAGCAACAATTAACTTTTATTGAACATGTCAGGCGAGTTCTAATCTAAGCCTGCCTTGTCTCATCTAATTCTGCCTACCTCAGTAATTATGAATGTATGAGGATCTCTGCTTCCTTGTGTGTATTATGTGTGCACAGGTGTGATGAGTGTAGGAGAGGGATATTCCTCAAGTTCCAGAGTCTTGGGGAATCTGTCTCTTCTACATTTCCTGTTTTTTATGTGTGTTCCCCTCCTTCTGTCTCTACTGCTTCCCCCGCTAGTTTAGATTCTGATCATCTCTTGTGGATGTTGTTGCAGCAACCTCCTAGCTGGTTCTCCTGCCCCATCTTTAGTTCCACTGATCCACTTGCCATTCTTTCTTTAGAGTGATCTTTATAAGACTCAGCTATGAAGATATGTCTCTTGCTCAAAAACCCTTAATGATTCTCACTGTCTTGAGCAGTTTTGATTCAAGTGTAAAGTGTTGGCGATGATTTCAGTGGTACTTAGGGAAATAAGTTTTAATTTAATTAGTTGTCATATTTATTTTAATGTGTATTTGTGTGTATTGCCTGTGTATGTCAAGTGATAAAGCTTTTACAGTGATGAGATTTTGAAGTTTTATTGAGTTAAAAATGTTTGTGCATTTAAATAAGTATTAAATAAATAATATGCAGATATAGCAGAAATCATGAAAATGATATGTGAGTGACTGAAGGTCAGATCATCAGCCCGTGAAATAAACTTGACCTGTCTTATGGCATTTCCGACCCACCGTGACCTGACCCCAAACCATGTTTCCACTAGATTTTTATTTCTGTTTCTCTAATATACTAGTGTCTGAACAAATGTCCTATCTGTACTTGTGCTGTTCCTCCATCTGAGAAGGCTTCTTTTCCTCTGATAAAATTCTGTTTGTCCTTCAGGGGAAAGGTTATGTGTTGTTTTTTAGTACTTCCCTAGTGATTTGGACATTAAGTGTATTCAATAATTTTTGCCCTGGGGATAAGTAAAGGAATAGATGGGTGAGTAGATGAAGAATGAATGAGTGAATATCCGAATGGGGGAGTAACAGGTCAGTGAATGGGTGAATGAGTGGCTGAGTAAGTAAATGAGTGAATAATGGAATGAATGAATGTCTAATTGTGTATCTAGGCTACTCCCAGATAATATTTCAGTGCTACATGTAGTAACAATTTCTTGTAGTAACAAGTTTAGGATATTGGATTTTTTTGGCCATTGGGAGTATCTGAGAGATTCTGGTAGAATCATAGGGAATATCAGAGAATTGGAAAACTTGCTGTTAATATTTGAAATACATGTATTTATAGCATTTAAAATTCCTAGCTCTACCCATCCTCCATTTCTTGCTGATGAATAATAGTATTATTATGCCTCTACTATTAATTACATTTTCTGTGAATGTTTTTCTTAATAATTCATCATATGCTTTTCTGATTTTAGTATATTTCTGATAGTGCAATCCATTCTATTCCATGAAGTTTTTTTACTGATTTTATTTTTGTCATTGGTTTTTAACCAGTATATCAGGTTCAACAATTGTTACATCATAATATAGTGTTTTCAGGTATACCTGGGTAAGGTCATCATCATTAGTTTGTTCTTTTCTATCTTCTAGCTGACTTGTTTTCATTTAAGTTTTATTTGTAAAATGTGGGGAAATGTATCATTGAAATTTGGTTTGATAGCATTTTCATCTCCATTGTATTAGATATACAAGCCAGGAATAGCAGAGTATTATTTTCCTTTAGTATAGAGTACAATGTATTAGTGATATGTGCCAGGGAGAAAAGTAAGGCAGGAAACAGGATTCGGCACCCACAAACCCTAAAAAATTTTTCCCTAACTTGATGAAAACACTGACCTTTACTCACTGCTCAACAGTGCCGCTGTGGTTGTAAATGAAGTGTGGGACTGTTACAGGACTTTCTCCTCTGTTCTTGTGTTCTTGCCTCTTTTCTTTGCTTCTTCAAATTCACCTTCCAACCTGACATTTGAATCTTCAGTCAACATTCTCACCTCTGGTCTCCTTCATCTCAGTATTAGTGACTATTGTCCCTTCAGGAAGTAACATCCATGGTTAGTTTAACTATAGCCTAAATAACTTAACACTCACAACTGTTTCCTCACTAGTAGGGCCCCATTTTCTTGTAATTAAATTTCTTTATTCTCAACAAATACTGGATACACAGTGGGTACTTTTTACACATGCTTGCTGATTACTATCTGCTTTGTTCCCCTCTACCATCATTCCCAGTGCCCATAGCAATGCGTGGCACACAGTAGTTGTTCAATGGGTGGATGAGTAGATACATAGATAGACAGCAGGCATCTATACAGTTGATGCTTACTTAATGACTGTACATGCTGATTATTCCAGATCACTTCATGAACTTAGGCAGGTGAGGATTTAATCTGCAAGGTGAACAAATACACTTCTTTTTTCACTAAAACTAAAGTGAAATCACATTTACTTAAGATGATGATGTTATCATCTTTAATTCCTCTTGAAGGAAAGACATAACCTGGTGATAATGAGCATAGACTTTAGAGCCATACAGATCTGGATTTGAATTATGGCTCCTCCATTTAATATCTATGTGACTTTGGGTCGAGTTACTTAAGTTTTCAGTCTCCCTTTTCTTATATGTAGAATAGGAATATGATATCTACTTCATTTAATTGTTGTGATAAATTATGTGCTATAATATATGTAAAGTGATTAACAGTCTCTGGATAATCATGATAAACCTGTTGGAAGAGACCATTTCTCTTTAGATGCTAGCAGGTACCTCTGGTATTTTTTCCTTCCTACTCTAATAATAAAAATGTGTTCTGCATTTATATTTTAATTCACACTTTTCAGATATTCATGTGAGTTTTTAGCAAAAGTCTAGAAACAAGGAAAGTTGTCAAAGGATTGGTTGAAGGAACGGCTAGAGTGCTCAGCCTGGGGAAGAGAAGGAAGGTGGGGAAGGCATGAATGCTGGTGATTCAAAGGAAAGGAGAGGGAAGTAGGTTTGTTAGATGTTGCTCCAGAGGAGAGAACTGCAGCCATGGCTAGAGATTGTGAGGAAGCAGAGTTCATTCTATATTTGAAAGTTCTGACATTTAGAGCTTCCTATAATGAGGAGCTTGTCTCTTGCAGTGGTAGTGTGGCCACCTAGTGCCAGCAATTTTGATTGCCTGACGAGACACCTGACCAAGCTAGACTCAAGGATTGTTTCTCATATTTTTGTATTCTATTGCACAGCCCAGTGACCTGCAGCAGAGTGGGTGTGAGTGGAAGGGCCTACTCTTGGAACTAAACTCATTGATTTTGAGGGACAGGTGCTAAGGAAGGCAGAAGTAGTGTCTAGTCCTGGACACTAGGACTAGAGAAGTCTTGTCCAGCAGGCGGATATCTGAAGAGTATAGCAGTGGACAGTCAATGATTTAAGCAGTCACCTTGCAGGTTAGCTTACATGAAATAGAAAGGTAGAAGGAGTTAGGCCGCTTTGCATCAGGAGCCCTAAGGGTCTGTGGCCATTTGGAAGGCAAGTAGGCAGAATAGCTACCTGCATGGCTTCCAGTGCTTACGGAGAGAGGAGGGGAATATGGCATGGCAAAGTGGGGATGAAGGTTATCAGTTAGGTGTGAAGTCTGAGATTGGGAAATAAAGCAGGAATCATAATATTAAAGGTGATGGAAAACACAGGAGAGAGGCACAAAGTGTTGGGACCATGAAGAGTTGTCCAGCTTCCAGAGCTGGAGCATAAAGTTAGGACCAGAAGATTAGCCTGAGTGCTTTGATGCTCAGTCCCAGAGTATAGGGCAAAAGATGCTGTTAATCTATCAGCCTTAGGACAGGGTTTGGTCTTGTTCATGTGTTGGGGTTGAGCATGCAGGTAGGTTCATAAGGACCCCTACATGGGAAGGGAGCCAAGTCCTAGGAAACAGTCTACCTGCCTGGTTTCTACCTTCCAAACCCAAACTCCCAAACAGAATTTGTATTCGACTTAGTGTTCCCCTTTTGTCAACACCTTTTTAGTATTAAAACTCTAAATACCTTTTCTGTGTCCTGACAGACATGAGGGTAGTTCTTTAGGAAAAAGAGCTTAATTACCTCCCCCACCCCTTCTCATTCTCACCCCCATGGAAAACCACACATACATACCCACACACTGCCTTTTCTGTGATGGTACTTCTTAGGTCTAACACAGTGGCTGATATTTCAGTTTGACCTTCTAGTCCTGATGAATTGCCAGTACTCATCCTGACCTTGAACCCTTCCTCTTGAACCCCAGTTATTGAGGCCTTATGCTTGTTTACCTGCCAGAGTCGTTCCAAACCCTAGTATCTGTCACTGTTTCCCTTCCTTCTTCCTGTTCTTTGCCTTTTCCAGAAGGAATATAGGTATCTGAGAAAGGTTCCATACTATTGTACATTGCTCCCGATGGGGACTTGGGCTCTTGCATGTCGGTTCATAAGCTCAGAATAGTTGGGACACAGCATTATTAGAGAGAGGCTGATAGGCCCTCTCTTATTGCTACAGACAGGGAGAGGACTCAGAGAAAACTGCCTGGAATGGAGCTGGGACCAATCTTCATCTTACCCAGCCACGTCAGTACTTGCTGTTTCCCTACTTGGATAAACTGAGAGATGCTTGATGCTGCCAGATGATAACATATTTGTGATATCCTGTAGGCCTCTCACTCAAGAAGAAATTGCTCAGAGACGTGAGCGTGCAAGACAAAGGCATGCAGAGAAGCTTGCAGCAGCGCAGGGACAGGCACCCTTGGAGCCCACCCAAGATGGGAGTGCCATTGAAACATGTCCAAAAGGAGAGGAGCCAAGAGGTATAGCTTTCCTAAGTAGGCTCTGTTGCAAAGTGTTTGCATTTTTGCTTAACTTGGGACACTCATCCTTTAGTTCTTGAGCTTTTTAAGCTTTAATCATAGTTTTTATTAATATTCTTTTCATTCTTGGTATTTTGTTTTCTTTTTTTTTTTTCTGAAACTAGACCAAACATATCATATTCGCTCTTCCTTCTGTGTTTCCAGACAGTTCTTGAATTAAGAGGGCATTCTTGGCACTAATTATCTTTTTGTTTCTGTCAGGTGACGAGCAACAGGTGGAAAGTATGACCCCCAAACCTGTGCTCCAGGAAGAAAACAACCAAGAGTCTTCTATTGCATTTGCTCGGGTGTTCAGTGGTGTGGCTCGAAGAGGAAAGAAAATTTTTGTCTTGGGGCCCAAATACAGTCCTCTTGAGTTTTTACGAAGGGTAAGAATTGAAAGTAAAATATTTATATATTGTTTCTCAAGGGTCTGATATCTTTTCACATTTTGTTGGGACTGGTGATCATCTTGTTGGTAGATTTAGTTTGTCTCTGGAAAGGCACACTTGAGTGACTGTGTATCTCCTTTTGTGTTGCTTTGATAACATTTGTCATATATGTCTCAATTAGTAGCATTTAGGAAACCAAATCAATATGTGGACCAAATTTTCAGGCCTTATTTAATTATAAGGCTTTTCTCTTCTAGGCAAGAATCACCTTGTGGTTAGAGAAAATAACTGATAAGAGCAGATGTCATGCTGGAGCCAGGGCAATGGCCAATCTCTGAGAAATAGGAAGATCCAAAAACTAGCTGGCTCAGGCCAAAGGTGTGGGCAGTGAGCAGGGAATAGGCAGGAGTTGCATGGCACACAGACCCTGAGTCTGGACAGGAGGGTCTGTAAGTAGATGAGCAGGCAGCATCTAAAAATGCCTGAACCAAGGGGCAAAACAGAGATCACAGGCTAGAGATGTCTCAGAACATTTTTGGAAGTAAGCAAGATATATACAATGTAATTATATCATAATTAAATAATAGAGGTCATAGGATGAAGACAGTGCCAGAGGTCCAAGTAGCCAGTCTGGATCAGCACAAAGCAGTAAGCTAGGAAATTGTCAGCTGGCACCGTGGAGCATCATGAGCACAAAAACACATGCTCCTCTCTGTGCAGGAAGCAGCCTGTCTGTAGATAAACCAGGGAAGCTGTGGTACTTGGCTACAAGTGAGAGAGAAGGAGGTAGCAGTTGAAGTAAGTCTCTGCCATCAGTTTTTCTTTGCCTTGAATGCTTATTCCATGAGTTTTAGCAGTTTAATCCTTGGAGAGTGCATTGCTGCGTGGCAGTGAAGCAGTCCTTGTTGAGCTATGGCATGTTCTAATTTAGCAAGAAAGATCGCAGCACTTGGTGTGTATAGGGTTATGTTTTATGGGAGTCTGAAAGTGATATGTATAAAAACTCATCTATGATTATCTTGGCTTGGACATAATTGATAGTTTGCTGTTTATCAGTAAGGGGCAAGTATCAGTTAATTTTTTTCTTTTTTTGTGAAGGTAAATGAGCAAGAAATTGTTATTTAGTGAAACATTGATTTATTTAGCATTACAAATTCCATGAACAATCCAATTTATCTCTGCATAATGTGTCTTTGCTACAGGTTGAAATCAGTTGCTTATGTGTCTCACATCTTAAGCAGGAATGATACAATACATTGACAGCTCAAATGGCTTCTTATTTCAGTAATCAGAGCACCATAAAACCTAATTCCAACTGATTAAAAAAAAACTGAAATATTTCAGACCTACCCTCAAAGTAACCTCTACCTAGAATTTGTGTTCATCTTTTGTGTTAGTTTTCTGTTACTGCATATTACAGATTACAACAAATGTAGCAGCTTGAAACATTACACATTTTGTCATCTCACAGTTTCTATGGGTTAGAAAACCAGACATGGCTTAGCCGCATCTTCTCCTTAGTGTCTCACAAAGCCACAATCAGAATGTTGGCCAGGGTGCATTCTCATCTGGAGGACTGACTGATGAAGAATCTGCTTCCAAGCTCACTAAAGGTTGTTGTCAGAATTCATATATTTGCACCTGTAGTACTGAGAGTCACAGATTTTTTCTGGCCATTGGCTGCCCTCACCTCCTAGAGGCCACCTACAGTTTCTTGTCATGTGGACCTTCCCAACTTGGAGGCTTACTTCATCAAGCCATATAGGAGAGTGGAAGGAGTCTCCTAGCAAGACAGAGTCCTGTATGATGGTATAGAATCACAGTGTGACATCTCATCACCTTTGCTGTATTCTGTTTGTTAGAAGAAGCAAGTCACAGGTCCCACTTACACTCGGGAAGGAGGTTTCTAAACAAAGGTGTGAACACCGGGAAGCAGGCATCATGGGAGGGGCACCTTTAGTCTGTCTGCCACATCTCTTGTTTTTCTTTATAGTTTTACAACCTGTGTATGTATTTCTAAAGAATATTGTCACATTTGCATGCTTTTGAAACTTTGTATAAATGGAATTTTACTGTAGTTATTCTACAACTTGCCTTTTTTTAACTTAACATTGTGAGATTAATCTGTGTTAATGCCTCCTCCCGTAGCTCGTTTATTGTTCAGTGTGGCATAGGATTCCTTTACTTAAATGTATGTTTTATTTATACAGTTTTTTGGTCACTATATATTTGCTGTTTTCGTTGTTTTTTTTTTTCAAATCTAAGCAATGCTACCTTGATTATTTTTGTATATATCTCCTTATGCACATTTACAAGAAATTCTAGGGAATATACCTATAGCAGAGTTGCCTTGGTAATCTGCTTAACAAGATAATTCCAATTTATTTTCTGAAGTAGCTGTGATTTACACTCCCAATAGGAGTGTTTAACAGTTCCAGTTGTTCCACATGCTCACCAAAATTTGGTTTTGTTAGGCTTTTGATTTGTGCCGGTCTGATGGGTATGATATGGTGTTTTGGAGTTTTAGTTTACATTTTTCTTATTACTCTTTTAATGCATTTATTGATCAATCTTGTGTTCTCATGTGAAGATATTAATAGTTCTTGGAGTCATTTCCCTGTTTTTCTGTTATGCTTCTTTATTGTTTTAAATACTGCTTTTCAGATGTCTTTTGTATATTCTGGATACTAATTCCTTGTCAGTTTTGAATTTTGCAGATTTCTTCTCCAGTGTAAAGCTTGTTTTTACTTTCCATTTGGTACCCTTTAATAGGCAGAAGTTCTTAATTTAAATATAGTCAAATTATCATTATTTTATGGGTTTTGCTTTTTAAATCTTAAAATTGATATTAAGTCTATATTGAAGTCACAAAACTTTCTCTTATGTTTCCTTCTGAAGTTTAATATTTTACCTTTCACGTATAAATATTTGATTCAATGTTTGTGAAGAAGGGATCCAAGTTCATTTTTTCCTCATATAAATGTCCAGCTGTTCCAACATTATTGAGTAGTCTATCTTTATCCACTAATTTGCTTTGTCCACTCTTTCAGAAATCAGATTATTACCTATGTACATAGATCTGTTTCTGGACTAATTTTATTTTTTCTGTTTGTCTCTAACTGTCTCTGTTCGATGCTTTCTTCATTTTTCAATGTTTGACATCAAAAAGACCAAATCCCTTTACCATGTTTTTGTTTGTTAGTGTCTTGTTTGTTCCTATTTGCTCCTATATATCAAGTTTATGGTCAGCTTGTCAGCTTCTATGAAAAGCCCTGTTGAGGCTTCGATTGGAATTACTTTATGTCCATACACCTATTTGGCATGAATCAACATTTTATAATACAGCATCTTTCCATCCATTAAAGTATTAGGTTTATTTATTCATTTAGGTCATTTTAAATGTCTTTCATGAAGTTTTATAGTTTTATTTATAAAGAGTTTTGATCATTGTTATTAGATTTATTACCCACTATCTTATATTTTGTTGCTATTCTAAAAATCGTTTTAAATTTACATATTTTCTATTTATTGCTATTTATTTATGCATTTTCTATTCCTAATTATAGAAGTGTAATTAACTTTTTTATATTGATCTTGCATTTTTGCCACCTTGCTAAGCTGTCTCACTAATTATAATTTATCTGTAGCTTGTTTTAAGTGGATGGTCATATTGTGTAGATAATTCCATTTCTTTCTATTCAGTTCTTATAATTTTTCTATCCCTCCAGCCCATCTTTAGAGCTACTTTGAGAGTTGTCATTTTAGCAGAACACATACATTTAGATGTAACATGTGCCTGAAAGGTCATCATTTTCATGAAGTTTCTAGAGTCTACCCTAGCACAGGGGCCTCTCCTTACTCTGAACCTTTATGAATTTACTTGCCTATACTACCTTTTTGTTGGTCACCCTATGCTTGTGATGTTAATCATCTTTGTTTATGTTGTATGTCAGCCATTTTTTCTCTTCATAGCATTAGGGCAGCACCCCAGGCCTATGAGCACCAAAGATAGGTTGATTGGTTAATTGAAATGCTTTCTGGATACTTGCATTTATATGGTGGATATATTTCTGAAAACGTCACACAATACAAAATTTGAATCATTTGAGACAATAGTTCCATAAGAATAAATATGATGTACGGGGAGCTAATAAATCTAATGTACTTGTACTTGTATATTTTTGCTGTAAATGTACTCTGTCCTCTCATTAGTGTTCCTAATATATCACAGCATGCTCTTCCATATGAACAATATAGCATATAATAGCAGTTAGGCCTTTTTTTTTTTTTGGCATTTTTATCACATCTAACTACCCTTCCAAAGTTATTTTTATATGTTACTTGGCACTAGCACCAGCCCTTGTTGAATACTTGAAGAACATTATAAATAAAACAACTTGAAAGGATAATAGTAATAATGAGTTTTCAAATGATAGCACAGTAGTCACCAGAACTGGTGTATGACATGGTTCACATAAATAACCAGGGACTGTGAGGATCAGCTAAAGTGACAATACCAGGTCACAACAGAATTTATGTTACTTAGCCATAAAGCTTATGATTAAATGGGAATCTAGACAATTTTTTAGTATTTGAGAAGTTTCAGTATTTCAAATTTTATTCATAAAGTGAGGCATATTTTATCACACCATTTCAAATGTTCATATTTCAGGTTTACATGAAATGTTGCTATACCATATCTTACTGATGAATAAAAATAACTTTACAAATACCAGTTAATGCTTCCAAATGCCTCCTAACTTGTCTTCAATCATTTTTCTTTGCCCAGGTACCATTAGGCTTCTCAGCTCCACCAGATGGCCTCCCCCAAGTCCCCCACATGGCATACTGTGCTCTGGAAAACCTGTATCTTCTGATGGGAAGGGAACTGGAATATCTAGAGGAGGTACCTCCAGGAAATGTGCTAGGTAGGGTGATGCTGTTTATTTTATCCTTACTCCATTCTAGGAGATTATCTAACATGTCACTGAAAATTTAGTGAAATTTTTGAAGGGAATAACTTTATTCTTTAGATTGATAGTTTTTTTTTCTGGTATCTTTAACTTAGTACATTTGAGTAACTAACATGGAGATCAGTTACTTGCTGTGAATTATAGTAGTTCTGTTTTTAAAATGTATTGCTTAAGTAATTTGTAAATGCTCTAGCCTAAGCTGGAGTTCCATCTATTTCAGAGTGAGAGGAGAAATTCCTGTTCACATAAAGTCAATCTAGATGACTAAGGCATTTCTGGTTCTACAGATTAGATTCTAAATTGTTGGAAACTATTCTGATGTAAAGGTCTATTTAAACTCATTGCTTTTATCCTTTGAGTATTGCTTTGCTAAGATTAGTTGATTGTCAGTTTATATCTGTAAATATTATTCTTCATCTCCTTAGTGTTGTCACTTGTTTGACTTCTGCCCCTCATTTGCAGAATTCACTTTTTCAGTTTCTTAGTGCAACCTTAAAGACTCAGATTAAGAAATTTCTCTTGCATCCAGAGTGTATTATAGAATACTGTATCCCATTGTACTGTTAGATTCTGAACCTTAAGGTCATTGTCAGCTATAGAGCTATTTATTGAGTGATTGCTTGGTTTGGGAATTCTCCGCTTTTTAGAAAAAGGTTTAACTTTTTTAAAAAGGTCTAGTCTGTTGGTCCAGAATAGCTAATGGTTTGTCTGGATTTTATAGACTTGAATCCAAGAAATTTGCCAAAGCATGTTGCCGTTCACCTACAGAGATATATTCTTTTCTTTATTTAATTTTTTGGCATGAAATTTGTAGAATGCTTAGCTTCTCATCGGTGTTACCTATTTTCTTCCATCCCTTTGGAAAATGCTGTTTAACCTTAACAATTGATATACCTTATTAAGCTGCCACAGTCAACTTTATTAGAAAGGACATTGGAAGAATGGAAAACACCCTACTTTTGTTCATAAGCCTTCCTTGAGATTACTGTATTGCTCAAATTAAATGGAACATGAAGTATAAGATCTCCAGCATGATGCTCAAGGGAAAGAAAAGGTATTCTGCTGAGTGAATGGTTTTTATACGATCTTCTCTAATTAAGGCGTGGTGTTTGTGTTGTTTCCCTAGTACGGGATGAGAATGAGGGATACATTAGTTTCTGGTTTTCTTTTTTCTTTCTGTTGCTGAATTTCTAGATGCTGTCCAGGACTGAGGTTAAGTGGTGTATAAGGAGAGAAACCACTTCTCTCTTCTGCTTCCCAAGGCAGCCTCAGCTCTGCCATATGGTACAGGGAGACAAACTTACTATAAGCTAAAATTTTTCATTTATTCTTGGAGAAGAGATATACCTTGACTTCTTTTATTGACCTTTTAAAAAAGTGAGATGGTAGCATAACATGGGGTAAGGATGAAGGTGACTAAATCTTTGTTTACCAAATTTACTTATATAAGACTAAGCCAGATGGACAACCACTTTGTTTGGATAGAAAAGGAAAAGCCAGATTTATTTCCTATAAGAGTTAGGATTGTATTTAGCTGCAAGTAACCAGAAAACCAACTGCATAGTCTTAAACTTCACTCAGTAGAAAGCCCAAGGGTGGACAGTCCAGGCTTGGTGTCATGACTCTTCTGTGTCATCAGGGAGCCAGTGGCTCAGCATGTGGCTTTTGTCCCCGTAGAAGCAAGATGGCCTTATATCTCTGAAAATCATACCCACATTCCTCGCAGGAAGAGAGCACAAGGGTCAAGACCTTCTAACAGGATTAATGTTTTTATTTGGAAAGAAATGCCTCTCTAGTGACTTCTGTATATATGCTCATTTTTGTAATTTTGTCATATGTCCACTCCTACCTGCCGGGGAGGCCTGGGATTGAGTGTTTTACTCTTCCAGCCTCTGTAGTTAAGGCAAAAGATATTGGGGTTGTGAATGGCTTTTGAATAGCCAGTCCACACTCTTAGCTGCATTCGCCTTCCATTCACCTGGTGATGCCTGAGGTGCCTCCATTAAGGTTCTGTTTTCTTTACATTAAAGAGAAAGATAGTCCACCAGAAGGATTTTGAGTGTAACATTGAAGGAATTGGAATGCAGCGGCCACTTTGATGGGGCTTTTTGAATTGAAACATATAGTAATTGTTTTTCTTTTATTAATTGAAATCTGATTGAGTCCCCTGCATGACTAGAAAGCATGAGTATACCAAAATTCTGGCCATAGTTTTGCCACTAACTAGTTTTATGGCCTCAGGCCAGTTATGTAACCTTACTGGGCTTGTTTCCCAAATGATTTGGACTAGGGCAATGATTACTAATACTTCTTATGATAGAAATAGAACAGCCACTTTTAATTTTTTATGAGAAGACTGTGGATTCCCAGGGATACTTTTGTTTATCTTAACCGGGATTTGTCATAATCCTAAACTTTAAAGATAAAACATTAAATAACATTGCATGGAGTACATTTTATTGCTGTAGCTATAAAATACTAACAAAATTGTATTTGTAATTTTTTTGGTAAAATACAAACAGAATTGAAGTTTCAAATTGTCATTATATGATGGCAGGTTGACATCCTAGGTGGAGATGGAGTGAGGTAGACATTTTTTACTTAAGTCATGAAGATCTTCCTTGGATTTTGCTTGAAAAAAGTTCTAAACTAGATTATCTTCAAGATTGCTTCTAGCTTTTAACATTTAGGCTGTGTTTCTTAAAGAAAAACCTTATTTGAGTAATTAGGATATTTCCCTCCCTAGTGTTTATTAGGAGGAAGAGTAAATGTTTTGATATGATTATCTGGGTTGATTGATAACCCATTTTAATGGCGTCATTAAAACATCTTGAACTGGTTACCTGCCTCAAAGTCATAGAATTACTTTTTTAGGCAAATTTTACTTGTTCCTTGATTAAAAGTATGTAGCATATGTTAGCAGTAGCAGCAGTCTCAAGCCAGGGTGTTTATTAAAAGCAACTTTTCAAAGCTAGGAGTAAGTTTAAGACAGGACAGAAGAGGCCAGAGAGTCTGGTATATTAAGGGGTAAGAAGAAAACTGCCCAAGAGAAGGCTAGCTGCCAGCTACAGGTAATAAATGCTGGGGTTCCAGCTTTTGGCTTTCTAGGGTGAGTTGATGGTGACCAGGTATGTCAGCACGTTTTTATTTTTCTTTGAAACAGATTTGTCTTCTCAGGTAGTTTTGAAATGGAAAGAATAAGATGGCTGCATTGGGCTGAAATAATCTATATGCTCCAATTACCTGTTGTTGCATAATAAAACACTCAAAGTCTAGTGACTTAAAATAAAGATGGTCCTTATTTTTTCAAGCATCTGCCATTCAGGCGTGGTTTGGTGGGAATAGCTTATCTCTTCTATGTGGTGTCTATTTTTTTTTTTTTTTTGAGACAGAGTTTCCCTCTTGTCACCCAGGCTGGAGTGCAGTGGAGCAATCTCGGCTCACTGCAACGTCTGCCTCTTGGGTTCAAGTGATTCTCCAGCTTCAGCCTCCCGAGTAGCTGGGATTACAGGCACCCACCACCATGCCCACCACCTGTATTTTTAGCAGAGACAGGGTTTCACCATGTTGGTCAGGCTGGTCTCAAACTCTTGACCTCAGGTGATTCACCCTCCTTGGCCTCTCAGAATGCTGGGATTACAGGTGTGAGCCACCACGCCTGGCCCCACGTGCTGTCTATTGAGACGGCCCAAAGCCTGGAGTCTAAAGTCATATGGAGGGTATTTCAAGCACATGTCTGGGGGCTGATGCCAGTTGTTGTCTGGAACCTTGTTTGGGAGTAGAACTAAGGCCTTTCCATATGGCTGCTTGGCTTCCTTGCAGCATGGTGGCTAAGTTTTACAGGTGAGCGACCCAACAGGGAGAGCCAGGAGGAAGGTATATCACCTTTTATGACCTAGCCTTCAAAGCCTTCAGCCCCACTTCTGCCACATTCTGTTTATTAGAAGTGAGTCACTGCAGCTGGCCCATGTTCAAAGGGAGGGAACTGACTCTGCCTTTTGATGGGAGGCATGTCAAAGTATTTGTGGATATGTTTTAAAACGACCACATTGCTAATCGTAGGTAATTTCTTGTTTCCTTTTGCATTTTAACAGACTCATGACAGGACACATATAAAGAGATGTTCATAGTGATCAGGGCACGCCTGTAAACTTCGTCATTTTTACTTTTGTTAAAAAGTTGTAATTCCTATGTAATAGGAAAATAGTGGAGACCAATATGATTGGTACCCATATGCTTTTCATCATAAATGATACGGAGTCAGTAAATTTATCAAGTGCAGATGAAAATTTTTGTTGGAAAAGGAAATGAAAACATTACATGGCATTCTTGGACAATTCAGCATTATTCAGTCAAAGTCCAAAGGAAAGTTCTTTTATTGGCACTTGAAAAATGCAGATTTCACATTTGAACTCAGCTATAAGTCACTTAGAGAACTTATATGTGCTGATAAGTGTAGAATAGATTTTGTGGTCTGGAAATAGTTGATTTAAAGTTTAAAGTTATTTAATTCTAACCTGATGTTTATAAAGTTGGTATAGATGGGACCAGAGAGACCTCACCATGTTTAGCACACAATAGCCTTTTGTTCTTTTCCCTACTAAGAATATCTCTAAAAATAAATGTTTGCTGCAGGCTCCTATTAAAATGTGAGGGGAAATTGAATTAGGATTCCAAATCTTTAGGCTTTTCATATACTCCTTTAGATCTCTTCCATATGGTTAAATCTTTAAAAGTTCAAGGACATATTCTGAGAGGAAACATGATATTCTTCTTTTCACAGCATGAGGAAAATAATAAATTTTAATTAGCCTTTTTCTGAACTGGTTTTAGGTCTGCCATGGTTGGTTGCTGGGTTGATAGGAAGTCAGTGTTGATAATCTGTGTGTGTGTGTGTGTGTGTGTGTGTGTGTGTGTGTGTGTGAGAATCCTTAGTCACGTGGGGTAATCTAGGAGTCAGAAACCTTTGAAGGGTTTTTACTAGCAAATTTGATGTAATTTATTTCAAGGGAAAGCTTAGTGTAGTATTCAGTTCTTAAGACTTTATGATACTTTTATAATGTTTTTAATTCACTTACTAGTGAATTTCTTTTAAATGTACTTTATTATCAACATTTCCATTTAGAGATAATCTATTTTAATGAGTGAAAACCTAATAGTCATTTCTTAGTTTTAAGAGTTTCAACTGATTTTAATGGCTTTTCTTTTACAGATAATAATGATTTTATTCTCTTTTTTCCTAATAGTTGTGTGTCATATTTCTTTTTATTTTCATATTGCTTATAAGAATATGGTACATAATAATAATTACAGTTGCTATTTTGTCTAGTTCCTTCCAGACTTTAATGGGAATACTTCTGGTGTTTTAGTTTCAGGTTTGCTGATGCCTGTCGATTCATGGTGTCTCTTATTTATTGTGCTGGGAAAGTTATTTTTTTTTTAATAATCAGGAATGGATACTGAATTTTATTGATGCATTCTTAGCATCTGAAGACAAAGTTATAGAGTTTTTCTTCTTGCTGTAATTGATATCATGAATTATATTTAATTTCCTGATTATTAAGGCATCCTTGAATTCCTACGTAAAAAAAACAGCACTCGATCATTGCATATTCTTTTCAACCTCTGTTAGGTTCAATACACTAGCATTTTATCCAGACTTTTCTTGCATTATAAGTTAAAATGGCCATTATTTTCTTGGTATCATAATACCAAAATGGGAAGCTTTCATTTTTTTACCCTCTACAGCTGCACTCTCCATTTGGTAGCCACTAGGTACATTCACTTACTTAAATTTAAATAGATTGAAATCAAATAACATTAAAAGTTTACCCATCAGTTGCACTAGCCATATTTCAAGTGCTTAATAACTATGTGTGGCTAGTGGTTACCGTATTGTATAGTGTTGCTCTTGAGAAATGTGTATATGATGTAAGAATTACCTTTTCTTCAAAAGTTTTGAAATAGTTCACTTGTAAAACTAACTGGGCTTGGTGCATAAAATACTTGATTCTTTCCATCTGGTAAACTTTATCTTTTTCATTTTCAGTTTTGTATATTTGTGTTTTCTTGTTTTATTTCTTTATTATAAATTTTTGTTATTTTATGTAGTTTTGTATAGAGTTAACATTTTAAAGTTCTTTTTAAAAGATAACTTTCAGTATAGTGCAAGCCATAATATTGGTGCATTTGAAAATGCAGATAAGGCCGGGTGCTGTGGCTCATGCCTGTAATCCCAGCACTTTGGGAGGCGGAGGCGGGTGGATCACCTGAGGCCAGGAGTTCAAGACCAGCCTGGCCAACATGGTGAAACCTCGTCTCTACTGGAAATAGAAAATTAGCTGGCCGTGGTGGTGGGTGCCTGTAATCCCAGCTACTCAGGAGGCTGAGGCAGGAGAATTGCTTGAACCCAGGGGAGGCAGAGGTTGCAATGAGCCGAGACCGTGCCATTGCACTCCAGCCTGGATGACAAGAGTGAAACTCCTTCTCAAAAAAAAAGAAAAAAAAAAAAAAGTCAGTTATTCTCAACTTTGAAAATGCAGATACGCCAAATAAGAGTTATTGCTACCTATAGGGGTAACCATCAGTCTTTTTCTGTCCATATATGTGCATATTTTTAAAAATTGTGGTAAGAAAACAACATAAAGTTTACCGTCTTAACTATTTTTAAAAGTATGCACTTCAGTAGCATTTTTTTTATTTAAAAAATCATACTTTGTATACTGTTTTTTAACCTGTATATTTTTCTCTTGGAGACAATCCCTTCTCTGAATATAGCTTTCCCTGCCTTCGTTTAAATGCATTTGCTGCAACTTTCAGAACAGTGTTAAATAGCGCTGCAATAAGAATCTTTGTTTCATTTGTTAAGTTAGAGGAATTTATATATACATGTTATCTATATATGGTGTGTGTGTGTGTGTGTGTGTGTGTGTGTATGTGTGTATGTTAACCTGAGATTATGTCTACTTTTTATAATGAAAAGGAAGTATCCTCCTTTTTCTATTTACTAGGTTAATTTTTAAAATGTGGGTAGATAGTGAATGGTCTGTTCTACATCTTTCAGGTGACACATATGAGGTGTTTTTTTTTTGATCCACTTATGCCATGAATCATATTAACACATTTCCTAATATTAAGCCAGTTTTTATTTCTGGAATACAGTATTAGGTGAGTGTATTTCAAGTATGTTATTGAGCAGTGAACTCAGTTTGTCAGTAGTTTAGTGAAATGTTTATATTTGTAAGTTTGGTCTGTAGTTTTTTGTGTATATTTGTATTTGTGGAGTTTTGATATCAGCATTATATTAGTTGCATGAAACAAATCACAAATTAGGGGATGGTTTTATTGTTATCTATTCTGTTTAAATGGCATAGGAATTTTCTGGTCCCTAAAATTTTGGATATTAGCATCTATGAAATCAGCTATATTTGGTTAGTTGTTCATTGTTATTGTCCCTTTCAGGTTCTTTTTACTGTTTCTTATGTCAGTTTTGGTACTTCATGCTCACAGATAATCAGATTGACTATCCAGTTTATTTGTAATGGAGACCAGTATTAATACTGACAATACTCATGACAATAATTAATATCAGGGCTTACTATGTGCTAGAAATTATACTAAATTTTTGGACGTGATTATCTTCTTTATTCCCTGCCAGGTGAGATACATACATTTCACAGATGGGAAAATTGACACAAAGATTAAGTAACTTTTCATGGTCCCAAAATAATATTTATTCAGATGAGATATTTATCTACTTCTGTATCTTTAGTTTATTTAAACTCTTTGTTTCCATATTGCTTGAGTTTTTTCCTTTTCTCTTGATGTCTTACTGATGATTTGTTACATTGTATCTTTCCTTCTACCCTTAAAGACCCCATTCTTTATATATTACAGTCTTCTAGTATATTATGTATTATCTTTAAGTCTTGGTTCCTGCTTATCATAGATGATTTTATATTTTAATTTTTAATTTAGATTTGATTTGTTTTCTTCTCAAAGGAAATCATTTATGGTCTGAATCTTAGTAAAATTTGGACTGAATTTCTTTGATTTGATACGCTATATTCTGTTTATCATATTTTTATGTGTACTCTTATTCAACGCTTTGCAACCAGTGGATTACAGTTGCCTTTTACAGATGTGACAAGCCACTGATTTCTTTAGCTCTTGAAGCTGCTGAGCAGGTTATGGGAAGGTGGGAGTTCCCTTGTCTATCACCCAGATCAGATTGTTAGCATACAGGTTGATAAAATGCTTATTTTACAACTTAAGATGTGTCCATTAATTCTCATTTTCACTGTCTGAAGTAATTGGCAATGACTAAGTTCTTTTGAATACATAGATTAATACAGTTTCATAATCTAATGACTGTTTATCTACTAATAAGCCCATTGCTGCTGTAGATATTATATAAGAACAAAGGATTCTTTGATGGGAATTACCTTCCCCTCCATCTTCAAAGAGTACATTCCTCTTTTACTCTTAAATGACATTTAACAATGTAGAGACCAGATAATTAGGGAAGATGAAATAAGAGATAATTGGAACAGTTTTTTTGAAATTTGTCAGTTAAAGAAGGAGCAAAATGGATTAACAGTTTGAAGGAATAGTTGAGTCAAAGGAGTGTGTGTGTGTGTGTGTGTGTGTGTCTTTGTATTTACTGGAGTTTGATTATACTTGTTGTATCAGTGGAAAAGAGGTAGGAAAAGAGGAAAAATAAAAGATGCAGTGAAAAACTTAAATGATTAATAATACAAGGTTTATAGTCTCTCCCAACTCAACAATGTAGAAAACATAACAATCTGTTAAGAAGAAGGAAGGTTTGGGACAGAATAAGATTCCGAAAACTGGTAGATGCATGGAAAAGCCACAACGAGCATTTGCTAGCAAATCATTAGATTATACCTTGACTAAATTGGACGGTAATGAGGTTCTGGGAAGAAGTAGAGATAGGGAGTCCAGTGAGCATTACATAGACATTGAAATATAAGACTGTTTTGAGTAAAGTGCCAGAGGGACTATAGGCTATTCATGATTGGAGGCTTCCCTAGTTACAAGCTTGGAGAAAATGCTTGTGAGACCATCTTCTCTCAAGCATTAGGTCCTCTTGCTTCTTGTTGGGAAAGAGGGGACAGTCTGCCCTGCCATAGAGCCACCTCCTGCAAACTCAGCTGATAGGCTTGTTGCAATTTCTTCATTTCCATCTGTGGTTTTGGCCCTACTAATCCTATTTCAGGTACAGTAGTTGAAAAAGTGAACAATTGTATTTAGAACTTGCACATAATAATGAATAGACTGCAGATCATATTCTCTTCCAAAGATATGCTGGAAACATACTTCGTGAGTTGAGTATTTATCAGCATAGTTGTCATGAGAACACTGGGCAGGCCAGAGAGGCCAGAGCCTGGAATTTAGCTAAACTAATAAGACACTAGCAGGTCAAATGTCAGATATAGGAAGGAGGAAAGAGTAGGTGGGCGGTAATGAGCCAAGCAAAGGTCATGCTCAAGGAACAGATAGTGAGACATTTGACCTCTATTCTTAGTATTTTTTAGCACATGACAGAATGGGGAAATAATTTGACATTTATATGGTTTCATGCAGGTTGGGAAGATATCCTTGATGGTTCACACAATGGTCTTCTTGTTGATAAGTTCAGATTTGATTTTTTCCAACAGAAAAGCAAGTGATTGTCAAAAGGGTTTTGAAGAAGGTGGAAATATACTCTCTTATGCCCGTAAATTGATACAGTCTGATTGGAGTGCAAGTTGTAAGGCAGGGGTAAATTGGTTAAGTAGATTTTTTTTTAATTTCCAAAAAGAAAGGTATTTTTTTAAAGACTATGAAGATAGCTTGGGGGAAAGGTGATTTTCAGTTATAACAGTAAGTATGAATTTTGAGTAGTGGCAGTTATTATAAAGACTTGGCAGGTCTTTCGGTCTTTCCAGAAAATGTAAAGTATATGATTAGGAGAAAGGTGATATTGGATAGAGAAACATGTTTCTAGTATGACCTGAAACATGACATGTGGCAGACATTAGATGTGAAGTAATCAAGGAAATGCATTTTAAAATCTCGGTGAGATGTCCTTTCATAACCATTAAAATGACAGAAATGTTAAAATCTGACAATGTTCTGTGTTACAGATATGGAGCAGTGAAAACATTTGTAAACTGTTGTTGTAAATTGATATAACCACTTTAAAAAATACTTGACAACAGGGTGTAGCAATCCCACTTCTAGGTGTGTATCTTAGAGGAGCTTTAAGTACACTCTTGAACAAAGAGACATGTACAAAGATATTTATAGTAGCACTGTTTATGAAAGCAGAAAAAGGGAAGCACCCTAAATATCCATTGGCAGAAGAATGGATAAGTAGATTATGGTGCACAATGGAATATTATACATTCGTGAAAATGAATGAAGTACATTATATGTATCAACTTCAGTCAGTCTCACAAATATAATTAATTTTAAAAACAAGCAAGTTGCAGACAATTTATATAAAGGTTAAAAATATATGGCTGGGCGTGGTGGCTCACGCCTGTAATCCCAGTGCTTTGGGAGGCCGAGGGGGGCAGACTGTGAGGTCAGGAGTTCAAGAATAGCCTGGCCAACATGGTGAAACCCCGTCTCTACTAAAAATACAAAAATTAGCCGGGCGTGGTGGCGGATGCCTGTAGTCCCAGCTACTCGGGAGGCTGAGGCAGAGAATTGTTTGAAACCTGGAGGTGGAGATTGCAGTGAGCCAAGATCGCGCCACTGAACTCCAGCCTGGGCGACAGAGTGAGACTCCTTCTCAAAAAAAAAAAAAAAAATCCAAAAATGAAACCATGTAAGTGCTGTATATTGTTTAAGAACAGATATATATGTAATAAAAATAAATGCACAGAGAGATAAACAGCAAGTACAAGATAATGGGTATCTTGAGAGAGGACATGATTGCAGAGAAGTACACAAATATTGGTTAAGGTCTGTTCCTTAAGATGAGTAGTGGGCCTATATTGTCTGTTTTAGTTTTCTTTTACCTTTTTTTTTTTTTTTTTTGAGACGCAGTCTTGCTCTCTCGCCAGGCTGGAGTGCAGTGGCGCAATCTTGGCTCACTGTAACTTCCGCCTCCCGGGTTCAAGCGATTCTCCTGCTTCAGCCTCCCTGGTAGCTGGGACTACAGGCGCCCGCCACCACGCCCAGCTAATTTTTGTATTTTTAGTAAAGACGGCGTTTCACCATGTTGGCCAGGATGGTCTCAATCTCTTAACCTCGTGATCCACCCGCCTCGGCCTCCCAAAGTGCTGGGATTACAGGCATAAGCCACCACACCTGGCCTTACCTTTTTTTATATCTTAAATATTATCTAATTTTTTCTTTAAAAATTTAAGGAATAATATTAGTATATTTCCTTGACATTGTTGATGCTGTCTTGTAGAATTTATCCCATATAATTGAGTGGAGAGGTAAAAAGTGTTTAATTTGGAAATAGAATATTTTGGGTTAAATTTCTAGTTCAGCTAACTTTTTAGCCTTGTAGCCCGGGGCAACAGGCCTCTCTGATCTTCTCTTCAACCTCTCTGATCCTCTCTGATCCTCTCTTCAACCTCTCTGATCCTCTCTTCTGCCTCACCGATCCTTGGTTTCTTATTTGTGAGCTGAGGATCATGGAAGGCAGCTCTGAAGATCCAGTGGGATGATGCACATTATTTTGTTTAAAAAAAAATCAAAAGGCAAAATGTTAATTAAGCAACGTCATTGTTATCATTGATTTCCTTGGGAAGTATTATCATTAATAAATAGACCTCCAAAGTCACACATAAAGAAAGAAAATGGTAAGTGAAGCACTTAATTATGAAGATTAAAGAATGCTTTCCACTTTTAAAAAATATGTCATTTATTTAAATGCAGTTCTTTTTTTATCCAGAGAATTTAAGTAGGCTACTAGAAAAGTAGGAAAAGAGTACTTTTCTGGGGGAAAAGTACTAAAGTACTCTTTTGTTCTAGTGAAGTTGATCTGAAAGACGTCCTCCAGCAATATATGTAGAAAAGAAATCAGATTCACTGTCTGTTGCTGAAACTCTGACTTTCCCTCTCCATTCCTATTCAGTGTTGCAAAGATTCAAAACTTTTTGATAGCTTTTAAGAGGAAGTTTGAAATTGCACAGGTGATAGAGGGAATTAGTTTTTCTGAGAACCAAGGCAAAAGGAGTGAATCCTTAAAACTCCTGAATTGTCAACATTGATGTTGGAGCCCCACTCCAGATTCGGGTTGGAGTGTGACTCCGCAAGTAGACATTTTGGAGAAGGAGGAGTGGCTGATGCAGAACCTGTGGCTTAAAGTAGGAGGAGGGAGAGAGTTTTCTACTGGGAGGCATATGTATTAATACAAGCTTACAGACAAAGTGGAGAAGGAAACAGTAGTAACCATATTGTCCCAGATTCTTCTCTGACAAGCCATATGCCTGTTCAACAAAGCCATTAGCTGTGTGGGGTAGATTCAGAGTGAAAGTTTGAGTTCTTTTTTTTTTTTTTTGCAAGAAGTTATTAACTATAAAAATGGGCATATGTTCTTCTAAAATGATATTCTGACAAAATAATGGTTCACAAATACAAAGCAGCCCACACAATTGCAGTATAATTTGTTTTATTAAAATAAAAGGATATATATATATATATTTTTAAGATATCATTTACAAGGAAAATCCTCAACTGAACCTCCAGAATTATATTAAGAGCAGTAGGGGGTTGAAAGCACGTAGATTCTTCCTGGAATAAAATACATTATGGTCTTTTAAAAAAATACTTGGCCTTTTTCTGGTTTTATACATGGAGTGAGGAGAGTTAGTTATCTTTGCTTAGGGAAGAAAGTCCCCCTCTCCTTTGTAGATGAGCACAGAGCTTTTACCTTCCTAACACCCAGACCTGCTGATTTAGAGAGGACTAACTGCAAATTCCCTAAGGACTGGGCCTCCCAAATCTTCACACTTAATTATTCCTGGTGAAGATCTCTTGAGTGTTCAGTGTATATTGGTTGAATGCATGAATCAATTAATCACTTAATAAGCTTAGGCGAGGGAATACATGAGCAGCCAGAAGCTATTTAGTGTTCATCATTTATTTCTTCAAAGTTTAAAATATTCTCAGGCAGCCTGGGCAACATAGTGAGACCCCGTTTCTACAAACAATAGAAAAATAAAAAAACAGGCATGGTGGCACTTGCATGTAGTCTCAGCTACCCAGGTGGAAGATTGCTTGAGCCCAAGAGGTTGGAGCTACAGTGAGCTGTGATCGTGCCACTGTACCCTGGCCTGGGTGACAGAGTGGAACACTGTCTTAAAAAAAAAAATCTCAAGTACATAAGGGAGATAGAAAGTATAGAAATATTTCTTTAGAAGTGAACACATTGGCAGCCGGGCGCTGTGGCTCACGCCTGTAATCCCAGCACTTTGGGAGGCCGAGATGGGTGGATCACGAGGTGAGGAGATGTAGACCATCCTGGCTAACACAGTGAAACCCTGTCTCTATTAAAAATACAAAAAATTAGCCAGGCATGGTGGCGGGTGCCTGTAGTCACAGCTACTTGGGAGGCCGAGGCAGGAGAATGGCGTGAGCCTGGGAGGCGGAGCTTGCAGTGAGCCAAGATCATGCCACCACACTCCAGTCTGGGCAACAGAGCAAGACTCCGTCTCAGAAAAAAAAAAGAAGTGAACACATTGGCTTTTCGGTATAAATCTACTGGAATTTTAGATGAAAGCAAAATACTTTCTTGGTCTGAACATTTCTTATTAAAGAATATCAGGGTAGTGATGTTTTAATGTGTTCGGATTATTCAACTCCCAGAGCCAAGATGATGTTATCACTGGGGATTTTTTGTTTAGCTCAGATAGTACACTGAAACTAACTGGTTCTTCCTGCCCTCACTGTGTTCTGGGAGGCTCCCAGGTATGTCCTGGACTGAAAAAGGCGAGGCCGTTTGATGTTAGAGAAGCAGAAATATTCTGAGTATCTTTCTGTCCTTTTCTCTGTGCCATGGTCCAGTCAACAGGAGGGGAGAACATTGTCCTAGGCTTTTGTAAAGCCAAGATTACCCCCCAGAAGCTGCTTGGAGCCGGTTTCCAGTCTCCTGAGCTAAGGTTGCTCCCAAGGGAAGGCAAGACTCAATTGCCTCTGCCTAAAGTTGTTATTTTGTATAGTATTCTCATAGGTGTGCTGTATAGACTTAAGCTCCACTACTGCTTTCTCTCTTTTTTAAAAAAATTCTCTTATTTTCTACCATTTATTTTGGCATTTGTACTCTTCCTTGCGTTTTTCTTTGAATGTTTTACGTTCTATAACTCTCATGTGCCTGGCTAAGCCTTTCTAGGGCATGACCCAGGTAACGCATAAGCTGGGTATTCAGGTTTGTTTTTTTCCCGATGCATAGGTGTTGTGCCAGCACAGTATATCAGATAAACTTGCCCCTGCCCCTGCTTCCTTCCCCGCTGTTTCACTACCACGTTTCCCACACATACTGTAGTTTGTTTCTGGATGCTGTTTTCTATTCTGATGTATTTGCCAGCCTGTATTGTTTGATTTTGAGGGTATCAATAATTCATTTTTGAATCTGGTTCTGTCACTTTTAGCTTTAATAATTGGGGGCTATTTTTAAACATTTATTCTATAGGAACTTGAAATGATTTTATCTCCTGCGATACATTAAATGTCTATGTTAAGACGTCTTATTTACAGAAGTAAATTATGACCACTCTTTTACTGTAAAGGTAATTATATAGAAAAAGCTAAGCAAGTTGCCTTCCTAGGGCTGACTCCTACAGGTGTTATCGGTGTATTCTTCCAGACTTCTATCTATGCATAATACATGCATACATAGTAAGAAATAAATTCATGTGTGTGAATTTAAATAAGTTCACTAGGGAGCTAAAGCTGGGACTGCAGCTTAAACCCAGCATTATGTTGTTCTGGTTTCTTTATTATTACCAAATAAATGATTTGAAACAGTTAAAATCATCCCAGCACTAGTCTCTTTTGAGGGAGCGGCCTTTTCCATTTTCATACAAGGTCTTATTTTGCCGGCCGCAGTCCTAGCTGTCTCCAATTGAGCCAGAAGGCAGCAGCCAGAACTACTTTTGCCTGAGGGTCTTCCCTGAGACAAAGACTTCTGCCCTTGGCCTTCTTACTCTCGGATATTTGTGAAGCCCAGGATCTCTCTCTCTTTCTCCCTCTCTCTCTCTCAACTTCTGGAGCAACCAACTGCTATCTTAGTGTCATAAATTAATTCTAATATACCTGGGTGGCCTTTAATCTAGTTCCATTTTTCAAAGTTTTTGGCTTTTGGATAAGACCTTTTCCTGCATTGACATAGCCTCTCCCTAATTGTACCTGTTTTTGGAGTTGGGATTTGGAGGTGGAGGGATGTGAGAGAGGGAGGAAGGAATATAAGGTGTCTTTTATAAGCCTTCCTTTCTCAGGATCCAAAGTTTTTTAAAAAGAAAAGAAAACAGGTTTTTTTTAAAATATGCAGTGAACTATTTTTTTCCTCTGAAAAATGAAACCTTTATTGGCTTAATTTTGTACCCTAATCATTTACTCCCATTTATTTTGTGCTTACTGTTTGGTTCTATATTGATCACTAGGTTAGGTTTCTCATACTGGGTGCTTAGTCTTCCAAATTATTTATAGGTGCTTCACAGTTGATCGCAAACTAGTAAATAAGGCATCCTCTGGTAGGAGAAGCAGCACTGGATTTTACCAGTGGGAGCTCTGGCAAGTTGGCCACTTTGTGGGAATTTCCAGACCTGAATCTGCATCTGTGTAGAAGGAAGTTGAGGTAGATGAATCTCTATGGCCTTCCTTTCTCTCCTAGTTGGTTTTCCAAGATCCTTCCTCACCTTTTCCACTGCCCATGTCTTGGGTTTTCCTGTATTTCTTAGTTACGTTGCTGTTTTCAGTACCCTCTGTGCCCTCTTCTCTATCTGTGGATTGCTTTAAGTGACATTCAGACAGCCAGAGGTCCAGAGGCCATTTGACATAGAGGAATTCCATCCTTCCAAAGATCTCTTCTCATAAGCAGGAGTTTTTTGTTTTTTACACAAAACAAAACAAAACAGTTATCCTGATTGGATCCATGAGGACTAGCTCACTTGGCTGTGCCTCAGGAGAGGTCCAGAATGACTTTCTTGGACTTGAACGAGCTCAGAAGCATTGGCACTTTCTCGTTTACACTGGCCTTGATTTTGGGTAGAGGTTGAGCAGGCTGAAGTCCCCTCTCTGAAGCCATCATTGGATGGTAAAATGCATCTGCAGCCAGATGTTCCAGCTCTAGCAGGGTCACAACTGCACTGAGATGAACACAAGGGGGCAGTCTTTCCCACAGAATTTCGTCAAATCAGAGCGGAATTGAGTGCAGTTTCAATGTGAGCGCATGCGTGAGCCTGTGCTCTGTCCACACTAGTGCTCGTGTGTAAAACGTGTAGCCTGTAACTCTGTTTATAAAGAGCCTCAGGGTGAAGGGCATATGAATGCTGAGTAGATTTTGTGCTTCACTGTGCTACAGTTTCGTTAACACAACCCAGGCCTCCTCAGTGTAGGTTATAGACTATATCCCCCTGCCTAGCCCAGAGTCTTACACATGGCAGGCAGGCAGGTTGGTAGGTAGGGCAGGCAGCAGGTAGGCAGGCAGGCAGGCAGGCAGGCACTTTTTATTATTGGAGGCTTAGAGATGACTGAATCATTAATATACAGGAGTTGAAATTGATTTAGCCTGCTGTTTCAACCTGAAGAATGACTTCAAAGCAGTCATTTAAATTTATTTTTGCCTTTTTTTTTTCATTCTCCTGCCCCTCCTACCTCTCTTCCAACTACTAAAGGCATTGTTTCAATTGTATATCTTTTCTTTTATTTTTGTTTTCTCTTCATCTTGGAAATTGAGTTATGGCTCCTTTGGTTGTTTGTAGTTGGAAAAAGCATTATTATGAAAATATATGCTGTTTAGTGAACAATGAAGCAGAATATAAAATATCACTAATATCCTGAACCCCCATGCAATTAGAAGCACATTGTCACTAGTTTTGTTTTATGTTTCCCAGATGACTGTTAATTTAGCAGTTCAGCACATAATTGCATTGATGATCATATTTCAAAGGATTTGAGTCTATTGATTCAAGTGTAGAATTGAGGTAAAAGTTGTTATTCCTTCACTGTTGTATCTGAATTTGTCTTATTATTTGACTCTGTAATGGCTGGAAAAAATCTGAAAATCTGATATGCTTTGGAAATCAAAGGTAAATTTTATGTCCCCTGGGGGTAGGGGTAGGAGGGAAAGAGGAACTTTTTTTTTTTTTAGCTCTAAACAAAAGAAGCAATTAGTAGATTTATTGTATAATGGTTGTTTTTCTTCAAAACCACAAGTCTTCAATTTTTCTAAAACAATAGTAAATTTTCACTTTCTAAACAGTTTACGTAATCGGTTTCACCATATTTGCATATATTTTGTTAACTGATACTAACAGTGATGCCACAATTTGTGTGTGTGTGTGACTGAGTTTCGCTCTCTGTCACCCAGGCTGGAGTGCAGTGGTGCGACTTCAGCTCACTGCAGTCTCTGGCTCCTGGGTTCAAGCAATTTTCCTGCTTCAGCCTCCCAAGTAGCTGGGATTACAGGCACCCACCACCACGCCCAGCTAATTTTTGTATTTTTAGTAGAGACAGGGTTTCACTATGTTGGCCAGGCTGGGCTCCCAAAGTGTTGGGATTACAGGCGCGAACCACCGCTCCTGGCCGATGCCACAATTATTAATGCACTTGGAAGATATATCAAATTAGATTTAACCAACGTTTATTTAGTACCAACTGCATGTCAGATGTTCCCTGAGTCAGTTTTGTTTGTTTTCTTAAGCCTTGAAACAAACTTTGGTGGTAAATTTCTCTTCATTTTGCATATTAAAAAACTGAAAGGGTTTTGACTTGCTCAACAAATTACACTATCCCAGCCATTGCTATATTTTGCTATATTAGCTATAAGTTTATTTTCTGTGTAGTTGTAGAGCTGAGATTATTTGAAATACTGTTACTGATTCTCCTCACTTACTATGATTATTAAAAATGAAAATATGCTCTAATGATTTTTGACACTGTGCATATAGAACCCTTGAGTTTCATAGGTTCTGTAGGCCCTTTCTCCTATAAATAAAGAATGTGAGACTCACAGAGAGGCTGGGTCTCCTCCAAGCTTGGGCAGCTGATAGTTTGAGAGTTGATAGAACCCAGGTCTTTCCCTTTGTAAGGGGCAAAACCACTGGAAAGGACAGGCAGAGAAATAGCTGGGCTCCTCAAAAGGAAGAGAGAAGCTGACAGTGAGGATTTGTCAGTTCTGCTCAGTTTGGAAAGAGACGCTTCACTGTCTGCTTCTTCTGATCTTCCTGTGCTTCAGTTCTCAGCACTCGTGAATATACCACGATTTTCATGCCTCTGTGTCTCGGTACACGCTGTCTCTTCTCCTCAAGTGTTCTTTCTCCCTTCGTTGCCAGCTCAAATGTCACCTCTTGGAAGCCTTCCCCAACTGCGTCAGACAGATACATCTGGCTCTTTCCTTCCTTTGAGTTCCTATACTTCTTTTAATAGATCTCTCTTAGAACATTGATTCCTTTACATTGTTTGTGTTTTCAGTTAGTGTCTCGGAGCTCCTGGGGCAAGGGTCCTCATTCTTCAGGCATATCTCTGACATTGAGCCTGGGTGCACTTTACTAGGATGCATGTTCAAGTGTGGGTGGGAATGAATAAATGAATGACTGTGTGCTCCCCTCCCAGGTGCTGTTTCTGAGCACAGAAATGGAATAGAAGTTTGAGCAGGAGGAAAATGGAGTCTGTGGAAGTTCTAGGAGATATTCTTACAGTTACTCATTAGTTTTTTGGCATTTAGCTTCTCGGTTACATATGGGAAAATTGAGGGACAGCAAATCACAAAGAGAGACTGGAGGTCCAGCTTATTAGGAAACTTGAGTTTCTAGGATGTGGCCACCAGCTTGTGTACATCTTCGTTGATTCTAATGTTCACTGTGTTCCCCAAGAATTAATTTCTTCCAAGGGCCTACATCAGTTTAGAGGTGTAGAACTTGGAGTAGGCAACGAGGTTGGGTGTGTGTTTTTCATTAGTAGATATATTAATCTGCCCAGACATGAGATACACTAGCACTGTTCACAGCCTGAAAACACAGCTCTAAGAGTTTGTGGGTAACAGAACATTAGTCTTACTTAGGTCTTTCTAAATATCTTCACTCCTTAGAGTAACTTTGAGTGTTTTCTGGATTTGAGTTTGGCTCATTAAAGTCTGATTTCTACATAATTCAGATACATCCAGAGTTTTTTGTATAATACATTTGAAAATTTTCCCCTTATGAGATTAGACAAATTTATAACTGAAACAAAGTTCGTTAAACCTGTGCTAAAATATAAAATTGTCTTTAAGAAAAGCCCAAACAGGTAGAAAGTGACAGTTTACTGTATAATTATAATGATAATTTGAATGTATTGATATTCAACAATACATGATATAAAAATACAGTATTTCCCAAGGTCACGAATCATTACCAAGTTTAAATTTATTTTAAAATACAGCAGATCCATAGTTTTGTTCTTTGTATTCATCATAGAAATTTTTTGTGTATTCTATTTTGTTTTCTTTGCCTCATTGATTACTAGATTCCGAAAACAGGACTGTGGGAAAGTAGAGAAGCTGAGCATTTGAACCCATTAACTTCATCTCTCTTTTTGAGGAAAGCAAGCTATTTATTTTCGTAACTAGGGAGGCCTCATAACCTGGGTTGCTGAGGACATCCTGGTTTATGCCTGTCATCTTGGAGAAGTTATTAATAGTGTCGCCTTTCACTGTTCAAAATCCTAGCTTGGATGATGAGTTCTATGTGGTCACCCTTATTATCACTGATATATTCTGTCCTTGATTATTTTATGCTTTGATTTTAATAATTCTGTAAGTGCATTTTTGACTATACTTTTCTGCATTTTTAAATTCTCTGATGTTTTGGAAGGTATATCCTATTTTATTTCTATTAATAGCTGCTTTTTGTGTTTTTCAGATCATTCTTTAAATGTAAGTCAGTACTGAAATGTTCTCCTTTGTGTCCTACCAATTTAAGACTTAGACATTATAAGTTATTTGAGAATGGCGCCGGATTCATTTTTGTGTCTCTGGCAGTATTTAGTAATCTGCTTTGGACAAAGTACTCAAGAAATATTTATGGAATGAATCTTAGGAAGCAGTTTGGTTTTATCAAAATGAAGAGCGAAATTTGGTCCAGTCTAGAATGGTATAGATACCTCCCGATAAAGGAACTGGGATTGTGCTTGGGCTGAAGATCCAATCCGCCCAATGGCACTACTGACCAAACCCAACTGTGGAAAAGATTTCAATGATCTGTTTTAAACTCACCTAGGGACTCCCAAGTGAGTTTTCAGTAAAGTCTTCTTCAATTAAAGTTCTTTCTCTAAGATTACACTACTGCTAAGTATAAAGACAAAGGAATTTTCCAGTGCCAAGCAAAGACAGACAGAGAGTAGCCTGGTTCAGCCACTGTGGCTGCCCACCATGTTAGTGACAGCACTGTTTTCCAGAATGAGGAGAGTGAAGGCGGCGAGTTGGGTGGGAGAGCCCAAATGCAACAATAGTTTGCACGGCATGTAAAGAGTTCTTGAAAGAGGTTGAAGATTTTTGTAAGCACATTCAATTGATTGAGCCATGTGTATTTCCAAATAATAGATTTGTCCTCTTAATTTAAAGGAGACATATAATAGAAAGCTAGGTGTAGTCCCTAACAGTCAATCACTTACGAGCCAGAGGAGGGAAGAATGACCTTTTTCAGAATTTAAGTTGCAAAATACACCTTGTCCTCTGATAGGCAGTTTACAGTGCCTGACAAAATGAGTCATCTTTTTGTTTTGCCAAATTTTATTCTAGCTAAGTGCCTCCAAGCTTAGGCAAAATAAAGACAAGTTAACTGTTCTTAAATGTAATAATGCCATGGACTCTCATGAATAGAAGCCTTTGATAACTAGAAAATAGTTATCTTTGACTTTGTGTTCAAAGTATAGGGGTTGCTTATCTATAAAGCTGGAAGGGGATATAATTGGTTATAGATAAGGAAGGATGTGCATGAATTGAGTTCAGGTACTTTCTAAGTCCTAAGTTACTGCATAGCTGCTTAATACAGTGTCTAATACCTGATGGTGGTGCTCAGTATGTATTAATGGAATCCAAATTTCTTTCTCCACCAAGATCTCTGTCAAGTATATTTGATCATTAACTGTTCCATTTTCAGGATCCAGTAGTCACAAACTGTAGCATAATCCTAGGGTGTTTTATCTTACATTTTAAAAAAGTACGTAATTTGATTTTTTGTGTTTTAAAAGCAATACCCATTCTTTGTTAACAAATTTAGCTGGTAGATTTTTATTTTGGTTTCACTCATTTGAATTTCAAAAGTTATACATGCTTATTGTGAAAATCCAGACAATAAAGAAGTATCCAAATAACAGTCTCCTCATCTTTGCCACCACTTCTCTGATACAACCATTGATCACAAATCACCTTATAGCCTTCCATAGTTTTTCCTATAGTGCTCCCCTCACACACGTGCTTTTGTACTTTTTTTTCCTACCTCTCTTTCTTCTTTTTTTTTTTTTTAATAAAAGTGGTATTGAATGTATTATCAGTTTGGTGCAGTTCAACAGATATGTATTGAGCTCTTGCTTACGTGGTGTCAAGAGCCACTGTACTATGAGTGTGTATAATCTCTGTCCCTGGGCAATTTCTCACATTCTCTTTTGTTGTATTTCAAATTCATTACTGTTGCTATTCTCTTTATAAGTTCACAAGGGCTTTCCACCTCATGGTGTTGTGAAACCCAAATAATGTAATGTTTATTAAAGCACTTAGTTAAGCATAAAGCAGTGAGCTATGACTGCATGATTACTAAGAATTGGTTATCCATGAATAATTCTAATTTTTGTCACTGCTAAAGGAAAATATGCTTCCTCTGCTTATATTTTAATTATTTCAGTAGGTTCCATATGTTTTCAAAACACCTGATTTTACTTACTGTATTTTTACTTTTTTTTTTTTTTTTGAGATGAAATTTCACTCTTGTCGCCCAGGCTGGAGTGCAGTGGCACGATCTCGGCTCACTGCAACCTCCACCTCCTGGGTTCAAGCGATTCTCTTGCCTCAGCCTCCCAAGTAGCTGGGATTACAGTCACCCTCCACCACGCCGGGCTAATTTTTGTATTTTTAGTAGAGACGGGGTTTTGCAATGTTTGCCAGGCTTGTCTCGAACTCCTGACCTCAAATGATCTGCCCACCTCAGCTTCCCAAAGTGCTGGGACTACAGGCATGAGCCACCACGCCTGGCCTGTAATTTTACTTTTACATACAGTATGCCCAGCTTCTTTGTCTCAGCAGATGTTTTTTAAAAATTCCTACTAGGTATATCTTTAACAATTCTTTTTCTTCCATATTCTTGGCTATATTTGATAGACGAGAGTGATATTATAAGTTTTATTCTGTTAACGTGTTTTAAAGTCTAAGATTTCTTCTAGCTTGTATTCCATGTTCATTGCTGTTATTTTATCACTAACTAATTAGTTACAGCCAGAGATTTTAACTCAGTCGCAAATATAAAGCTCTTCTTTGTCAGAAAGACCACACACACCTCTTGAAAAGTTACTTTCAGATTTGATCACATAATTTCCAAGTGTCTTCCAAGAAAGTGAGCATGATGGCCCTGAGTGAAAAACTGTGGCACTTGACCAAAACCTCAGTTTGTTTCTAATCATGTATGGATGGAGTGTAATTTGATTAAAGCTGACTGGCCTGAAATGATCCCAGTAAGATGCTGAACTGGATCTGGATGAAAGTCTCACTATTTTCTGCCCTCATCCAAGCACTAAGGCATCACTGAAATTAATGAGTTTGGGATTTCATGTCCAAATCCATTTTTAATACTACCACCTTATGTTTCCATAGTACGGTACGCTTTTCAAAATGCTTTTATCTATAGTATTTGATCCGTGCAGTCTGCTTTTAGCTTCTATATTTCAAAGGCCAGTAATGGTTAGGTTGGAAGTAATACCTATCAGAATAGTGACTTTGAAACTTTGAAATCATTTCCAGGTGTTTTGGATAGGCTACATTTGAGTGATGAAACTTTAAACTTTCTTTTTTATAAAAGAAAACTTTACTGCTTGAAGTAACCTTTTTAGAAATTAGTAGCCCCAAAGGTTTCAGGGTGTGTTGTATTGTTCTTTTTTACAGTGAATGGGTGTAACTTACTGCAATGTGAATAATGCATAATATTTGTAAGGAAAAGTAGGGAAGTAGCCAAGGAGAAAAGATGGGACAAAGAAAACTGTGAGTTTTCTTTAAATATCTGAGGCAATGGAAAGGAATTTTAAGCAATTTCTTGACAAAAAAAACTCTCCTTTTTTTGATTACAGTAGGGATGCCAATGAGATGGAAAAAAAATCAAGGAGAAACGGAGAATAAAATAATGCCTGCACAGTATATATATTTTGGGGGCATTGTTGAGGTTGTACTTGTGATCTAATATCCATTTTTAAGTGTTTTGTAGATATTAAAGTTAATTTGCATGCGTACATATATATGTATATATACACATATAATAAATCCAGATATACATGTATTATATATCTATGAATAATACACATACATAACACATGTATAATAGATACTCCTATTAATCAGTATTATCACTTAGATTACTCAAGACCTGGAATATATATTTGGAACAAAAGTAAAATCCCTTATTATGATTCTACTTGCCAGCTCCTTATTATGGTCAACGTCAGGGCTCTGGGCCAGGCAGGAACTGAAGTAGACAGTTGGCCCTAACCACTGAACCACCTGCCTTGAGCCCCTTCAGGCATGAGAGATGGTGGAGAACCATCATCACCACTCAGGAAGCATGTGTCAGGGGCCCACTCTGTCCTGCGGCTCTACCTGCGTCCTCTCACTTGAACCTCGTAAGAACCTTGTTAAGTTGGGGTTATTTTGAGCCCTATTTTTCAGGTGAGGAAATGGGCACAGAGAGGTTATGACTTTTACACACAGAGTGCTGGGGCAGGGACTCAAACCCAGATCTGTCTCTTCTCTGGAGAGGTGCCCGCATTTGGAGGTGAAAACTACCCCTGTGGCCATATGACAGTCCACTGTGACCGGACACTGAAATGACCAGTCCAGGGGGCTTGTGGGCTGGGGTCTCAGCTTCACCACTGTGCTGCTGGGTGACTTCAGGCAAGGCCCATTCCTCTCTGGACCCTGGTTCCTCATCTGTGTACTGTGTGTGTGCGTTTTTTAAAAATCAGCTTACTTTTAAAATTTGAAATATGAAAGTAAACACAAAGTTAAAATAGCAAATGCTCAGCTTCGTGTACCATCTAATCCTGTTTTATGTATGTGCATGCGTGTGTGTGCGTGTGTGTGTGTGTGTGTGTGTGTGTGTGTGTGTTCTGGGCTACCTCAGAGATCCATTCTGGCTTTGAGTGTGGTATGTCCCATCTTGGGCAGGTCCAAGGGAAGGCATGAGCGATCTGGCTTTGGGACAAGTATGGGGCTGGCCCTAGGGCCCGGATGCTTCTCCCTCCGCTGCCTATCACAGAGGGGAGTTTGTCTTGCAGGAAACAGCCTCATCCATCAGTGGCAATGGGGGGCTGACAGTGGCCACTCCCCCGCCAGTCCTGGCTGGAGGCAGACTCATAAATCCCACACCAGGCCGGGCTTTAAATTCCTTTGATTCACATCCGGCCTCTTGGAGGACAGAGACATTTGGGGCTGTGGGGCTGGCTGTTCTCTCCTGGGCAGGACAGGTGGGTATTGGGAAGAAGCCTCTTCATGGGCCCAGCAGTCTCAGATGGCCTCTCCGAGGATATGCAGTGCTGAGCCCCCAGGATGCCTCAGGCTCAGCCTGAGCCACCTCTGCCCAGGCCCAGGCCACCTCTGCCTAGGCCATTCCTGTGCCCTGGCCTGAATCACCCTGGAGGTCACCTATGTGGACACACTCTGTGGCCTCAGAGATCTCGTGGGGCCTGTGGCCCAGAGGGTTGGCTCCATGAACTTCACAGCATGGTCACCTGCCAATCCCCATGGCATTCTGTCTTGGGGCTGTGAGGACACGGTGGGAGATCAGGGCCCAGTCTGTGCATCTCTCATTCCAGGGAGGCCGGGGCCCCGAATCCACTGTCCCTTAGGCAGGAAGGGGACAGGGACACTCAGTCCAGGGAGGCAGCCATTTGTCACCTTTCATCAGGACTTTTGCCACACTCAGATGCCACTGGAATTCTTCTTTACTTAGTGTTTTTTAAAAATCAGCTTACCTTTAAAATTTAAGTGTGTGATTTACCCTCTTCTTTAGCCATATTTGAGAAATCAGGGTCTGATATACTAGTCAAATACCCGCACACATATACATATACACATACACATGTGCACATACATGCTCACCCAGACATATACATATACACATATATGTGAAAATATACACATGAAATATATCCATGAAAGTAAACACAAAGTTAAAATAGCAAATGCTCAGCTCCGTATACCATCTAATCCTGTTTTAGGTTTAGAGTGGCTCTAGTCTTCCCCCCATTATGGGTGATTCCTTACTGGTGATACAAAACAGGTTCAGATGGTTCACAGAGCTGAGCATTTACTAGCCATTCTAGCCTTCCCCCATTTTACAGATAAGGAAACCAAGGTCCAGAGAGGTACAGGGCCTGCCCGAAGTCACACAGCGCTGGGATTAGTGGCCAGCCCACCTGACTCCCAGCTGAGTGCTCCTTTTACAGAAGCACACTCCCTGTCTGCGGTGTGCAGGGCCCCTTCCTCCAGAAGCACAAGTGGACTCTCAGAGGCCTTTTGGAGACTGTGCCCTAACACAGAGGGTTCATTGGAAGGTGGGCTTCCTGGTGGCAGGCTGACGGGCAGGCGGACGGTCTCCTGGGTCCTGGTGGGACCAGGCACTGGCCCCTGGCTCTGTCTGTGCTTTATCTTCATGCTCATGGCTCCTGCAGCGCCTCAGCATTTGGGGAAGTGGGGAAAGGAGGGTCCCAGGGGAGAGAGAGAGCAGGGCTGTGGCAGCAGCCCTTCCCCAGGGAGCTGCTTACTGAAGAGATCATTAGTGGTACCAGCTCTCAGGCTGGCAAGGAAGGTGGCCTCATTAGCAAGCACCTTCCCCTGCGCCACCTCCACCTGCCCACCTGCAGCCTCCTGACACCCATACTGCCACTGCCACCACTGCCATCACTCCAGAGATGCGGCATGATGGGCCTCCTGTTGGGGACAAGGCTGCTAGCTCAAGGGAGCCAGGAAGGAGATGTGTGTGTAGGGTGGCAAGGGTGCGTGTACACTGCACACACACACAGAGACACACAGACATGCTCACATGCATGGACACACATATTGCATTAATAGAGGTGTGCACATAAGTCTAGCGCACACACACACAACACAGACTTGCACAGTAACGCGCAACTCCCCAAACACACAGTGCAAGCACACGGATCCAACAGAGACGTGTACACACAGGGGTGGTTTTCGGTGTGAAGCCCCACAGTGCACACGTATAGAGACCCATATGGAACACAGGTGCACATGCACCCTAGGAGATGCACGTGTGTATTCACACATACAGTCCTGTCTCCAGACTCCGGAGTGTGCATGGAATTGTACACACATGAGTACGTGTCAACAAACATGCAGACCAGCCCGGGGCATACCACTGTGTGTGCAGGGATGCCCACGTGCACACGTACATGCGTGCAGAGCACACACCAGTTATTTTTTTCTTGGAATCTAACAAGGCCCAAGGAGCAGGGAGTGGCTAATTCCCTGGAGGAAGTGAGGAGACCGGAGCTGAGGACACATTTAATTAATTCTTCTCATTCCCAGCCGAGGGAGAAAGGGAGAGGAGGAGGGAGAGAGGAATGAAATGACAGAGAGGAGAGGAGAGGGGAGAGGGGCAGCAGGAGGGTGAAGGTGAAGTGGGGAGGAACCGATGTGGGCAGTGAGGAGGCTGAGGGACCCCGGGCCCAGAGGCATTAACCTTTTCAGCTTACGGCAGGCCCAGGGACCTCATCACTCAGCCCCGATCCCAGAACCAGACGGATCGTTCAAGGTCAAGTGGTGGGGCTGGTGCAGAAGTCCACCCGCAGTGCCCCCTACACACAGCTCTGGGGATGGGGCACACACGTCTTTCACCTGCTCCCACCGAGTGGAAACCTGCCCCCCAACCCCGAACCTCCCACGCTCAGTCCCACTTCTGCTCTGTGCCTGCATTGGCTTAGGGCCCTGGGGGCTCTCCTATCACAAGTGCAGGGCAGGGGCAACACAGCTGCCCAGGGAGGCCCCTGCTGGGCACCAGGACAGCTCCTCCCACCCCTGCCCTGACCTCAGCCTTGAGACAGAGTCAGGGAGATGGAGGTGGACAAGGACAGGGGTTCTGAGAGGGAGGGAGGATGTGAGCCAGGAGAGAGGGGAGGTGGGGCCGGGTGGGAGTGAAACAGGGAGATGGGGGGCAGTGAGAGAGAGGGGGAGACACTAAGCCAGAGATGGTGAAGGATGTGAGAGGGGCCAGGATGGTGAGAGTCAGACCCAGAGACACACAGAGAGGACGCTAGAAAGAACAAGAGAAACAAAAAAAGGTCAGAGGGTCAGGAAAGGCAGCCAGGCTCTGTAACTCTCCCTGGTCAGGAGGGAGGCAACTCGCCTGGGGTGTGAGCGAGGAACCCTGGCCTAGAGAGGATGCTGTGTGACCCCGCCCAGGCACCCCACCTCTCTGAGCCTCGGCTGCTGGTTTATAAAGCAGGGGGACCGGCCCTGTCTCTGAGAGGGCCCTTAGGCTCCGCAGGGAGGCTGGCCTGGTCCCTTTCTTCCTTCTACTCCCCTGAGTCATGTGGGCCTGCAGATGGGGGTGGGGGTCTCCCTTCTGGGGCCCTGAGTGGGCAAACCAGGTGAAAGAGGAAAGTTGCTGTGGGGCTGGTGTCGTGTGCTGCAGCCGTGAGCATGGAGTGATGGAGCGTTTGCCCTGAATATTGAAAATACATAAATATCCATTGTCAGGCACCAAGGCAGATATAAATACAGAAGGGAGGGTGTGCAGCCCTCAGCCGTAATTTACCGGCTCTGCTACCTGCGGGGGCTTGGGCACTTGCACTTGGCCGTCAAGAGGCTTTTCCAGATGGCTTCATGACCGCCAGTGGCCACCTGGATCCCTTCTCCTGGAGAAGTGGCTCCTTGGGATCCACCGCCTGGGGTGAGGTGGGGCAAGGCAGGGTGTGTCATTCCTAGGTCTGCTCCGTCCTAGGCCTTTGGGGCCTCTCCCGCCTTCTCCTCCTCCAGCATCTCCTTGCTTGGGAGGGATGGAACCACATCTGTGTCAGGCCTGGTGTGTACCCAGCCCTGGTGCACTTGGATAAAATCAGAGGCATTCCATTCCTGCCCATGGGCACTTCCAGGCTGCGAAGCAGAGATGACACCCTAGGTCCTGCCCTTAAGAACTCACCCAAGGGAAACAGATGGTAGAAGGGTCTGGATAAGCCAGCATGGGGCAAGACCCGGGTCCACTCTGGAGCAGGCCAGAAGCCAGAGAGGAGAGGCACATGGCCAATGGTGGCCTCCAAGAGTCTGGCCGCAGCCCAGCACACCCAAAGCCCTCAGCCTGGAGGGAAAGCAGCAGGACCTGGGGTGGAGGTCACGGCCCGCTGGCAGGCAGCTCTCTCTCTGACATCCTCCTGAGAGGACATGGGTCTTGCCCTATGCTGGCTTATCCAGAACCTTCCACCGTCTAAGGAATGTGCTCATTCTCGATGAGTAGACAAATGGAGGCCCCAAGGCAATTCCCTGCCTTTCCTCCCAGAGCTGGAGCTGGGACTTGAGCACCCTGATCCCTGCCACCTTCACATGCTGAGGGGCATCTTTCTCTTTGGGTTGGGACTCTGTGTTCAGGGCACTCACCTTCCCACAGCAGAAAGCCACCAGCCTCTATTGGGGGGTGTGGAGCGTTCTCCCTTCCAGGGTGCCCAAGCCTCCTTTTCCCAGGAAATGGAGGCTGGGCTTCCCTGCCCTGAGCAGGAGGCTGCACTGGGAGGCAGGGGCTGGACAGCCACCTGCTGCCTGGGCCGAGGGTGGAACCTGTTTGTGTGGGATGCAGGCATTGAATCATGAACACGCCAGGTTGAGTGGCCCAGGGCCCTGCACAGAGCAGGGGCTGGGATCAGGTGGCATTGGTGGGGAGGGGCCGGGGCGGTGCTCCGTGAAGGGAGGGCTGAGGCTGAGGTGGGGGTAGCAGAACCGCGCCTCCTATTCCTTGCCTGCCTCTCTCATGTTTCCCTCCCCCATTGTCAACAGGGGCTCTCTGAGGCAGAGTCCTCACAGTGAGTGATGCCTGCCCGGGCCCTGCCCTCCAGGCCTGTTCTGCCAGAAACACCCACAGGTCAGGGCATCCAGGTGCCTGGATGGACAGCCACAGGCCAACTGCCTGGTCAGCCGCAGCCTTCGCCGGCTGCTCTCCTGTGGCTGCAGAAAGTGAGAGGTGCTGCAGCCGCCAGCCCCCGCTCCCCCGCTGCTAGGCTCTCCTGTCTGTCCTAGTCCTCGCGTCAGGTGCAAGGGCGCAGGCCACAGTGGAGTCTCTGGGTCTTCCCCGGGTGACTTTGCTGTTGGCTCTGGGCCCCACACTGGCCCTTCTGTGCCATCTGGGTGGCAGGATAGACGTCTGCGGGGCACATTCTCCACACCCCCTTGCATGCTGCTCCTGGTTCAGTTCTTCCAAGAGGAGGTGCTGGCAGGCTCCAGCACCTGCAAGACACGTGCCTCTCAGCGGTTCCAGCATCAGCTCAGTGGCAGTTCCAGGAGCACAGCAGTGAGTGCAGGCTGTGGGCTCCAGCTCAGGGCATCTCTGGATCTGCCTCCTCCTCCCAGCCCTTCCCCCATCACCTCAGCAGCCTGGCCGTCCTGGAACTCCCAGGATGCTCCTCAAAATGGCTCTAAAGCCCTTATTCCTCACTTCTTCCTGGAGGGGGCCCCACCTTGGCTCTGGGTGGCAGGAAAAGCTCTTTTCCCCTCTGCGGGAATGATCCCACTTTGCCAGTTAAATGGAATGGTCTTCCCCGAATCTGTTCTCTGGGTCATGTGTGCGCAGCCAGGCCTCCAGTGGCAGTGGTAACAGGGGCCTCTCCCCACTGGCTGCTCCCCAGGGTCTCCTCTGCTCTCTCCTCCCTTCTCATGGGCTTCTTCATCTTCCTTGGGGTTCTGTTCCCCCATAGCTCAGGGTCCCCCAAGTTATTAGGGTGACAGTCTGGCCTGAGTTGTTTATGATCAGGCCAGAGGTTCTGCATGTCCTAGGCTTGGCCTCTGGGGTCAGATACTCATTGCCTTCTGCAGGGCAACCAGGAGCCATGGGGACCTGGGGGTGAGGCAGTCTTCCTTAGTTCAGGGTGGGAAGCAGGCAGGGGCCTCAACCACAGGCAAACTAGCAACTGAGATGGCATCAGCAGCCCTGCTCACAGTCGACCCTTGCCTCGGCTCCACCTACCCCGCCCAGGCTGCACCAATGCCTGCTGTATGCCCAGCACCAGGCTGGGCTTATGGGGGAACCAGACGAACAGGACTGAGACCCTGTTCTGGAGGAGCTGAGGGTCTCATAGGGGAGACATAGACTCCTCAGATGCCCGAATACCAGGCTCTAAGGAGCATGAGGTGCGCAGGGAAGGGAGAACTCAGCTCTGGCTGAGGAGTTGGGGATGCTTCATGTAGCGGGGGATATTTGACTTGCGCCACAAGGTGAGATTTTAATGTGTGGTTGGTTCCAGGGTTGCTGGAAACATCCCAGAGAGAATAGAACCACCGGAACAAAGGCCCGGCTCGGTAGCAGGGTGGGAAGAGCTGACTACTAACCACCAGCCTAACTTGTTTAGTGAGAATGCTCAGAGCAGTGGGGATTAACCAAAAAGTGGGTGGTCGGGTTTTGAGCCCCTGGTGCCCTGACCTGCTTCTCCTCCTCCTGCTTGCCCAGGTCCTCTGGGGCTCCTCTCCCGTGGTCGCCATGGGAACTCCAGGTGGCTGAAGTTTGCTTGAGCCTAGCTCCCTGAGATGGGCTGTGGGTCAGGGGAGGTGGAGGGAACTGGTCCCCAGCCTGGGCTCTGAGCACCCCTCCCCTGGGTCCCAGAGTCTCCATCTGAGCTCTGCCCATTTAGCCCTCACCCGGTCTCTTCCTCGCCTCCTCCCTCCCCTACACTCCACACAGCCTTCCAGTCACCAAGTTCTGACTGTTCCTTCCACTTGTAAAATCTCCCTGGGAGGCATCCACTCTGCACCCACCTCCCTGCCTCAGGCCTGGCTCCACCCCTTCCCTGTCCCCTGGATGACAGCAGGGGCCTCCTAGGGGGTCTGGCTCCTTCAGTCTGCTCCTCCTGGGTGCTGCTGCTGTCCTCCTGACCAGCGTCTGACAGTCTGGCAGCTCCTCTGCCCCTCCCTACCCCAGCCTGGGCTCCCACCACCCTGGGATGGCTGAGTCTGTGAAATGGGTGGAGTGGTGTGTTGAGCTCCACTTCTAGAACCGCATTCTATGGGGCAGTAGCGTCTTTCTGGAATTAACAGGTATGCCTTGAAAATGGGTTCCATGTGGAATTGGTTTGGGAAGCACTGCACAGCCTCTGCCTCCCGGATACTCACAAGGCACTGTAACAGGTGAAAGGCTCCCAGAGGTTCTGGAGTAAAGAAGTCTGTTTTGATTTATTTAACTCCGAGGTTCCCAGAGTGTTTTGGCTCTAAATAAGGAATGTCTATGAATAACTCCAGGAACAAGTTTCTCTGGACCACCCTTTGGAAAATGCTGGAGGAGCCATAAAGTGTGGTGCCTTGTCTTTGGGGATCTGGGGTCCTGAGGCCTGCTTCCCCCGTCTGGCATGCCGGGGTTCCCACAGGTGCACAGGCTGATACGGGGCTGAGGAAGCACTGGAAAATTGGGCCGCACCATGGATGCCTTGCTTCCATCTCCTGGCGCACAGTATGGTTCCTGGATGTGTTTTGTTTAAACCACACGTTCTTTTGAAATTTGACCTGGTTGTCAACATTTAAAACCTGGGAGATTCCACCACAAATTCTGCATTTTAAAGTTCTCTTAAAACACGAGGAGCCAGCCAGGTGTGGTGGCTCACGCCTGTAATCCCAGCACTTTGGGAGGCCAAGGCGGGCGGATCACGAGGTCAGGAGATGAGACCATGCTGGCTAACACGGTGAAACCCCATCTCTACTAAGAATACAAGAAAGTAGACGGGCATGGCGGCGGGCGCCTGTAGTCCCAGCTACTTGGGAGGCTGAGGCAGGAGAATGGCATGAACCCCGGAGGCAGAGCTTGCAGTGAGCTGAGATCGCACCACTGCACTCCAGCCTGGGCAACAGTGCAAGAATCGTCCCAAAAAAACAAAAAACAAAAAAACCACGAGGAGCCCTATCCACACAGTGCGCATCTCTCCCTCTGTGGAGCCGAAGAACGGCAGGACCCATTTACATGCAAAGCACCCAGCCTGCAAGCAGACAGTTTCCCTCCCCAGCGCGGGCTGAGCCCCCGAAAACATTGGAGTTTCACAAATTCCTCTTTATGATGGTGACTTATGCCTGACCCACCCTCCTCTTGGGGGGTCCTTCTTTGAGGGGCTGAGGCAGGTGGGCCTGCTGGCTCCAGCATGTTCCTTACCTCCCATGAAGTACCATGTACATGGTGCAGTCTAGGCTATGAAGTCCACTGGGCTACCCCACCATTACCCTCGGTTCCCATGACGGGGGTGCCAGAGTGGCCCAGGGGCAGCAGGGCTGTGGGAGACAGAGGGAGAGCCTGCCACAGCCTCCTCTCCTGTGACCACCTGGCGGCTCAGCTGACAGGATAGTCACAGCTGCTCAGGTCACCCTGGTCACCGGAGCATGCTGGGTGGGAGAACCACTCCCTGCAAGAGCGAAAAGCTGAGAACACTGCCAACCGTGCTGGCACCCCTGAGCCAGCCCGCCGCTGCAGAGAGCCCTCTACAAAGAGCCCGCTCTGTGCTGACGGAGGCTGGAACCTGGGGAAATCTGGCTCAGGGCTGCTTGCTGGGGCCCAGGGTGGGGTGGGGCTCCACCCCTGCCCTGGGATGACTGTGGGTGAAACAGGACCCTGACTTGCAGGCCCCAGTCTGAGGTGGAGGGAGGGGGCCCAGACCAACCTCACCCGAATGTTAGGATAACAGGAATTTCCCGCCAGGATGAGGCTGGCACTGGTTTCGGTTCTGTCCTGGGTGGAGGGGGAGGTCAGTAGTGGACTCTCCAATCAGTGGGGCCTTCACGGGCTCTGGTCGGAAGTTCCCACACACCCCCATCAGGAGGTCTGACTCCGGCCACCTCCTGCCTTGCCTGAGCCTGTCCTGCTCGTGGCCCTCCCCTTCTAAGCCTGTCTGAACACCCCTACCTTGGGGACCCCTCCTGTGTCTTCCTTCTCCAGGAAGCCCCTCTGATCCTCCCCCTCAGAGCTCTAGCCCTCCTCCAAGCTCCATCCCTGCCCTATCCCAGCCTTCCTATACAGCCCCACAAGTCAAAAAATCGTGACTAAAATGAAATATCTCCCTGACAAAAAACTAAAAAAAAAAAAAAAGACACTGAAGTCTCAATTAAGACTAAAAAAAATTAAAAAAAAATAAAGTATCCTTTTTAAAAGTGGCCACTGTAAAGCCTCCAAAACCCATTCCATTAACTTAAAAAACAAAAAAACCTATATAAGTAAATCAGTGGCCACTACCAAAACACAAACTAAAAACTTTACACTTATTAACAAAAAAATTTAAAAAAAAATTGAGCCTTCATTTTCGCCTTAAAATTCTCCTATGTTTATAATTCAAAAAAAAAAAAATCCAACAAATGACACATACTAACCAACTTAAAAGCATTAATGCCGTAATTCAACCCATGGAGAGTCTCCAACCTGAGTTGCCCTCTCAGGCCATAATCCCCCAAAATTGGCCTTTAATTATAATTAATCTAAAAGATTACTTTTTTACCATTCTTCTGACAAAACAAAATTTAAAAAAATTTACTTTTACTATACCAGCCATAAATAATAAAAAACCAGCCACCAGGTTTCAGTAAAAAGTGTTACGTCAAAAAATACTTAATAGTCCAACTATTTGTCAAACTTTTTTGTAACTCAAACTCTTCAACCAGTTAAACACAAGTTTTCAAACTGTTATTCATTATATTAATAATATTTTGTATACTACAAAAACAAAAACAAATTAACTATTACACATTTCTACAAGCAAAGGTTACCAACACAAGACTGACAATAATATCTAATAAAATTCAAACCTCTAATCCTTTCCATTACTTAAAAATGTAAGTTAAAAAAAACCACAAAAAATAAAAATTAAACATTAAAAACATTAAATAACTTTCAAAAATTACTAAAAAATATTAAACTCGGCCAACTCTAGACATCCCTACTTATGCCATGTCAAATTTGTTCTCTATCTTAAAAAAAAATCCAAAATTAAATAATGAACATTAACTCCAAAGACAACTAAAAAAATTAATTAAAAAAAGTTCAGTCAACCCAAATAAATAAAATGAATCACTTAGCCCCACTCCAACTTTTAATTTTTACTACTACACATTCTCCAACAGACATTATTGTTCAAAATACAAATCTTATGAAGTGGTCCTTCCTTCCTTATAGCACAATTAAGACTTACATTGTACTTAAATCAAATGACTACATTAATTAGACAAAACTACAAATAATAAAATTATATAAAAATAACCCAAATAAAATAATTGTTCCTTTAAACAAAAAACAAATTAAACAAGCCTTTATCAATTCTGGAATATAACAAATTGGTCTTACTAATTTTATAAAAAATTATTGACAATCATTACCCAAAAACAAAAATCTTCCAGTTTTTAAAATTGACTACTTAAATTTTACCTAAAATTACCAAACATAAACCTTTAAAAAATACTCTAACGGTGTTTACTAATAGTTCCAACAATAAAAAAACAACTTACACCAGACCAAAAAAACAAGTCATTAAAACTCAATGTCACTTAACTCAAAAAACAAAATTAGCTACTGTCATTACAATATTACAAAATTTTAATCAGCCTATTAACATTGTATCAAATTCTACATATATAATACAAACTACAAAAAAAGTTAAAACAGCCCTAATCAAATATCAAATATAATCAGTTAAACCAACTATTTAATTTGTTACAACAAACGGTAAAAAAAAAAATTTCCCATTTTATATTACTCATATTCAAACACACACTAATTTACCAAGGCCTTTAACTAAAACAAACAAACTAATTTACTAGTATCATCTACATTCATAAAAACACAAAAACTTCATGCCTTAACTCATATAAATACAACAAAACTAAAAAATAAATTTAATATCACATAAAAACAAAAAATATTGTACAACATTACACCCAGTGTCAAATTCTACACCTGCCCACTCAAAAAACAAAAGTTAATCCCAAAAGTCTATGTCCTAATTCGTTATGACAAATAAATATCACACATGTACCTTCATTTGAAAAATTGTCATTTGTCCATACAACAGTTAATACTTATTCACATTTTATATAAACAACCTACCAAACAAAAGTACTTCCCATATTAAAAAACATTTATTATCTTGTTTTACTGTCATAAAAGTTCCAAAAAAATTAAATAATAGGCCAAAATAGTGTAATAAAACATTTCAAAAATTCTTAAATCAACAAAAAATTACACATACAACAAAAATCCCCTATAATTCCCAAATACAAACCATAATTTAAAAAACTAACACTCAAAACTCAATTAAAGAATAAAAAGCATAACACTCCCCCAATACAACTTAATCTAACACTCTAAACTTTTTTAACATATATAAAAATCAGACCACTACTTCTACAAAACAACATTTTACTAATAAAAAAACCCACATAAAAAAACTAATTTAATTTAAAAAACATAAAAAATAAAAACATTAAAAAAAGCTTTACTTGTGTTTCACCAAAAAAAAAAAAATCAACTTCCTGTTTAAATACCCACTAAACATTTCAAATTCTACAATAAACCCATTAAAAATACAAAAACCCACCTCCACAAAAATACAAACACCACAATCAAGCATCATTAACTCACCAAATAAAATAATAACATCAAAAAAAACAAAGTCGCCGTCCACCAAAAAAACAAAGCCACCAACTTAAACACAATTAAAAAAACTAACACAGTTAACTAAAAAAAAACCCAAAAAAACACAAAAGTGACACAAACTCCAAAAAAATACTGTTTATGGCTTTAATAATTATATCAACAATAGTAAGTATCCCCATGTCTACAAAAACAACTACAACTAATTATACTAAGCCTATGTACCTTTCCCACCCTTAATTCAAACAGTCACATAAATAAATAATCCTATTAAAATATATATTAATAATACATGGGTACCAGGCCCCACAAATAATCGTTGCCCTGCCCAACCTAAAAATAATAATAATATAAATATTTCCATTAAATATTATTATCCTATTTGCCTAAAAAAGACACCAAAATATTTAATACCTACAACCCAAAATTAGTAAAAGTACCTACTATCAATACCAATAAATTTACTTGTCACATAGTAAGTAAAATGTCACTCAAACCACAAATAATTTACAAAACTCTTCTTTTCAAAAATCATTAAAATCTAAACCTAAAAAAAAACCTTGCCCCTAAAAAATCAAAAGATCCAAAAGTCTTAGTTTAAAAAAATGTATAACTAATACTACAATAATACTACAAAACAATAAATTCAAAACTATTATAAACTAGGCCCCTCAAAACCAATTATATTGTAATTCTATGGGCCAAACTCACTCGTGTTCGCAGGCCCCATCCATCTGGCCCATTAATCCAGCCTATAATAATAATTTAACTAAAAAACTAAACCAAATTTATAAAAACTTAAAATCACCCTATCCATAAAAATAAAATTAAAAAAAATTTTTTTTTTACTATGCGTAAATGTATGCATAGGCCAGATTTATACTTCTCTCCACCCAAACATCTCAGTGTAGTAAAAAGTAACAGAACAACATTGCCGCCAACATATCTCGCCTCCAGCCACAGGGCGGTTTTCTCCTATCTCAAAATAAAACGAATGTACAATCGGGTTTTACACCGAGACACTCCGTTCCCAGGGGCATACAAGAGATGGAGGCCTTCCTCTTACTAATCCTCCTCAACACAGACCCTTTATGGGTGTCGGACTGGAAGACGGTCAGGTCTTTCCCTTCCCATGAGGCCGTATCTCAGACCGTCTCAGTGGGGAAAAGCCTTGGACAATACCCAGACTTTCTTGGGCAGAGGTCCCTGCGGCTTTCCGCAGTGTATTGTGCCCCTGGTTAATCAAAAATGAAAAATGACAATAATTTTTACCAAAAATACTGCCCGTAAACATATTATTAACAAGACACATTCTACACAGCCCTAGATCCCTTAAACCTTAATTCTATACAACACGTGTTTCTGTAAACACAGGGTTGAAACTAAAGTTACAAATGAACATCTCAAAACAATTATTCAGGGTACAAATCAAAATGAGGTTTCTTATGTCTTCCTTTTCTACATAGACACAGTAACAGTCTGATCTCTCTTTCTTTTCCCTACAGACACCAGGCTTCCCTTCCCCTGGAGCAGCCAGACCTTCTGTGGTATCTTGAGCAAGCGCCTGGTCCTGTCTGGGCCTCTGCAGACTCAAGGTCTGGTGCCTGACTTACACCCTGTTGTCATATCCTGCCATCTGGCCCCATATGGAGTCCTACAGGGGACTCTCAGACCCAGGCGTGAGCACTGGCTCAGGCCCCTCTCAGAGGTCTGGCGGCCCAGCATCTGCCCACGGGCCTCCTCTCCCCCTCCTTTTCTCCAGGCTCCTGCCTCTGCCACAGTTCCCTGGAGGTGGCCTCTAGCCTGGCCCAGGGGCTCACACACTCCTGAAGGAGGCAGGGCCAGACTCAGGCAAGGCCTTGGAGGACACATCCCAGTGGGCAGGGCCCAGCACTCTTGGGGTGGAACTACAGGGAGGAGAGGCAGGGCAATTGAGGCTTGAGGTGCCTGGCCTCACCCAAGGTGACCAGCCTGCTCCTTTTCCTCAGCCTCAGAGGGAGCAGAGGACGGAGGTGGGGAAGAGAGGCCAGGGACACAGTAGGGCTTGGTTATGGATGATGGGGGGTCCTTGTGTGATATAATTAGGCTTTGTGTCTCCACCCAAATCTCATCTTGAATTATCCCCATTTTCCCCACCTGTCAAGGGAGAGACCAGGTGGACGTAATTGGTGGATCATGGGAAGGGTTTCCCCCATGCTGTTCTCATGACAGTGAGTGAGTTCTCATGAGATCTGATGGTTTTATAAGGGGCTTTTCCTACTTGTTCAGCACTTCTCCTTCCTGCCACCTCGTGAAGTTTCCTTGCTTCCCCTTCACCTTCCGCTGTGATTGTAAGTTTCCTGACACCTCCCCAGACATGCTGAACTGTGAGTCAATTAAACCTTTTTCTTTTACAAGCTATCCAGTCTCGTGCAGTTCTTTATAGCAGTATGAAAACAGACTAATACACTGTCCCTGCTGAGGGCTGCCCGGCTGGGCTCTCCCTGCATTGGCACCTGGGTTGCCAGTAGCACATTATTTGGTCTAACAGTTTTTGTTTATCATTCTGAAACTGAGCTTATCTAATACATTGATAAATTATTTCAAAGGTATTTTTATAGTTCAAATCGCTTCACTTTTACCCTGACACGTATAAATGACTAGGAATGACCTTCAGATAGCGTTTAGCAACTGTAACCAATCTGACAATAATGTGTTCATCAGGTACCTGTGGATTAAATCACATACTGGCATATTTAAGATGAATGTCAGTCTGAAAAATAAATATACTATATTAATTCAAATACGACTCTTTGTGTAGGTATTTTGTCATATGTTTAAGAAAAAGCTAAAGAGAATGGAAATCCTATGACAATAACTCAAGTCTTTCTTCAAAGTGCATGCAGTCTTTTGCAGTACCTCATTCAGCCAAGTATTTGTTCTCTACCTCATTCAGTATAAGGCAGCCTTTAATTTGCTTAGAAGGCAACATTAGAAGGTTAGAGTTCAGCAGGAACATAGAATTTTAAAATGTGACTTCAACTGAATAAATTTGAATTTCTGTAGGGAGTAAAGAATCAAAACACCTATTTAAAGACTGCAAAATATGATAATTATTTTTAAAGTAATTGATTAAACCTGGTAGGTTTTCCCAAAATGAAAAACAATCAGTTCTAAAACCAAAGCTGATTTTTAGAAAATGTGAAAATGTAAATCAACCCTATCCATAATAGATTCTCTAAAACTTTATCTTACAGTCACTTTCAAATAACTATTCAAAAATGTAACTGCTATATTAACATCTTAAAATAATTTAAAACATTTTAAAATATGAATACTGTAGTTTAAAACAAAGAATCTAGGGGAAGGAAAAGTAGACAAAGAAATGCCAATTCCAGTCCAAAGCTGTATTTGCCAAGTTTTCTTAGAATGACTTTTACCGATTTATGAATTCTTATAAACAGAATGCATAATGGAAATACTGATTTTTGTCTAAAGTGGCATTATTGACTGCTGCTGTGATGCTACTGTAATGTAATACATTATTAAATTGTTTCAAGGTGCTGTTTTGCCTAAAAATTTTGTGTGTCTTGAAAACTATAGTATTGGGTATTGAGACTCTGCAAATTCTCGGCATGCTTGGCATGAGGTAATCGGTTTTTATTCTTACAAAATTGTAACTATGTAAGTGTGTTTATTAAAAGAACACAAACTAAAAAAGTTAACAGAAATTAAAGTTGTGGGATGAAAAAGTTACAGGATAAAAAAATACTGTGGAAAAGTGGCAAAAAAAAGTTGTGGAAAAAAAGTAAAAAAAAAGTTTTATGAAAAGTTATTTTAAAAAGTTATGAAAAATTAGTTACAGGATTTAAAAAAAGTCATGGGATAAAAATAAAAATAAATAAAAGCAGGCCCCTGTCAGCATAAGCCTGGAGAAGTGGGTCTGGAGTCTTCACCCCCACCATGTCCCTACAACCCCTCCCCAGTCAGCCCTTTACCATTAGGGTAGCAAGACAAGACCCTTGTCTAATGGAGGGAGACAAACAGACCCTTTACCACCTTGACCAAGGCTGAGTCCTTACATTTCTGGATGATGATGTTTGTTATTTAAGAGCCAGAGGTTGGTGGAGTTGGTTTGTTTGGAGGAGGTCTGACGGCCTTCTTACTCTCACCAAAGCAACTTTTCCCTCAGGGGGGCTCCCATCTTCTTACTCAGAGAGGCAGCTGAGGCGGGACAGTGGAGTTAACTGTAGACCAGGCCAGGGCACAGGCTGCTGGGGGTGGCCCCCCTTCCCCCGTGTACATACTGTAGCTGTGTAACATTCTGTATCGTACCTAGCGGAGGTTGCAGCTGGCATATGAGGAAGAGGTTCTTATAATTATTCGCGGCTGGGAAACTTATTTATTGCTAGCATAGGAGCGAGGAAGCAGGCGGGGATGGGGTCATGGCTGCCTGGTGATGGGACTCCTGTTTTTTGTTTTTTGTTTTTTGCTTTTGATTTTGGAATAAATGGATTTAGCCATACTGCTCGGCCTGGTATGTTCCCATTTCCCTCACTGGGTCCTGCAGTTTGTCCCACTGAATGAGGAGCCCCAGAGTGTCTCAGCATGTCCAGCTGGGCTGTTGGGGACCTTCCAGGCCTGTTACCTGTATGCTGCCTGGTGACACCTGGTGGATTTCATGGGGACTGCCATGGCGCCTACGGAGTACACTCTGGCCCTGACAGCCAACTGGTTGAGAAGCCTGATCTAGCTGTGGCAGGGAAGACAGATACCAGTGCCCAAGGGCACTGACTTCCATCCACCCCAGGTGTCTTCCGTTCTGTCCCCCTGCCTCCCTCTCCTGTCTGCACCGGGTGGCCTGTCTGTCCCTCCAGAGTGCCGGCTGCCCCGCAGGTTCCCTCCAGGCTGAGTTCAGGGCCCTGTCCCTTAGTGGCCAGAGCTGGCTTCACAGGGTAAGAGCCAGCTAAGCTCCAGGGACTTTCCAGGAAAAGTGTCCCTTGAAAAGGGTGTGACCTTTTCACTGCTCCCAACAGCACCCTAAAAATGGCTTGGCCTTTTCCATCCCCTGAGCTCCATAGAGAACACAGCCAGCAGAGGACACATTCTCTGTCATCCAGAAATGGGTTTCTCAGCCAAGGGACAGCAGGACTGGTAGAGACTGTCAGGCCACACAGCTGCCTGCACAGCACCGCCATGCTTGGCCAGAAGGGCGGGAGGGATGGCGGGGGCTGGCTGTCCACAGGCCGCGCATGTCCCGGAAGCTCACTGGAGGTGGTGCACTTTGGAGGGGCGATGTCAGGAGACAGCTTCCTCTTGCTGGGCTACAAGATTCCACAAGCACAGCACGGGACTGATTCCCAGTGCTAGAGGTGAGGCAGTTGGCCACGTATATATATGTATATATGTGTGTGTGTGTGTGTGTGTGTGTGTGTGTGTGAGAGAGAGAATTTATAGCTATTTATAGAACAGGGCAGGGGCATACCACAGAGGGGGCACAAGTTTTCAGCAACGGTCACACCTGGACGTGTCAGCTCACCACTACAACAGACTAAGTCACAGAAGAAGGGGGCTGGCTTTGGGGCTGGGGGAGCCACTGTCAAGTCACAGGACACCCGCCCAGGCAGGCTTGGAAAGGGAGGTCTCTGAGAAGAGGAGGGATGTGTTTAGAGGTCGAAGTGGGGCCTGGGGCTCTCAGGACGGGATGGACTTGCCTGACCCGATCAGCTGGCAGTTGGAGAGAAAGCAGAGAGAAAACGGGTTAGAGAAAAGCCAGAGCTGGTGAGGCAAGTGCAGAGTATGGGTGCGCTGCAGCAGCTGTGGAGGGCCGGGGAGGGGAGGGCGTAGGTGTGGGCGTGGCAAGGTTCCTGGAAAAGAGGGGCTGGAAGGGAAAGGGGAGGGAGATGGAGGGAGAAGCTGGAGCTTCATAGGTAGTGCCTGGGGACTGCGGCGGCCCTCCCTACCCCACACACGCTGGCCTGTCTCATGGAACCCAGGCAATCCACCCATCCACCCACAGTTCAGACCAATGCCAGCTCCCTCGGGCTTCCCTCTTCTGTGGTCCCCATGTCTTCCAACGCACTGGCCCAGGGCCACCTCTTGCTTGGAGAGCCCCATCCAACAGCCACCAGACCTGATAGAGAAGGAACACTGATTGAACCAAAATGGTGGAGCTATAAGGGATGGCTGGCTGGAGTGAATGCCAGAGGCCCCTCTGGGCCATCAGAAAGCCCAGGGTCCTCTGAGGAACCCTGGGGAAGGCAGGGAGGGCAGGTAGCCGGATGCCATTGGCCATAGACTTCTAAGTCTAAGAGGGGAGCCTTAACTGGTTGGCGGGGGGCTGCAGGTTACATAGGTGAGGCTGGGCCCTTCCTGCTGGGAAAAGCAGAAGAGGGAGACTCCGTGGCAGGAAAGGGAAGTGAGCTCTCTAGGCGGAGCTCAGCTGGGCCAGCAGCACTATTGGCTGAATAGCACAGGCAACCCCTAGAAGCAACAGGCCAAGGTGCGTGAGCCTGCTGGCCAGCAGTAGTGCTTCAGCAGGGGCCAGGGACCCTGCCTTCAGTCGCACGCTAGCAGCTATCATGGTACCTGGGAGGGAGGGAAGGGGGCTGTGTGTCCTTCCATGGCCTATGAAGTGTGTTGTGGGATGACCGCGTGTATAGGACTCTCAGGCTTTTATCCTAGATCACCACTGGATTGCTGACAGATAGAGGACGTGGGACCGTGACTATCACCCCTAATCTGCCGTGGATTTGGCTCTTGGCACTCCCAGGCTGGGAGCTGGATACCTGCCCTGGCAGCATGACTCAGACTGCGTGACAGGTACGGCGTGCCCAGGATGATGTTCCCAGGCCTCTGGCCGCCTGAGTCCAGCCCCCCACACAACCCCCTCCAAGCTCCCAGCCCCTACACCATAAACCATGAGCTCTGTGCCCTCTCTGATGGTTCCACAACTGCCACCTTGGGCATGGAGCCTGTTGTAAGAGCCCCCAGGCTCAGCCATGGAGACCTTGAGCAGTGGCACTGAGTCCCATGGCTCACAGGGAGCAAAGTGAGACAGCCAGCAGCACAAGGACAGAAAGAGGAAAGAGCAAGTCTGCAGCTCCAGAAGGGAGGGGCAGGGAGCCTGGCTCTGAGGCTCCAGGTATGCCCCCTGTGTGGAGCTGGGGCAGCGGGGCAGGCAGACCATTCATGCAGCAGGCAGTGAGGCATGTACCTACCATGGCTGACGCTCCTCAGGGGCCACTGATAGTGATTCTGAAAGACAGCTTCAAATCACATGGCAGGTCACATGCATGGGTGGGGCAGGCCTGGGGGTGGGGGACACACGCACATGCCGGAGTGTGCACACACATGCTGTGAGGCCCCACGGCCCGCATGCACACTCTAACACATGCCCACAAACAACACGCATACGTCGCCCTCCCCGCCACCTCCCAATGCCCAGCACCCTCACCGGCCGGCACGTGCCGCATGGATCTGGGGCGTGCAGCCACTCGGCACGCTGAAGCACATGCGTGGGCAGAGTCACAACACAGATGCTCACCCGCACACAGAGGCATTTGCACCAGCTCCCTGCACACTCGTGCCTGGCGTGCTCAGAGGACCACCCATGCTGCTCAGGGAGACAGGGCTTGCTCACTAATGTCCGGCTGTCATTTCTCCACCTAAGAGCCTTCCATGGCTCCCTACTGCCTACAGCGTTGAATCCCAACAAGTCATACTCTTTGGACTTTGAAGGTTCTCCACCCTGTGCCCCACCCTCCCCACAGAGCTCTTCCTCATTCTGTCTCTGTTCCCTGCTTTGGCCAGTGGCTATCCGCGATGTGACCCACACTACACCTCTGCCCACACTGCAGCTCTTTACCCAGTTGCCCTCCAGTTCCTCACCACGTATGCCTATCTCAGTCATGCCCCAGACTGCATTGAAGCCAGGCTGCCTTGAAGAAGCTCTCCCAGACTGCCCTTTTCCCCAAGGCAGGGTCATGATTTACCAAAGGTTTCGTGTGTGTTAGCAAGACTGGAGTCGGAGCAGGCATCAAACTTTACATCCCATATGTCACACCTCACCATAGATCTGGGTGCCAAATAGCCTGAAGAGTCTGAACTCACGTTGGAAGTTAGCAAAGTGCTCCTACAGCCGCATCTGCAGTTAACATAGTATCCCTATGGCCACTGTCTCCCTTGATCCCCACAGCCATCCTAGGAGAAAGGCAGAACGTCATTTGCTAGAAGGGATGCTGAGGCTCTGGGAGGGAAAGGGACTTGCCTAAAGCCCCAGGGTGAAGCAGCATCTCTGGACTCTCATAGACAGCCTAGAGCTGCCAGCATTCCCTTAGGATCTGTGCCCTCGGGCCTGGCTTAATTTTTTCCTCTGCAAAGAGCCATCTGTAGGGCCAGAGGCTGGCAAAGCCTGACTCATTACTGGACGCCAGTTCCTTTGCCTGACTTTCAGTGATTTCTACCTTACCCTGGGGTTTTATGTTGCTTGTCTCAACACTGTCACTTCTCATTCCTCCACAAGTTGAATTGCTCACTCCAGCCACTTGAAGCATGCTCTTCTTAACACAGTTAGCTCTAGGCACATGGTTGGTGCTAAAAAGGAAAAAAAAAAGAAGAGCATTATGTCAATTTCATTGATTAACAAAAGCGATGGCTCCACTGCAAAGCAAAGTTGATACTCCTGGGCCTCTGAGTTCAAGAGCCTTTTAGACAAATGGCTCTGAGCTAAAACATGATCATGCATGCATATGCATCTGTCTTGGTCTGATGAGATAATCTGGATACTTGCTTGTTATCCTTGAGCATTTTCCTGCCTCATTAATGTATGTGTAGCCACCACAATAATAATCATAGCTAATAATGGCTACAGCTGAGGGCTTTCCTGAACCAGGCAGTGGTTTTAAAAACTTTAACCCCTAAAGCTGAGGACTTTCCTAAGCTAGATAGTGGCTTTGAAAACTTTAAAGTTTTCACATAGACTGTCATTGAATAATTTCTGTTTTTCAGATCAAGAAACTGAGACTTACTATCATATTTGGGATTAAGCTAAAAAAAAAAAAAAGAAAAGAAACAGAGGCTGAACGCTGTCAAGTATTTCACAGCCAGCAGGAAATCGGAACTTGAACCCAGGCAGTCTAGCCCTGGGATCCTTTCCCCTTACCCATTATCCAGTGTTGGCTACACAAAACTAATGAGTACATATTTTCAACTATAGTTTAAGTGGGTGACATATTTTTCACTATATTTTATGTAGGTGACTTTCAGTTTGGGGGTATTCTACTTACACAATCTATTGAGCTGGATATTAACTGAGAGCAAACAGAAACTAATGAACTCTGAAAAACATAAAACATGAGCAACATGACGTCACTGCAAGAGACAAAACAGCACATAGCCTTCTTGTGACTGTATTTTGCTGACAGTCCATGAGCTGATAGCCTGAACTCAGCAGTGCTGTTCCCTTGGGAGACACACACACACACACACACACACACACACACACACACACACACACACACACACACGAGTTGGTGGTTTTCTGCCCCCCACCCCCACCCCAACACACACACGAGTTGGTGGTTGTGCTGCCCGGAGCCTCCAGTCCGCGAGTGTGAAGAACGGACCAGATGGGTCCAGCAGTGCTGGGTCAAGGCCAGGAGGGGCAGCCGGAAGCGCGCGCATGCTCTGGACTCCTGCAGCCGCCGAAACGGGTGCGCAGGGGGCGCGCGGGTTGAGGGGTGAGGGGCGACGGGTGTGAGGGGCGAGAGGGACGGGAGCGGGGTAGGGGCAGCCCTTTCCCAGGCGATAGCGGGGGCTGTGGTGCTGTTGCCCTTTTAAGCTGCGGCTTGACAGGAGCAGCGCCTCCTGTCGGTGGAGTCTGTTACAAGGGGAGCAGCCGCCCAGGCCGCCACACAGCTCCCCGCAGAGGCCTCGGTGCCCCTTGCCATTTTCCAGCCCTACTCCGACTAGAGTTGAGGCATCAGGGAGAGGCGGAGCTGGGAGAGCGCCGCCGAGAGGTCCCGCGGGTGGTTGCGGCCGTGACAGCGGCTCCCGACGGGCTCACCTTCCGCGCCCCTCCCGCCAGAGGTGAGAGTAAAATGTCCGTGTGAGGGTTCAAGGCCAAGCTGAAGTTGTTGGCCTCTATCTTCCACAAGAACCAGGAGCCGCCGCCGCAGCTCACGCTCCACTGCAACATCACGGTGAGGCGCCCAGTGGCGGCCTCACGGGGCAGGGCGAGGGCGGAGAGGAGGCGCCCAGAGTCCCGGGACAAAGGCGAGCCTGCCCGGGAGAGGCCCCGGTTCCCCAGGCGGGGCGAGCGCGCCCCTTTCTCCCGCGTCTGGCCCGCCCCGCTGTGTGAGGCTTGCGTGGGAGGAGGGGGAGGGCGCGTCTCTCTGGCTCCTTGCCGCGGGGCTGGCTTGGGGGCTGCCGGCACCTCTCGCCCCAGTCGCTGCGCCCTGAGGTGGGAGCCCGCGTCGCCCGCAGACCTTTTGGGGCCCATGATCGCCCTCAGTCAGCTAGCCTGCTCCCCTGGACCGCGACGGGGAGTGGCAGGGCGGCTCCCGCTGTTGTTTGAGCCCAGTGAGGGAAGGGGAAAGGCCTTTAAGATTTTCGGTTTTTTGGCCGGGCGCAGTGCTCATTCCTGTAATCCCAGCACTATGGGAGACTGAGGCAGCTGGATCTCCTGAGGTCAGGAGTTCTAGACCAGCCTGGCCAACATGGTAAAACCCTGTCTCTACTAAAAATACAAAAATTAGCCGGGCATGGTGGCAGGCGCTTCTTGAGATGGAGTCTCACTCTGTCGCCCAGGCTGGAGTGCAGTGGAGCGATCTCGGCATACTGCAGCCTCCATCTCTTGACAGTCTGTGGGTTCAAGCGATTCTCCTGCCTCAGCCTCCCGAGTAGCTGGGATTACGGGAGCCCGCCACCACGCCTGGCTAACTTTTGTGTTGTTTAGTAGAGACGGGGTTTCATCATGTTGGCCAGGCTGGTCTCGAACTCCTGACCTCAAATGACCCATCTCTGCCTCCCAGAGTTCTGGGATTACAGGCCTGAGCCACCGCGCCCAGATCCAAGGCCCTTAAGCTTAAATGCCTCGTTCTTCAGTCAGGTTTTCCTTGTTCCCGCATGTTCAGCCAATCGTGTTTAAGGAGAAACTAACAATGAAAACGGACTCGTTGATGGAGGAAAAGTTGGAATGCAGCCTCTGGTGCTGTTTGAGCGATCCCTCTATCCCGGGTCGCTGCTGTGTTCTGGAAAGGCGCATTGTACCCTGGATGCAGCAGGTAAGAGTCCTGTCCAGGTGCTCTGCCCGCTTTTTCTTTCAGGCTTCTGTATCAGCTGTTTTTCCCCTGTAGAATGTGCCCCTGACAGCCACCCCCTAACCCTACCCAATTTGTCTTTACGTGTCTGACCATCAAGGCTCTTCTGGGTCATATTTAATTCATGCTGATATTTCCCCTTCCTCCCCTCTTTAGTCCTCACTATTTTTGCTTTGGTTATGTTATGCTGTATTCTGTAAGGCTTTAAAAAAAATTTTTATGGTGGCAGGGGAGAATGTTTTATAATTATGCTTTGTGCTTTTTATCTTCCACTCAATAAATGCTTGGTAAATATTTGTTTTATTGAATGTATGACCCTATTCTAGCTATATTGTGCTTGAACAAAAACCTTAACTGCCTTGTAAGTTAACTGCTAAGAATTTGTCAGAAGTGCAGACATAACATCAAGAACTTGTCATGGATAGTACAAAAAGGTCTCTAAGGGCTTGATGGAGGCCTGTAAATTGACTTCCTATGAAAGAGAGTGTAAGAAGTGAAAATGTAAAGCATGACTGGAGAGCCAGAGTGATGAAGCCAGGGTCCCTTTCTCCAGATCCTTTGTAACAGTGTTATGTGATCTCTTCTAGAAGATCGTTCTGAAAGATAATGCTAACTCGGAACCTAGGAAACCATCCAGTGGGTTTCTGCAGCTTAGGTGTTTCAAATCCTCATCAGCACGTTTGTTTTCTCTGCCTCAGTTTGCTTACAATGATGTTCTCAGTAGCTACAATTGCTGTCTTTGAATATGTAAGCATTTTTTTTTAGATGACAGGGATATATGTGCATTTTTATTTTACCAAGTGTTAGAATTTTTACTCTGCTTTTGTGGGCTCTGGGTTAGCTACTTGGTTGTTGTAAAATGATTAGCAGGGAAAGCTGTGTGTGTGTGTGTGTGTGTGTGTGTGTGTGTGTGTGTGTGTGTGTGTGTGGTTTCTTTTGTTGTCAGAGGACTTAGAATTTTATTTTATATGGTAATTCTGTCAATTTACTTTATTCTCCACCCCACATTTATTGAACAGCAAATTATGAAAGTAATGTGTCCCATAAGCAGCCTTCAGAAGAATTACAGCTGCTGTATATCTGAAATTCTTTTTTTTATTTTTTATTTTGAGATGGAGTCTCACTCTATCACCCAAGCTGGAGTACAGTGGTGCAATCTTGGCTCACTGGAACCTCTGCTGCCCAGGTTCAAGCAATTCTCCTGCCTCAGCCTCCTGAGTAGCTGGGATTACAGGCACCTGCCACCGCACCTGGCTAATTTTTGTAGCTTTAGTAGAGACAGGTTTCACCATGTTGGCCAGGCTGGTCTTGAATTCCTGACCTCGTGATCAGCCTGCCTCAGCCTCCCAAAGTGCTGGGATTACAGGTGTGAGCTACCGCACCTGGCTGAACTTTCAAGAAGAAGTTTGTGCATCAGTTTTCAAAAAATTATGATATCAAAAGATAGCTGTGCCCTACATTTGGAAAGATACAAAAACTGAACATACTGGCAGGCAGTTTTGCTTGCTGGTGCTTGAGATAGAGGCACACATTGGTCTCAGTGGAATTATGGAGAAAAATAGATAAAGTTATTTCTAAATAAGACCAAAAAATCCTTTTCTTAAGCAGTGACAGGTAAAGAGGTTGTCTTGACTAACCTTGAATTGTGTTGCCCTTGATTGAGACAGTTTTATGGTGGGATGGTAGTGGTGATAAACTTGCTGGAAATTTGTCTGCTTATAGTAACCTTTGTGGTAGCTGTCACAGACAACTTCATCTTCACAGGCCTTGAAATTAGTATAAAACTAACAGAATGGAGGAGAAACAAAGGACCTGAATAATTAGATGCTTAGATAATTGTTCCGTGTTTTCATAACTGGTGAAAAAGAGCAGTATTAGAAGCACTTACACATTCTATAGAAGGAACACTGCCTGAATTTATATTGCGATTTTTGAGCACCATTAACTGTATAAAAACAGGCATATTGTAGGTAATATTTTAAAGACAAACAGAAAATTTATCTTTTCAAGATGGATCTAAAACTTATCAAAATTACAAAATTTAAAACGTGATTGAAAAATATTAATGCATAGGTTTAAATATTGGTCATTTTAAATGTCTTTCAAAATAGATTGTCTCTTAAATATTCAACTGAACAAACTTTGAACATGTAGAGTTTGTGCCGAAGGTTAAATTTCCTGGGGTGATGGATATTTTGTAATATGGAAAACAAAACCTTCTTATTTTAAGAAATTTAGAAAACTTTTAGGCAAAACTAGAAAATATTACCTATGTAATTCTACCACTCAGAAGGTGCCACTGTCAGAAATTTGTATCTTTCCAGTCATCTGCTCACCTCTTTTCTCCTGTGCTTATATATGTTTCCTCTCCCTTAAAAATCAGATATTTGTTTGTAATCTGCTTTTTCACTCAACAGTATTGTAGATCCATGTTATAACTTACTCCTCTACATTGCCTTCAGTTATTGTGTGCTTTCTGTTGGATGACTTTACCATGTAGTCAGTCATGTTTTCTGGTACTGAATACATACGGGTATGTGTGTGTGTGCGTGCGTGTGTGTGTGCGTATTTTTTTGTAACTTAACTAATGCTTTAGACATCAGTAGGTAGACGTAAATCCTTGAAACCTTCCACGTGGTGACTTTCAGTTCTCATTGCTGAATTTGTTTCCAGAGATGGAAGAAATTATATTGTATGGGAACTTTTTTTTTCTTTTTTTTTGAGATGAAGTCTTGTTCTTGTCGCCCAGGCTGGAGTGCAATGGCGTGATCTCACTGCAACCTCCACCTCCTGGGTTCAAGCAATTCTCCTGCCTCAGCCTCCCGAGTAGCTGAGATTACAGGCGCATGCCACCATGCCTGGCTAATTTTTGTATTTTTAGTAGAGACGGAGTTTCACCATGTTGGCCAGGCTGGTCTTGAACTCCTGACCTCAGGTGATTTGCCCACTTCAGCCTCCCAAAGTGTTGGAAATACAGGTGTGAGCCACTGTGCCCAGCCTTTTTTTCATCTCAGTACCAGCTTTTATTTATCAGATTGGTAAAAATGTTAGAAAGTGTGCAATGAAATGGGCATTCTTACAGTCATGGCAAAAAATATAATTATCTTTGACTTTCTAGAAAGTAGTTTGGCTTTCTAGAAACTTGTTTGAATTCTCCCTGTTTAGGCAGGATGAATTCTCACTACCCCAAGGTGGCCAACCTTGTCCCTGTGATTCCATCTCTCCCAGAAAGAGAGGTCTAGTCTCAGGGAAAACCCAGATTTGTTTGGCTTAGCCCACCTGACAGCTAATCACTGGAAATGGGGTGGGCTGGTAGAATCCTTTGGTCAGGCTTTGTGTTGAGAGAGAGGTGGAAAGATGGGAGGGAGGTAGCAAAACTTGCCTCAGTGGAACTATGTAAGTTAATATAGAATGGCAAAAGGATGTTTCTTCCAAGGAAGAAATTCTAGGGAAGCAAGAAAGTGGAGGGGAAGGCAGCAGTTCTCCAAGTTTTGGGGTCAGGATTCCTTTACACTCTTAAAAATACATTGAGGGCCCAAGGAGCTTTGGTTTATGTAGGGTATATCTATTGGTATTTATCACTAGAAATTAAATCAGAAATATTTAAAATATTCTTTAAAAGCTCACCACATATTGTTATAAATGCTTTTATGAAAAGAAAATTTCTAAACCCAAAGTAGTACAATCTTACACCTTTTGCAAATTTTTTTGATGTTTGATATGTCATTTGCATGATGTTTGACATGTCATTAGCAAATTGATATGTCAGTTTGCTTCTGCATTCAATTTATTGTGTGATATTTTCTTGAAAAAATGTGAACAAAGACCAATCTCATACAGATAACATTTTAGATCATTGTGGATATATATATATTTTTTGAGATGAGGTCTTGCCCTGTTGCCCAGGCTGGAAGGTAGTGGTGTGATCACAGCTCACTGCAGCCTCAGTCTCCGGGGACTCAGGTGATCCTCCCACCTCAGCCTCCGGAGTAGCTGGGACTACAGGTGTGTACCACCACATTTGGCTAACTTTTTGTATTTTTTGTAGAGACAGGGTTTTGCCATGTTGCCTAGGCTTCTTTTTTGATACTCCATCAAATCTTGGTTTTTCTTGAACTTTGGATCTTCCACCCTTGCATGATATTACAACATCGTGCATTGGTCACTTATAAAATAGTGGTTCACTAGGATCTTCTACATGTTGATACATTTGATTGTACAGTATCAAAATACATTCATCAATACCACCATCAATCTCATCAGAATACTTTTGGAAAGTGATGGTGGACATAAGTTTTCTAAAATTCTAATTTTTTGTTCAAAAGCTTGAATTTTATTAGTAATTTTGTTATTGAATTTTATTATAGCCTGTCTGTTGTTTTCCTTGAAATGACAGAATCTCATGTTTTGAGAAAATATCTGCCAGAAATGCGAGTTAAAATAACATTTTTTGTCAGTCAGCCTTTCAAGTAAAAATGGTATTCCATTAAAGTGGTTAATTCACTTCATGACTTAGTCACTCAAGGGTTTTTTTCTCAGGCAGCCTGTAGGAATGCTCATGTATACTTCCCATTTCATCACTTGAAATATTAAAAAGATATATTCAAGGATTTAGATATAGTAAAATATTCACTGCTTCATCATAGACATTTTTTTTTTTTTAATTTTTGAGATATGGCCTTGTTCTGTCGCTGAGGCTGGAGTGCAGTAGCGTAGTCACAGCTCACTGCAGCCTCAACTTTCTGGGTTCAGTCAATCCTCCTGCCTCAGCCTTCCAAGACGCTGGGACTACAGGCATGCAGCCACTGTGTTCAGCTAATTTTTGTATTTTTTGTAGAGATGAGGTTTCACCAGGTTGCCCATGCAGGTCTTGAACTCCCGGGCTCAAGGGATCCCCCTGCCTGGGCCTTCCAAAGTGCTGGAATTACAGACATGAGCCAAAATTCCCAACCTTATCATAGACATTCTTAAATGAAACTAACCTTTTGTTGCCCTTCCTTTTTATTTTTATTTTTGAAGACGGAGTTTTGCTCTGTTGCCCAGTCTGGAGTTACATAGGTGCAATTTCAGCTCAAGGCAACCTCTGCCTCCCAGGTTCAAGTGATTCTCCTGCCTCAGCCTCCTAAGTATTTGGGAATACAGGCATGCACCACCACACCGAGCTAATTTTTGTATTTTTAGTAGAGATGGGGTTTCACCATGTTGGCCAAGCTGGTCTCAAACTCCTGACCTTAGGTGATCCGTCGACCTCAGCCTCCCGACGCACTGGGATTACAGGCGTAGGCCACCATGCCCCACCCACCCTTCCTTTTTAAACCTTTCCTGTTCATAGTGAAGAATACCATGACTACTAGTAGTAGTTTGGTGTTACTGCCTTTGTTTGTGCTAAAGTACCAGCATTTTTACCCACCATTGTATTTGCACACTTACAGCAAATGTCACCATGTTAATATTCCTGTCAAAATAGTTTGGACTTGGGGGTCTGAGGGCCGCACTTTGGGAACCATTGAAATAGGTACTTAGACGTACTAGATATCATATCTTTTCATCTACAAGGTTTTTAAAAACTTGATTTCAGTTAATTTTTTTTTTGTAATTTTTAAAATATGGTTTTGAGGGGTTTCAGTCCAGAGCAACAACACATATTTTATTTTGCTTACGCTGAAGTTTACTAGAAAATACTAACCTAACAGAATGAAGTCCTAAATCTAATTGCAATTTCCTTAGCCAAAATAAAAAAAACCCAAAATTAAAAGCGTAAAAATAGTCCATATGGTGTATTCTCAGTGTATGCTGAAGAATTTATAGAAGAAAATGCAATACTCAGTAAGTGGTGTTCTTTAAGAATAGGATTGGCTGGGCGCAGTGGCTCACGCCTGTAATTCCAACACTTTGGGAGGCCGAGGTGGGCGGATCATCTGAGATCAGGGGTTCGAGACCAGCCTGACCAACATGGAGAAACCCCGTCTCTACTAAAAATACAAAATTAGTGGGGCATGATGGCACGTGCCTGTAATCCCAGCTACTCAGGAAGGCTGAGGCAGGAGAATTGCTTGAACCCGGGAGGTGGAGGTTGTGATGAGCTGAGATCGTGCCACTGCATTCCAGCCTGGGCAACAGGAGCGAAACTCGGTCTCAAAAAAAAAAACAAAAAAAGAAAAAAAAGAATAGGAGTAATTCTGGAGTTTCTTTTAGCCTGTAGGAGTAATTCTGAAGAGTTTCTTTTAGCCTGTAAAGAGATTTGGAACACAGTAAGAGAGGAATGAGAAGAATGAGAATAGTAAAATAAACCATTATTGAAGAGATATACTGTTAATGATGTCCTCCATCAATACAACTTGTTTTTCTTTTTTTTTTTTTTTTTGTTTTTTGAGATGGAGTCTTGCTCTATCGCCAGCCTGGAGTGCAGTGGACATCTCAGCCCACTGAAACCTCTGCCTCCCGGGTTCAAGTGATTCCCCTGCCTCAGCCTCCTGAGTAGCTGGGACTACAGGCACCCGCCAGCGCGCCCAGCTAATTTTTTTGTATTTTTTTAGTAGAGATGGGGTTTCTCCGTGTTAGCCAGGACGGTCTCGATCTCCTGACCTCGTGATCCGCCCACCTCGGCCTCCCAAAGTGCTGAGATTAGAGGCGCGAGCCACCGTGCCCGGCCCATCTTGTTTTTCTTAAAAAGGAACCTTCAGTAAATATTTGGTTTCTGTGGCTTCAGCTTTAATTCAGATTACAGTTTTCAAAGCAGTGTTGCCTAAAGTTGTTTGTGCAAAATTGTTTTCTGTGACTTCAACCTAGTTATTCTGAAGCTAATATATAATAATAATGGTTTTCCCCCAATTTATAATAGAGAACAGTACAAAGTAACAGCAGAAATGTCTGTTAGTGGGTGAAAGCACATAATGCATAGTTCATTAGCTTTTTTAAAAAATCACATGTAATTGTGTTACAAAAATATATGTATAGTAATGGCATTTACTTGGTATTACCTGGTTTGTGTGATAGAATAAAATATTAGAATTTTATGGTGTTTGAGTTAGTTATCTATTGCTCTGTAACAAACTGAGCAGCTTAAAATAACAAACATTATCTCAGTTTCTGTGGGTCAGGATTCTGTCCAGTTTACCTTGGGTTCACTGGCTTGGCCTCTCACCAGGCAGTGAAGGTGTTGGTGGTGGCTGTGATCATCCCAAGGCAGGATAGGGAGAGAATCTGTCTCCAAGATCAGGTTGGCAGGATTCATCTCAGAGGCTGCTGGACTGGGCCTCCGTTTCTAGATGGCCATTGGTCAGAGGCCTTTTACAATACCTTGTCACGTGGGCCTCTCCATAGGGCACCTCATCACATGGCAACTGGCTTCCATCAGAGGGAGCAATGGAAAGAGCAGGAGAAGGGTGACCAAGGCAGGCATCGTAGTCTCCTTGTAGCCTCACCTCAGAAGCGATGTTACTTTTGCTGTATTCTCTTTGTTAGAAGTGAGTCACTAGGTCCAGGGGTGGAATTTTACAAGGGTGTGAATGGCAGGAGGTGAGGGTGATCAGGGCCATTTAAAGGCTGCCTACCAGTGTTGAAGAAAATTGTTGACTTCTATGAGCTGTAGCAGCAGACAGTGCTATGCAAGGAGAATGGCTGTCTCAGAAGTCCAGCTCCTCACATGGGTTTAAACGTGTTGCCTTTTCCCCCTGATACATTTTGTTTAAATCCATGGTCATCTTGCCATTTAGTGGTGTGGTTTAATTGCATATTTGGGTTAGTCTGTATGTAAACATTTAACATAGGTGTCTCTGGGTTAAACAGGAATCCTATTCATCTTCTTCACCGATATGGTCTGTGGACTCTGATGAGCCAAATCTGACATCAGTTCTGGAACGTCTAGAAGATACTAAGGAGAACAGTTCGGTGAGGAAAGAAACCAAGCTATTTTCTCTTTTCCTCATGAACATTATATTTAGAAATTAAATGTTAAGTGATAATATTATATAAAAACATGATTAACAACTGTAATCTTAGAGGAATTAAAGTCTGGGTATTTTAAGTCCTCCAAATCTTATTTACTACCTGGTTTCTCTTTATTATTTCCCACATGTATAATCTTAGTTTAGATTAGCAATTCGGGATCTCTTTTTCCCTGAATTCTAACCATTAAGCCAAGCAAGCATTTTGGGTGGAGACCACTAGCCAAGGTGGGAAGTAGAAAGAAGACCAAGGTGGAAGTGAAGGGAGAGATGGGGAGAATGACACCAAAACTAGTGGGAGGGGATTGCCTTTTCTTTCAAGGGTCTGTAAGTCTGCAGTAAAAGTCAAAGGTATTCAAATAGGAAGTTTGTTTTTGTCTTTAGTATATAAAGAAGCATAACTTTCCATTTTGCAAAAACTTTAGAAACCTTTTTTTCTTGATTATAAAACTTATAAGCAACCATTATTGAGAAGATTAGTAAAATATAAAAAAATAAAAATCTCACATAATTTCTCTACCTAATATAACTACTGTTGACATGATAGCTAGTTTCTATCAGTATGTATTGCTTCTTTGTTATCAAAGTACTTATACCCTTACAGATATGTTTAAATAGTTGAGGTCATATTCTATAAATATCTATAAATAGCTGGGTGCTGTGGCTCACACCTGTAATCCCAGCACTTTGGGAGGCCGAGGCAGGCAGATCACAAGGTCAGGAGTTTGAGACCAGCCTGGCCAATATGGTGAAACCTCATCTCTACTAAAAATACAAAAATTAGCCCGGTGTGGTGGCAGGTGACTGTAGTCCCAGCTACTCGGCAGGCTGAGGCAGGAGAATTGCTTGAACCCAGGAGGCAGAGGTTTCAGTGAGTCGAGATCGCACCACTGAGGTCCAGCCTGGGTGGCAGAGCAAGACTCCATCTAAATAAATAAATTATGTATACACACACCCTCATATATATATACACACATATGTGTGTGTATACACACACACACACACACACACACACACACACACACACCTACACATGACCGATTGCCTCGCCTCTAGCGTTGGGAATCAGTCACCGTGCTGTCCTTGTGGAGTCTTGTGGCCCAACAAGAGGAAGCTCTTCCCTGACATTGCCCCTCCAAAGTGCGCCACTTCCAGTGCGCCCCACTGTCATGCCCGGCCTGTGGACAGCCAGACCCTGCCATCCCTCCCACCCCCGACCAAGCATGGGGGTGCTCTGTAGGTAGCTGTGTGGCCTGACAGTCTCTACCAGTCCTGCTGTCCCTCAGCTGAGAATCAAACCCATTTCTGGATGACAGGGAATGTGTCTTCTGCTGGCTGTGTTCTCTGTGGAGCTCAGGGGAGGGAAAAGGCCAAGCTATTTCTAGGGTGCTGTCAGGACCGATGAAAAGGTCACACCCTTTCCAAGAGACACTTTTCCTGGAAAGCCCCTGGAGCTTAGCTGGCTTTTATCCTGTGATAAGCCAGAGGCTCTGGGGGGTGAGGGAGCAGAAACCCTCCTCACCCCAGCCAACGGGGACCTGTATACCTCTGCCAGTCTCTCACTTGGCCTTGCTGCTGTCCTCTGAGACTGCCTGTTCCTCCCTCTCTGTGACTCTACACCACCATCACCTCCTCCAGGAAGTCCTCTGGATTGACTCCTAGCTTATTACATCTTTATTGTGCAGACCCTCTCCATTCAAAGCCCCTCTTCAACTGCCCCCCCCCCCCACTACCTCCAAGACAGAGATTCTGGATTCTTGCAACTGCAGCCCCTCAGAGAGTGTAAGAGGGGCAGAAAAAGGAGATCAGGAGGTGAGGGAAGCAGCGCTGTCAGAGTTTCCAAAGCCCCGGCCAGCAAGGCCTCAGAGGCCTCTGTTGGAGTGGGGGCCTCCCTGGCTATGCGCTCCAGCTGCACAAGGCAGCCTCTGTGAGCCTCTCCCACTCAGCCCTACAGGAAGCAGCAGGGCCCAGCCTCAATGGACCCATTCAGACCCCAGCGCTCCGGAAAGTACCTCTGCTTTCTGCCACCATTCCACTCTGGCCAAACAGGCTCTACTCTCTTCTGATGGGAGGAGGCCGCAGGCAGGTGGTTCAGTGGTTAGGGCCAACCATCTACTTCAGTTCCTGTCTGGCCCAGATCTCTGACGTTGACCATGCCCTAGTGGGTGTATGTATACCTTTAGTGCAAGGGTGGTGTGACAGTTAATACTGAGTGTCAACTTGATTGGGGTGAAGGCTGCAAAGTATTGACCTACTGGAAGTGTCTGTGAGGGCATTGTAAAAGGAGATAAACATTTGAGTCAGTGGGCTGGGGAAGGCAGACCCACCTTTAATACTGGTGGGTACCATCTTTCTAATCAGCTGCTAGCGAATATAAAGCAGGCAGAAAAACATGAAAAGGTAAGATTGGCCTAGCTTCCCAGCCTACATCTTTCTCCCATGCTGGACACTTCCTGCCCTCTAACATCGGACTCCAGGTTCTTCAGTTTTGAGACTCGGATTGGCTCTCCTTGCTCCTCAAACTTGCAGACAGCCTATTGTGGGACCTTGTGATTGTGTAAGTTAATACTTCATAAACTCCCCTTTATATATCTATCTATATCTATATCTATATCTATTATCTATATCTATATCTATTATCTATATCTATATCTGTCTATATCTCCTATTAGTTCTGTCCCTCTAGGGAACCCTGATTAACACAGGTGGGTAGGCACAGGGAGATGTGCCCCCTTCCCCGTGGGTGCTGGGTAGGTAAATGTTTCGCAAAGGGCTTTCTTGGGGAGAGGGAACCCTGATTTTCAGTATTTGCCTCTTTTCCTGGTATAAATATTCCCACTGTGGGCAGTATCACCTGCCTCTCAAAATTCCTGAAAATTCAACAGTTGGCTCCTGGCAGCTGCTGTGAGCCGTTCCAGCCGGTGACTGTGGTGGCTCCATCCTGCAGGGCCATGTGCCCCCACCCCTTGTGCTATGGCCACCCTCACTTTAGTGTGCTGTGTTTTGCTCTTAGGAATCAATGTCTTTGCAGATAAGGCACCCCAGTAGCTGGCCACCACCTGCAGTTCCCTGGTCTGTCTCTTGCTGGCACCAAGCTGTGCTGTGCCTGCTGAGACTGCTGGGCCACCCCAGCGCATATGGTCTGCGGGGCTTACTTGATTCCCTTAGCTTCCCAGCCAAGGTGCTGGTGTTGCCAGCAGTGCTGGCAGGAGGAGGGGATAACTAGAGGGGATTTAACTCAACCCGAGGGGCTCTTACGGGATCTTTCCTGGATATCCCTCCAGGTGGGGCTGGCTGCCCTGAGGGTGTACAAACTTCCAACTCCTCCAATGGCTGAAGCTACTTCCTCGAGCAGATGGCAGCTGGCTCAGGCTGGCTAGGGACCAGTGCATGTGAGGTCGGTGCTGGATCACCCCATCAAGGCCATCAGCCTGTGCTTGTTCTTGGGGTTTGAGGGAAACCCAACAGGGATGAATCACAGTTTTTAACCTGTGTTTGTCTGCCCCCCAGCCCTGGACATCTGCAGGCAAAGTTAAAGTTATATTTGGCTCTTATCACCACAAAAGGCATAGACCAGAAATTATGGCATCGGGTTGGAAGTCAGGGAGGCTAATTTGGGGAAACTGCCTGGAGGAAGCAGCAACTCAAAAGAGGAGGAGTCACACTGTGGGACAGAACAGGCCCTGCATAAGAACCACTAACCCCAGGCAAGCCCAGACATGGCCTTCTGCCTGGGGAGGCCCTCTTTGGCCTGCTCAGCAGACCCTCAGCCCCTTCTAGGCCCTGTCTTCAGCCTCAGACTGAGTGGTGGCCTGGGGAGGTTGGGAGCTGAGCTGTTCTCATCCCTGGTTCCTTGGCCACGGTGGAAACAATGGGGCCGGATCTGACTGCTCAGCGGGGACTGTGAATAGCTCTCTAGCAGGAAGCAACAGCAGGGGTAGTGGAGGAAGTGTGGGCCCACTTTGGTTTGACACTGCATATGGTCCCCATCTGGCCTGAGAGCCTTTACTCCTTGGCAAACTCAGGCCAATAAGCTCCTGCCCCCACCCTCAATGGCAGCTGGAAGAATGGCCTGAGGGAGAAGCAGGGATAGGTGGGCTGCAGTGACATCACCCCCAGATCCCAGCCGTGGCCCCAGCCAACCCATGGAGGTGGGGCATGGCACAGCAGGTGCTGCACAGGAGCCCAAGCACAAGGGCACTTAGGAGAAGGAATCTGAGCAGGGATCGATCTGGCCTGGGGGTGATTCTCCAGAAACTCCATTCCTCGGGGCTGTGACCACCAAGCCAGGTGATCAGGCCAGTGATGTTTCCCTTTGGGCCAGGTCGGGGAGCCAGACCTGGGAGGGAGACTCCTCTGGGGCCCAGGGGAGGTGAGTCAGAGCTGGCAGAGGCCTCTGGCTCCAGGAACCTCCAAGGAGGAGACCTGAGTTGCTGGGAATTTCTGGGTCTGACCTCCTGCCAAGTCAAGGTCTGGGCTGGACACAAGGTGAGGCTGTGCCTTCTGGTGCCAGGACCAAGGAAATGCTGGGATCTGGGCAGTGCTCAGAGGCAGCACCGTATGGCAGAACCATGAGGGTGCACCAGCACGGACCCCTTTCTGCAACCCACCCATCCCTCCCTGCAGCACCTCGCCTCCTCCAGGCAAGAATCTGAGCCTTGACCACAGCTCCCTCTCTCACACAGCTTCCTTCTTTGGTTAGAACCACCTGGAGGTGACTGTGGCCATGGCTCTGACTGACATAGACCTGCAGCTGCAGTTCTCCATGTCCCAACCCGAAGCCCTCCTTCTCCTGGCAGCAGGCCCAGCTGACCACCTCCTGCTGCAGCTCTACTCTGGACACCTGCAGGTGAGTGACGTCCCCCTGGGATTGGGGCGAGATTCCTTGTCTAGCTTTGAGTGAACCCCAGCTGGCTGTTGACCTTGTGTAAGTCACTTTTCTTGGGGTCTCAAGTTCTCCACTGTGGGATGGGCAGCAGCAGCTCAGAAATGGTAAATCCTTCATGAACTGGCTCTGCCCACCGGCTCCTTCCAACCATGTTTCCCACCACAAGCCCTCACTGGCCCTTTGTGCTCTGACTACACTGAACTGCTTTCAGTTCCTGGCCATCTTATGGTCACTTGCAGCCAGGCCTTTGGTCATCACACTCCTCCTGCCAGGTGTGTGACCCACCCATTCCCTGTACCTGCCGAACTCTAGTCTCTCCTTGAAGTTTCAGTGTGGGCATCCCCTCCTCCTCGGCGAGACCCCCTCCTGGGCCCCCATGACCCCTGCGCATCCTGGTGGCACTGCACCAATTTATCTGCAGCACCACTGTCTGTCCATGAGAGTAACAGCACCAGTACTGCCTCAGCTTCATTTTTCCATTTCATCCTTCAAGACACCACAAGCTTTATTATCAAGGAGTCTTGTGGCTCCTACTTGAGTCTTACCCCATACCAGGAAGAGTTTAAGAACCCAGGGTCTTAGTCCAAATTTGGGGCAGGCTGGGTGCAGTGGCTTATGCCTATAATCCCACCACTTTGGGAGACCAAGGTGGAAAGATCACTTGAGCCTAGGAGTTCAAGACTGGCCTGAGCCACACAATGAGACCCCATCTCTATTTTAGAAGGAAAAAAAAAAACAAATTAACAAATTTGGGGCAGCCATCTCTTTCCACACCCCAGTGGGAAGAGGACTAGGGCTTGGTCAGTCTGCTGCTGTCATTGCTGCTCATTGCCACAAGGTGTCACTGTTGAACACCTATGTGGTGCAGTCTGGTGCTGATGGCTGCTGAGCTGTGCAGGTAGTGATGCCACATCCCTACAGAGATGCACCATACCAGGACTCCAAGATCATGGTTCTTAGTGTTCTGGTTCTGCAGTTCCCATACTCTGCCATCACCTATTCTAGCATCTGGGAGCACCATACCAGAGCCATTTCTTGTGTCAATGTCATGGTGACAGAACTATGTCCTTCATCTCTCCTTGAGATATTCCTCCACCACAGGTCAGGCAGCTTTTTTTTTTTTTTTTTTTCCAGAACACAGAGCATCTGCCTGGGCTCCCTGTCCCTGAACAGTTAGCCTGGCTTCCTTCAGTGACCTCGAGAAACTTTGCCAAACTTAGGGGGACTGATCAACGGATTCTCAGTTACCCATTATTCCAGGGGTGAAATCTAGATTCCAAGACAATATTTCTGGTGCTTCTCACTCAAGGAAAGAGGAGGAGAATTTAAAAATACAGGTTGGGTTTCTAGAAGAGCATCTTGCTATATGTCAGTTCCTTGTGGGCAAGGACCACATCTGATTCACACCAGGGTCCCCAGAGCCCATCCAGGCCTGGCCCAGAGTTTCCTTTGGTGAGTGTTTGGAGGATGAATAAAGAGATGGCAGGAAGGCAAGAGGAGTGGCACCAGAGGCCCTTGTCCTAGGTTTTCTGCTCTGGGGCCCCCTGTGGGGAACCCACTGTGCTTTTATAAGGGAAATGATGGATTCAAAGTGCTGCCCCCCATCTCCCATTCCCCGTCTCTCCTCAGGTCAGGCTTGTCCTGGGCCAGGAGGAGCTGAGGCTGCAGACCCCAGCAGAAATTCTACTGAGTGACTCCGTCCCCCACACCACAGTTCTGACTGTCTCAGAGGACTGGCCCACATTGTCAGTCAATGGGTTTCTGAATGCCTCCTCTGTAGTCCTGGGAGCCCCCCTAGAAGTCCCCTATGGGCTCTTTGTTGGGAGCACTGGGAGACTTGGCCTGCCCTACCTGAGGGGAACCAGCCATCCCCTGAGGGGTTGCCTCCATGCAGCCGCTCTCAATGGCCGCAGACTCCTCCAGCCTCTGACCCCCAATAAGCATGAGGGCTGTGCTGAAGAGTTTTCTGCCAATGACGATGTGGCCCTGGGCTTCTCTGGGTCCCACTCTCTGGCTGCCTTGCCTGCCTGGGGCACTCAGGATGAAGGAACCCTGGAGTTTACACTCACCACACAGAGCTGGCAGGCACCCTTGGCCTTCCAGGCAGCAGGCTGGCATGGGGACTTCATCCATGTGGACATATTTGAGGGCCACCTGTGGTCCATGGTTGAGAAGGGCCAGGGTACTGTATTGCTCCTCAACAGTGTGCCTGTGACTGACGCACAGCCCCACAAGGTCAGCATCCACATCAACATTCACCAGCTAGAAATCTCCATGGACCAGTACCCCACATGTACTTTGAACCGAGGAGTCCTCAGCTACCTGGAGCCACGTGACAGTCTCCTTCTTGGGGAGCTGGTGCAGAGGCCTCTCGTCACCTCCAGGAACACCGCTCAGGCCTGACACCAGGGGCTGCCAATGCCTCCCTGCTGGGCTGGCTGCATGGAAGACCTCAGTGTCAATGGCTAGAGGCAGGGGCTGTGGGAAGCCTTGCTGACGCACAACATGGTGGCTGGCTGCAGACTGGAGGAGGTGGAGGAGTATGAGGACAATGCCTATGGCCATTATGAAGCTTTCTCCACCCTGGCTCCCGAGGCTTGGCTGTCCGTGGAGCTAGCTGAGCCATGCGTGCCTGAGCCAGGGCTACCTCCTGTCTTTGCCAATTTCATCCAGCTGCTATCAGTGCAGTGGTGGTGACCGAGGGTGGCACAGCCTGGCTTGAGTGGTGGCATGTGCAGCCCATGCTGGCACTGATGGAGGCTGAACTGCGTAAATCCCAGGTGCTGTTCAGCGTGACCTGAGGGGCACACTACAGCGAGCTCGAGCTGGATGTCCTGGGTGCCCAGGCATGAAAAATGTTCACCCTTCTGGACGTGGTGAACTGCAAGGCCCACTTCATCCACGATGGCCCTGAGGACACCTCTGACCAGCTGGTGCTGGAGGTGTCAGTGATGGCTTGGGTGCCTATGCCCTCATGCCTGCGGAGGGGCCAAACAGACCTCCTGCCCATCCAGGTCAACCCTGTCAATGACCCACCCCACATCATCTTCCCACATGGCAGCCTTATGGTGATCCTGGAACACACACACAAGCCTCTGGGGCCTGAGGTTCTCCAGGCCTATGACCTGGACTCTACCTGTGAGGGCCTCACCTTCCAGCTCCTTGGCACCCCCTCTGGCCTCCCCGTGGAGCACCGAGACCAGCCTGGGGAGCCGGTGACTGAGTTCTCCTGCTGGGAGTTGGAGGCCGGCAGCCTAGTCTATGTCCACTGCGGTGGCCCTACACAGGACTTGACATTCCGGGTCAGCAATGGACTGCAGGCCAGCCCCCCGGCCATGCTGAAGGTGGTGGCTGTCCAGCTGGCCATACAAATCCACCGCAGCACAGGGCTGCATCTGGCCCAGGGCTCTGCCATGCCCATCTTGCCTACCAACCTGTTGGTGGAGACCAGCGCCGTGGGGCAGGATGTGACCGTGCTGTTCCATGTCACCGGAGGCCTGCCGTTCAGGGAGCTGCAGAAGCAGGGGGCTGGTGGGGTGGAGGATGCTGAGTGGTGGGTCACACAGGCGTTCCACCAGCAGGATGTGGAGCAGGGCCACGTGAGATACCTGAGCACTGACCCACAGCACTACACCGAGGACACCGTGGAGAACCTGGATCTGCAGGTGCAGGTGAGCTGGGAAATCCTGAGCAATCTGTCCTTCCTAGTGACCATCCAGAGAGCCACTGTGTGGATGCTGCAGCTGGAGCCACTGCACACTCAGAACACCCAGCAGGAGGCCCTCACCACAGCCCACCTGGAGGCCACCCTGGAGGAGGCAGGCCCAAGCCCCCCAACCTTCCACTGTGAGGTGGTTCAGGCTCCCAGGAAAGGCAACCTTCAACTACAGGGCACGATGATGTCAGACGGTCAGGGCTTCACCCAGGATGACGTACAGGCTGCAGAGGTGACCTATGGGGCCATGGCACGTGCCTCAGTGGCAGTGGAGGACACCTTCTGTTTCCATGTCACAGCTCCACCATATTTCTCCCCACTCTGTACCTTCTCCATCCATATTGGCGGTGACCCAGACATGCCTGTCCTCATGGTGCCCGAGGGTGGTGAGTGTGTCCTCTCTGCTGACCAGCTCTTCATCAAGAGTCTCAACAGTGCCAGGTACCTCTATGAGGTCATGGAGCAGCCCCGCCATGGGAGGTTGACTTGGCGTGGGACACAGGACAAGATCACTATGGTGACATCCTTCACCAATGGAGACCTGATGCATGGCCAGCTGGTCTAGCAGCATGATGACTCCGAGATCACAGAAGATGATATCCCATTTCCTGCTGCCACCAGGACCAGAGCAGTGGTGACGTGGCCTGGGAGGAGGTATGGGGTGTCTTCTGAGTGGCCATCCAGCCTGTGAATGACCACGCCCCTATGCAGACCATCAGCTGCGTCTTCCATGTGGCCTGGGGTAGGTGGCGGCTGCTGACTACAGACAACATGGCCTTCAGCAATGCTGATTCGGGCTTTGCTGAGGCCCAGCTGGTGCTGACCCACCAGGACCTCCTCTCTGGCAGTATCATGGCCACGGATGAGCCCATGCAGCCCATCTGCCGCTTCATCCAGGAGGGGCCTCAGGAAGAGGCGAGTCCTGTTCACACACTCAGGCTGACCACGGCTGGATCCCGCTGCAGGTGTCCGATGGGCAGCACCAGGCCATCACGGTGCTGGAGGTGCAGGCCTTGGAGCCTTACCTCTGTGTGGCCAATGGCTCCGGCCTCATGGTTCCTCAAGGAGGCCAGGGTACCATCAACATGGCCGAGCTCCACCTGGGCACCAACCTCAACATCTGCAGTAGGGATGAGGCCCACTACCACGTCACAGACAGCCCTCACTGGGGACAGTTGCTCCAAGCCACTCAGCCAGCCACAGCCTTCTCTCAGCAGGACCTGCTGGTTGGGGCTGTTCCCTATGGCCACAATGGCAGCCTCAGCTCCTGCAACACCCTGGCCTTCTCAATGGATGTGGGACCAGTGCACACAGATGCCACCCTACAAGTGACCATTGCCCTAGAGGGCCCAGTAGCCCCACTGAAGCTGGCCCAGCACAAGAAGATCTACATCTTCCAGGGAGAGGCAGCTGAGATCAGAAGGGACCAGCTGGAGGTGAGGAGCTGGAGGTGGTGAGCGGGGTGTGGACCAGGTAGAGGGCCTTCCTCCCAGCCTCCATGCCGGGAACACATGTGACTTGGGCTGTACCTGTGGTGGTCCCAGCTTGCGTGTGTGCACGTGCCTCAGATATGCTCCCATATATGTTGTGTTCCCAAGAGTTTCTGGGGAGCTTGCTGTACACCCATCCTCCTGGGAGTGGTGTGTGCCTCTAGAGCTGGTGCCCACTCATGTCCATGGCATGGCTGAGCATGCAGATTCCTGGACGCCACCCAGCCCTACAGAATCTCTGAAGTGGAGCCCGAGAATCTGCATTGCAGTCAGTTCCCTGGGAGGGCATCACGGGTCCTGAACTTTTGGGATTGCTGGCCGTGGAGACAGGCCGCTGCCTCTCAGACCCCTGTGTAGCCTGCTCTCTTCTCAGAGCCCAGACCAGGACCAGGAGGGTCTGTCAAGGGCTTCTGCTTACCCAGGAACCTCACAGAGCAGCCACGGGCCTTCCAGAGATCTGACATGCCCTGTGACCTCAGGCCAGTCCTTGCCCGCTCTCAGCCTTACTCTTCCACACTGCTTATTTCGGAGACCCTTCTGGTCTGCATCTGGAGCTTGGGGCCCATGGTGAGCCAGCAGATCTGGCATCAGGAAGGCCTCATGGGAGGAGGCAGTGTTTGGGCCGGGCTCTGAAGAGTACAGGCCATTAGGAGCAGAGAATGGGGAGTGGTATTCCATGCAAAAGGAACATTCCGGCCGAAGGCACAAAACAGGAATGTGAGTTTGGAGGCAGTTTAGCCTCTTGTGGATGGCCCATCAGGTGAGGGAGCCCATGTGGCCTTTGGGGTGTGAGCTCTGTAGGGCCTGTGCTGGGGGTGCCTGTGCCTCTAGGAGGGGTGGGGTGGGGTGGGGCAGGGCACCCTCTGATGGTCCTGGGTGGTAATAGCAGGGGTTGGGGAGGATGCTGCCAGCAAACCAGCCACAGGCCTGAACAGATCCTGAGCAGGGGGCCTGTGTGCGTGTGCACACACGCATGTGTACCTGTACCTGTGTGACTGCATCGGCATCTGATGAACTCATATGTCTGTGTCACTGAGTCTGGGGACATGTGATTATGCACTTCCCTGAGGGAGTGCATCTCAAGCTGTGTGACCGACACCCCGTAACCATGTGTGGGGTGGGTATTAACATGTGACCAGCTGGGGCAACCCAGTGAAACCCCATCTCTACACAAAACATTTAAAAATTAGCCAGGCATGGTGGCACATGACTGTGGTCCCAGCTACTTGGGAGGCTGAGCCCTTGAGCCTAGGACGTTGAGGCTGCAGGGAGCTGTGATCACACCACAGCACTCCAGCCTGGGTGACAGAGTGAGACCCTGTCTCAAAAAAACAAAAAATATGACCAGCTGCATGTCTGGCTGCTGTGTGTGTGAACCCACATGTGTGTGTGTCACTAAATGAGCAGTGGTATCTGGGGAAATAAGTGGAGCAAGATCAAGGCTGTTCTGGCTGCTTAGGGCCACAGTGGGCCCCTCTGAGACCCCTCTGCGCATTCCCTTGTGAGTCCTCATGACCTCTGTTAACCAGGTAGCCCAGGAGGCAGTGCCGCCAGCAGACATCGTTTTCTCAGTGAAGAGCCCACCGAGTGCCGGCTACCTGGTGATGGTGCTGCGTGGCATCTTGGCAGATGAGCCACCCAGCCTGGACCCCGTGCAGAGCTTCTCCCAAGAGGCAGTGGACACAGGCAGGATCCTCTACCTGCACTCCCGCCCTGAGGCCCGGAGCCATGCCTTCTCGCTGGATGTGGCCTCGGCCTGGGTGCTCCCCTTGAGGACGTCACGTGGAGCTGGAGGTGCTGCCTGCTGTCATCCCCACTGGGGGCACAAAACTTCAGCAGTAGAGGGGGCACAGTCGCAGCTGCACCCTGGCCCCTCCACTGCTCCGCGTTGCCAGGTCCTACTTCCCCACTCTCCCGGGCCTTGGCCTGCAGGTGCTGGAGCCACCCCGGCATGGGGCCCTGCAGAAGGAGGATGGGCCTCAAGCCAGGACCCTCAGCACCTTCTGCTGGAGAGAGGTACGGCTGTGAGAGAGGCCCAGGGGCTGCAGCCCAGCTCTGGGGGCAGAGTGGAGGGAGCCCCGGGGACTCCCAGTCCAGGGGTTATACAGAGAGGAGACAGGGAGTCACATTTCAGAAAGACCTATGCTTTAGATGCTGTATCTCGGGCTGGGCGCTGTGGCTCATGCCTGTAATTCCAGGACTTTGGGAGGCCGAGGTGGGCAGATCAGGAGGTCAGGAGATCAAGACCATCCTGGCTAACACGGTGAAACCCTGTTTCTACTAAAAATACAAAAAATTAGCCGGGTGTGGTGGCCCGCACCTGTAGTCCCAGCTACTCAGGAGGCTGAGGCAGGAGAATCGCTTGAATCTGGGAGGCAGAGGTTGCAGTGAGCCGAGATCACACCACTGCACTCCAGCCTGGGCAACAGAGCGAGAGACTCTGTCTCAAAATAAAATAAAATATCCCCTTTCTTCCTCACAACTCCTCTGGGAACCAGAACTTATGGTCCCCATTTTCCACCAATGGAAGCTGAGGCCCTAAAAGGGTCAGTCTCTTCCTGCACCCAAAGGCAGAACATGAAGGGTGCTGCTGGGGTCTGACTGCCAGCCCTGGGCCTGCCCCTAGGTGGAAGAGCATCTGATCCAGTACCTGCACGATGGGAGCAAGACACTGACGGTTTTGTCCTGATGGCTAATGCCTCTGAGATGGACCGCCAGAGCCATCCTGTGGCCTTCACTGTCACCATCCTGCCTGTCAATGGCCAACCCCCGACCTCATACAAACTCAGGCCTGCAGGTGAGCATATTCCTGGGACCACCCCCAATGTCTGCTTTGAGAAAGAGGCCAATGTCCCCTACTTCCCGGCACAGATCTCCCCCCCTCTGAGCCTCAGTTTCCTCCTCTGCAAAATGAGGACACTACTGTGTGCCTCACGCAGTTGTTGGAAGGAGAGATGTGAGATTGTGCTGAAATAGAACACAGGCGGGAGGTTTTGTTATTGGACATTTGCAAGTACGGCAGGCAGACTTCTGAGCAGCCATGGGTGGCTCTGCTGTTCCTTCTCCTGTGGCTTAGGACCAGAACACCTGAAAGAATCACTTACAAGCCCTTAAGGGCTGGCGTCAGGGTGGGACCGTTAAGCTTCCCACCTTCACCCCAGCAAGTGAAGGCCTCAGCTTGGCTTCCCAAACTCCTGCCCCTTGTCCACAGCAGAGCAGGGCCCCCATTTGGCAAAGGTGGAAGTTGAGGCCCAGACATGGGATGGAACTTCTCCATGATTGCAAAAGTAGTTCTGGTGGAACAGAAAGGGCATGGCTTTACTAAGCCCAAGTGGCAGGGCTTTGAACCCCAGCTTCTGGGGCGCGTCCTCCCCAGTCAGCAGAAGCCACTGAAGGTTCCGCAAGAGGGCTGACTTGGGCTGTCTCTGACATGGGGCACCGGGGGGCTTTGGTGGTCTAGGATGTGCCTGTAGGGGGTGGCCTCATGGTGCGGAGGCCACAGAAGAGTGGGACACAGCACCCTGGAACCACAGGCTGGGATGGCTCTGTGGCAGTGCGGCCACCAGGTGGTGCCATCTACCCGTGTTTGTTCCGGGAGCCCAGTGATGGGGCCCTGCCTCCCACAGTATGGCCCCTCTTGCCAAGGCTCGGCCTGAGGGCTCCCTGCGGCCAGGGGAGGAAGCCCAGGAATGCCAGAGGGCTGTTTTCTGGGCATGTGAGTCCCACTGCAGCACTGCCCACAAGTAATTGACCCAGCAAGACTGGTACCAGGACCTCAGGAACGGGTGCCTGTTCTGCTTGCTAGTGGGAGGCCTGAAAAGGGGCCCCCTTTGCCCAACACGAGGAGGGCCCGTAACTGCTCTGGAAGCACCTGGGCCCATCCCAGCACTGCTTCTGTGCTGCAGGACAGTGCCAACCATCAGGCTTCAGCTCTCTGCGCCTCCCACCCCTCCCTTAGCTGGAAGGAGTGCTCGTTTCTAAAATCACTGTTCCCACCTGTGCCCAGCCCCTGCCAGGCACACATGGAGGGTCTGAAAGGAGACTGCTGCCCCACCAGTGAGACAGATTAAGGAGCACTGTTGGTCAGCGCTGGGGGTTTCTGGGGGTGAGAACTTGGTGAGGGTAAGAGCTAGGGCCTTCCTGGGTTGGGTACACAAGCTGGTCTTGAGGGACACACAGGACTAGGACAGATGAAGAGCAGGGATGCTGGGCCTGGAGGGTGGCCTTCCCTGGGGTGACAGGGAAGGTGAATGCAGGGAGGCCATTTGTGCAGGGGAGCCACAGCAGCGCCAGCCTTGATGCCACCTGAGGGCCTGAGCCTCAGTGGGGTTGGAGCCCTGGTGGCAGCCCAGGGCCGGGGAGGAAGGGGTGGGTAAGTGTGGCAGGGCAGAACCTTCACAGGCCTGTGTCCCCAGACGTGGGAGGGGGCCACCGTGCCCATCCCTACAGAGGCTCTGAGGAGCATGGATGGTTACTCTGGGCCCAAGGACCTGGTGTACACCATTAAGCAGCCCAGCAATGGGTGGGTAGTGCGGTGGGCGGTGCCGGGCACTGAGGTGCGCAGCTTCATGCAGACCCAGCTGGATGGTGGGCTCGTGCTGTTCTCACACAGAGGTGGGTGCTGAGGGCCGAGCCCCAGGTTTCTGCTGCCCACGGGGGCACCCTGAGGTGGGGAGCCAGTTCAGGCCAGCTGGACCCAACACCCTTGTCCCCAGGGGCCCTGGACAGAGGCATCCACTTTGGCCTCTCTGACGGTGAACATACTTCCTCCAGACACTTAGCTTCTGAGTGACGGCCCAGAAGCAAGTGCTTCACTCGCTGGAGGGCAGCCAGACACTGACTGCCCAGGTGGGTGTGCTGATTGTGGGCATTCCTGGGTGCAGGGGGCTGGGGCAGAGCTGAGGGTGGCATGCCAGGGTCACACTGCCTCTCTGCAGCCACAGGCCTCGGCCTGGATCACAAAGGCTGATGGCCCCTTTTGCCTCTGGCAGAGTCCGTCCAGCCACTCAGCAGCCAGAGCCTCAGAGCCAGCAGGCACCGACCCCCAGCTCCTGCTCTACCATGTGGTGCGGGGCCTCCAGCTAGGCCGGCTCTTCCACGCCCAGCATGACAGCACAGGGGAGGACCTGGTGAACTTCACTCAGGCAGAGGTAAGGGCCCCACTCTGCAGCCACCACTCAGATGCGCCCAGCCTCAGGTGGCCACTGTGCCATGGACATCATGTGGACATGGGCACCAGCTCCAGCATCACCGGCAGCAGACACTCCCAGGCCTGCCATGGTCCAGGACCTGGTGTCCTGCCCTCTAGGCGTCATCAGGCTGGCAGGGCAAGTTCATGTTCCCAGAAGGAGGGAGAAGAATGCAGGAAGTCGGGGATACAGGGCCCTAGAGCAGGGCTGGGGTCTTGGGGTGTGGCTTCCCAAAGGAAGCTAGAGCTGGACCCAAGGGTCTGGAGAGGGAGAACCATGTAGGGGCACTAGTGGCACCCCAGTAGCTGGTGAGGGGCAGTGCTTGGTGGGGGATGGAGTCGGAGGTGAAGCAGCTGCTGGGGCCTGTGGGCAGAGGTGTGAGCCTCGGGCTCAGATCAGGTGCCAGCCAGAGGAAGAGTGGATCCTAGGAGCAGATGAGCTGATGAAAGGCAGCTGAGTCGGCCAAAAGGGGGAAGCCACTGTTCATCTGTCCTGGTGGCTTCAGAGAAGAACTAGAGCTCTCAGCCATGGGTAGTGGCAGACTCTCTGTGGTAATTGTGCCATGGGGGCCAGCCCAGTCATGGTTTAAATGAACACCTCTCCCCAAAGGCAGAATGGGAGTTGTTCCATAGCAGGGCAGGGCAGGGCAGACTCTTGTGGGCCGTCCTGGGCAGGCAGCACACCTGATGCCCCCATCAGGAGGCTGCGTGAGCATCTGGACCCAGCACATGATCACAGTGAGTTCTGGGCAGGGAGCGGTCTTGTGGGGCGCAGAGCTGACTCTGTCACTCAGGAGCCACGGCCCGCAGCACTGCCCCAAGTACCTCCAGAGGGGACCCCTGTCAGCCCTTGAAAATGGCAGAGCCCACCCCAGCCCCCTTTTCAAGCTCCCTTGCTTCGGCAAGGACCTCCTGAGCCTGGCGCTCTCCCTCCTGAGAGGTGCAGATGGTACTCAGCAAGTGCAAAGCCGAGGTTTCTTGGGCCTCTCACATCAGCACCTCCCAGACCTCGGTTCTGTATTTCCCTGGAGCTCCACTCCTGCTATGGTGCCCTTCCCACAATGAGATATTCATCAGGTTGGTGTCTACAGCTGCTGCGTACCCTCACTTGCTGGGAGCCTTTGTCAAGAATGCCCAGGAATGAGGAGGGCACAGGACGCAGACCATCAGCAACCCTCTTGCACTCTATAGTCCCATGTTACTCAGAGCTTCCCCATGCTCCAGCAAGATGAAGGACTAGATTGAATGGGCACCAAGCTGACAGTGCCACCCAGGAAAGCCGGGAAGAGGCTACATGGGCTACCTGGCCCACTCAGGGAGGAGGGCAGGACTGGGTATTGTCTTGACAGCAACCCTGTCCCACAACACTGAACTGGGTAGGGAAGGGGTCAGGTGTCCTCATTTTTCAGATAAGAAAACTGAAGCTCCCAGAGGGCAGGTAAATGTATTCAGAGCACATGGCAAGTAAGAGGCAAAACTTCTGCCAGCAAGTCCAGGATTTTTTTCACCAGAGGACATTGCTTGGTCCCCAGACCTCAGGACCCTGTGTTTTGCCTCACTCCCACCCACAGAGCTCCTGTATCCAGGTATCAACTCCAACTCCCACTCCTGGAGGCCGAGGCAGGAGGATCACTTGAGCCCAGGAGTTCGAGACCAGCCTGGGCCACATAGTGAGACCTTGTCTCCACACAAAAATTTTAAAAATAGCTGGGCTTGGTGGTGGCATGTGCCTGTAGTCCTAGCTACTCGAGAGGCTGACGTTGGAGGATCACTTTGAGCCCAGGAGGTGGAGGCTGCAGTGAGCAGTCATCACTGTACTCCAGCCTGGTGACAGAGCGAGACCCTATCACCGCCCCCCGCCCCACCAAAAAAAAACTGAGTAGACAGGTGTCCTCTTGGCATGATAGGTCTTAAGTCCCCTCCCAGATCTGTGACATTTGACAGGTGTCTTTTCCTCTGGACCTCGGTGTCCCCATCTGAGTGAGAAAAGGCAGTGGGGAGGTGGATCTTCCAGTCGAAGCGGTATAGAAGCCCGTGTGAAAAGCCATACTCCAAGGGGCTCCAAGTCCAGCGCACAGTCCCAGAAGGGCCCAGCAAGGCAGCCAGGGCGGCACAGGCACCAGGTCCCAACCTTCTTCCCTGTTTGCCCACTCTCAGACCCCGGAGTTCATCATCTCGGAGCCGCTGGCCAATATGTACTCATGTGGGAACCAGAACACACTGATGGAGGAGTTGGCAGAGCAGGCACAGCAGCACGACGAGATGCTGCACATGCACCACGCGCTGAAGGAGGCGCTCAGCATCATCGGTGACATCAACAGGACCACTGTTACCATGCCCCCGCCCGTGGACGACACCTGGTTGCAGGTGCAGAGCATCCCTGACGCACACAGGTACCAGAGACTGCCCCCCACGGCCCCAAAATCCCCCACCCGGGATGCCCAGAGGAGTGCCCTGGGGACAAGTGGCACACCCCCTCACCGGGGTGGCTCCCACCTGGAGTGACGGGGGGAGCTTGACAAGGAGCACTGGCTGCGGGGGGGGGGGGGGGAGGGGTGGGATGTTCTCGCTGCTGGGGGCGGGGCTTAAGCTCCGGCAACCGCCTTGGGGTGTGGCAGGGAGGAGCTTCAGTGCATGGGTGTGGCCGGCACTGCGCTGGGGCGGGGCCGCCCATCTCTCCCCTCCCTGTGCCTCCCAGGTCGCCCAAGTCCAGCGCCAGGATGCCCAGGCCCTGCCATGTCCCTAGCCCGGCCTGGGTGGCAGGGCCCAGCTCCTGGGCGGCAGGACCCAGCTCCTGGGCTTCCTCCTGCTGGGTCCGCCCTTGGGGAAGTGTGCCCCATACCCTCCAGGCCAGAGGCTTCCCCTGATCCCTTTGGGCCCTACCCCCCTGGTGCTCTTGTGCCCCAGCCGGGGTCCCCAGGTAAGTAGGGGCTGAATGCAGCCAAAGAGGCCGCTGGACAGGCGTGGCCAGGAAGGAAATGGGACTGGATTCCAGAGCACCACATCTGGCCGCCAGAACTGGCCGTCTCCATCCAAGGCACTGGGACCATGGGTGCCGGAGCCACGTGTGGCCGAGGGCTGGCAGAGCCTGCCCCCCAGGGATCACTGAGTCCTGGAGGTGGTCGTTTTTGAGGAGGGGGCTGTGGGGCTCGTCCCACCTGCCGCCTTCTGTCCAGCACTTGCATGACACTTCCCTCTATTTTCACTCTTGGCGGCTGCCCACACTTTGCATTTCTCTTCCTTTCTTCTCGCTGTCCTCCATCCTCCATTCCGTCCAACTCCTAGCCCAGTCCCGGGGGCGCCTACTTCAGGTCTGAGAGTCTGAACTCCGAGATGCTCTGGGTGTGTGGATTTCCTTCAGCTACCCTGATGTCCCCACTTCCAAGTCCTGACTCCTTTGAGCCATCCCAGGGGGTGTCCGGCCACTGGACCACAGGAGCAGAGGCGAGTCTGTGACTGTGTGACCAGCAAGGTGTGTGATGTGTGCGTGAGCGAGCACACGAGTGTAAAGAATGGCACCCAGACCTGAGCTAGGACAGAGGGAGCCTGGGGGCCACAGGCAAGCTCATTTCTTCTCCACACCCCTCCCCGCCCGACCCTGTCTAAACTAATGGGGTAGTGGTAGCCGCAAGGGCAGGGATGGGAGTGGCTGAAGCCTACTTCACTCCCAAAGATTTCTAAGGAAAATGGTTCTACTGCATCCTTTGGCTGGGCCTTGTTGACCCGTGACCCTCTTTCAAGAACATTCACTCTGATTTCCAGTGTGCCGTCTCCACTGGCCACGTTCTCTAAGGAAGAACAATAGCATCTGTTTTTGTTTCCAAATGGCTGGAGAGTGGGGCTGTGGGACCAGCGCCCATATATAAAAATGAAGCAGGGATTGGGGCTTGCCCTGTGATGTGCTGTTGACCAAGTTAGAGGGGTATAGGCAAGCAGCAAAGTATTGGGCAAGATCACTGGACTGGGAGTCCAGAGATGCTGCTTCACCCTGGGGCTTTAGGCAAGTCCCTTTCCCTCCCAGAGCCTCAGCATCCCTTTTAGCAAATTATGACATTCTGCCTTTCTCCTAGAATGGCTGTGGGGATCAAGGGAGACAGTGGCCATAGGGATGCTATGTTAACCGTAGATGCGTCTGTAGGAGCACTTTCCTAACTGCCAACGTGAGTTCAGACTCTTCAGGCTATTTGGCACCCAGGTCTATGGTGAGGTGTGACATATGGGATGTAAAGTTTGATGCCTGCTCTGACTCCAGTCTTGCTAACACACACACGAAACCTTTGGCAAATCATGACCCTGCCTTGGGGAAAAGGGCAGTCTGGGAGAGCTTCTTCAAGGCAGCCTGGCTTCAATGCAGTCCGGGGCATGACGGAGATAGGCATACGTTGTGAGGAACTGGAGGGTAACTGGGTAAAGAGCTGCAGTGTGGGCAGAGGTGTAGTGTGGGTCACAATGAGGATAGCCACTGGCCAAAGCAGGGAACAGAGACAGAATGAAGAGCTCTGTGGGGAGGGTGGGGCACAGGGTGGAGAACCTTCAAAGTCCAAAGAGTATGACTTGTTGGGATTCAATGCTGTAGGCAGTAGGGAGCCATGGAAGGCTCTTAGGTGGAGAAATGACAGCCGGACATTAGTGAGCAAGCCCTGTCTCCCTGAGCAGCATGGGTGGTCCTCTGAGCACGCCAGGCACGAGTGTGCAGGGAGCTGGTGCAAATGCCTCTGTGTGCGGGTGAGCATCTGTGTTGTGACTCTGCCCACGCATGTGCTTCAGTGTGCCGAGTGGCTGCACGCCCCAGATCCATGCGGCACGTGCCGGCCGGTGAGGGTGCTGGGCACCGGGAGGTGGCGGAGAGGGCGACGTATGCGTGTTGTTTGTGGGCATGTGTTAGAGTGTGCATGCGGGCCGTGGGGCCTCACAGCATGTGTGTGCACAATCTGGCGTGTGCGTGTGTCCGCCACCCCCAGGCCTGCCCCACCCATGCATGGGACCTGCCATGTGATTTGATGCTGTCTTTCAGAATCACTATCAGTGGCCCCTGAGGAGCATCAGCCATGGTAGGTACATGCCTCACTGCCTGCTGCATGAATGGTCTGCCTGCCCCGCTGCCCCAGCTCCACACAGGGGGCATACCTGGAGCCTCAGAGCCAGGCTGCCTGCCCCTCCCTTCTAGAGCTGCAGACTTGCTCTTTCCTCTTTCTGTCCTTGTGCTGCTGGCTGTCTCACTTCCCTCCCTGCCAGCCACAGGACTCAGTGCCACTGCTCAAGGTCTCCATGGCTGAGCCTGGGGGCTCTTACAACAGGCTCCATGCCGAAGGTGGCAGATGTGGAACCATCAGAGAGGGCACAGAGCTCATGGTTTATGGTGTAGGGGCTGGGAGCTTGGAGGGGGTTGTGTGGGGGGCTGGACTCAGGCGGCCAGAGGCCTGGGCACATCATCCTGGGCACGCCGTACCTGTCATGCAGTCTGAGCCATGCTGCCAGGGCAGGTATCCAGCTCCCAGCCTGGGAGTGCCGAGAGCCAAATCCACTGCAGATTAGGGGTGATAGTCAGGGTCCCACCTCCTCTATCTGTCAGCAATCCAGTGGTGATCTAGGATAAAAGCCTGAGAGTTCAATACACACGGTTATCCCACAACACACTTCATAGGCCATGCAAGGACACACAGCCCCCTTCCCTCCTTCCCAGGTACCATCACAGCTGCTAGCGTGTGACTGAAGGCTGGGTCCCTGGCCAGCGCTACTGAAGCACTACTGCCAGCCAGCAGACTCACGGACCTTGGCCTGTTGCTCCTAGGGGTCACCTGTGCTATTCAGCCAAGGAGACCACAGTGCTTGCTGGCCCAGCTGAGCTCCGCCTAGCGAGCCCACCTGCCTTTCCTGCCACGGAGTCTCCCTCTTCTGCTTTTCCCAGCAGGAAGGGCCCAGCCTCACCTATGCAACCTGCAGCCCCCCGCCAACCAGTTGAGGCTCCCCTCTTAGACTTATAAGTCTACGGGCAGTGGCATCTAGCTACCTGCCCTCCCTGCCTTCCCCAGGGTCCCTTCAGTGGACCCTGGGCTTTCTGACTGCCCAGAGAGGGGCCTCTGGCGCTCACTCCAGCCCGCCATCCCTTATAGCTTCACCATTTTGGTTCAAGCAGTGTTCCTTCTGTCAGGCTTGGTGGCTGTTGGGTGGGGCTCCCCAAGCAAGAGGTGGCCCTGGGCCAGTGGGTTGGAAGATGGGGTGACCACAGAAGAGGGAAGCCGGGGGGGTTGAGCATTGGTCTGAACTGTGGGTGGACTGCCTGGGTGCCATGAGAGAGGCCAGTGTGTGTGGGGTGGGGAGGGCTGCCACAGCCCCCAGGCACTACCTATGAAGCTCTAGCTTCTCCCTCCATCTTCCTCCCCTTTCCCTTCCAGCCCCTCTTTTCCAGGAACCTTGCCACGCCCACACCTACGCCTTCCCCTTCCCGGCTCTCAGATGATGGTGGTGTTTATCTCCCTGTTCTCGGGAGCCCAAAAAGAATGGCATGCAGGGGTTGCTGCCCATGCCTGGGTGCTCCTGGGGAGTCCTGCATTACAGGAAGCAGCTGCTGGATCTGCTGTGCAGTGGGGTTGTCGTGGGGAGAACCCTCCCTGTCCTCTCCTGGTGCAGCCTCCACGCTATCAGTGAGGCTCACCTCACAAAGATCTTCAGAGAGAGGGAGGGGGGTGGGAATCTGAGCACAGTGCGAGCCTCCCCTGCTCCTGCCTGCCCACCCCACCTGAGGGCTCTACTCACCACCCTGCTCGTCAGCACACCCAAGCTCCTGGGCTACTGGGGCTCCTAGAGTGGGCTCATCAGCAGGGTTCTGGGCAATGGTCAAAATTTGCCATGCCCCTCCTTGTGGTCGCCCACAAGCTGCAACACCTGCCCCGCAGCTCCTGCAGGTTCACCTGGAGGAAGGGGTGTTAGCTGCCATGCCGGTGCCGGCACGCACGTTCACCCCCACCTCCACCCCCACCCCCACCGAGATGTTGCACACCCTACCTTCATCTCCTCCTGGTCCTGGGCCAGCCTGACGATGTCCTCCTCTCCCAGTGCTGCGTCTCTGACACTGCCCCCTGGCTGATGTACTTTCCTGCAGGAGGACATGGCTCAGATGCTGGGGCCCCTCGGATGGCCTGGCAGCTCCCCCCAGCGGTGCCCTAGCCTCTCGCTCACTATGGTGTCTGTCTGTCCTGAGAGGTGGATGAATTGAAGCTCTAGTTTCTCTACCCGCTCCTTCAGGTCCACCTTCTCCTTCCATAAAGTCGCTGTGGAGCCAAAATAATGGGGTCACATGTCAGGAGTCACCTGCCTTGTCCTGCCCCACCGCCCCCCTTGTTGGCCCATGCCAGGACCTACTCACCTGCAGCTTCTCCATGGCCCCCTGCAGGGCCCGGTGGGTCTCCCCAAACACAGACTCACCCCCACTCTCTGGGGCTGGGGCCGCTACCTCTGGCTTCTTCTGGGACGAGGCCACTGGGTGAGCCAGGGGCTGGCAGCACACCCTTTGTTCCTCCTGGGCACTGGCTCCAGCGGAGTTGAAAAATGCCACCTGAAGACAAGAGGTGAGTATTCTTGTAGGGGTATACACATAACAACTGGGGCAGGCAGATGGAGCATAGCCCCTTCCTTTCGGGCCTCACAGAGTGCACCTGTTGGTCACAGGTGAAATGGTGTCTGACCACTGGCTCCCAGGAGGAGTGAAAGTCCACAGAAGTCAGAAGGCGGGGAAACCAAGAACATAAGGGGGTTTCGGAGGGACCACAGAGGAAGGTGGCAAAGTAGGGGCAGGGAAAGTCAGGCTCACCATGGCCTCCCGGCTCTCCAGGTCCCCTGGGATGTTCGGCATGGGCCGAGGCGCCTCCTGCTCACTGTCCAGATGTCCTCCTCCATCTCCTGTGGGGGGTGGCCAGAGGGGTCCTCAGACAACCCAACAAGGGAGGTACAGTGGGCCCGCCTCTGCCCCCACACTCACTGTGTAACCTTGAGCCAGCCCCTCCCCAGAGGGGAATGAGCTGTTCTTTATTTTGAATTTTAAGAACCAAGATCTTGCTATATTGCCCAGGCACAGTCCCACTACCGATTGGCGCAGGAATTCTGACCTGCTCCCCTTCTGACCTGAGCCAGTTCTCCCATCCTTAGGCAACCCGATGGCCCCCTGTTCCCAGGAGGTCACCATACTGATACTGAACTTAGTGCGGACACCTTGTCGGCATAATGACCGACACAAAATGCTTAAAAGGTAACCTGACTCTTTGTTCAGGGCTCAGTCCTTTAGATGTTAATCTGACTGGGCCAGTGCACCTAATAATATATATCCTCCTCAGTCTCTCTGATTCCTAAATTATGCTGCTGTACGGGGAGAGAGGCAGCAGGGTAGTGGAGTCATACCAAGCAACAAGACAGGGTAGTGGCCAGGCATGGTGGCTCACACCTGTAATCCCAGCAATTTGGGAGGCCAAGGCGGGTGGATCACCTGAGGTCAGGAGTTCGAGACCAGCCTGGCCAACATGATGAAACCCCATCTCTACTAAAAACACAAAAATTAGCTGGGCATGGTGGCAGGTGCCTGTAATCCCAGCTACTCAGGAGGCTGAGGCAGGAGAATTGCTTGAACCCAGGAGATGGAGGTTGCAGTAAGCCAAGATTGTGCCATTGCACTCCAGCCAGGGGGACAAGAGGGAGACTTCACCTCGAAAGACAGACAGACAGGCTAGTACGTTTTCCACAAATTTCAATTTTACTCTCTTCCCCCACCACACACACACACAAAGCATTTGAGGGATGGGAGGAAGAAACTGAGATCACAGGAAAAATTGTAAGAGACATTCAGAAGGACAGGTCTTAGAAATTTACTAGTTTTGGGGGGAGGTCAGAACAGGTGTATATAAAAGAATATTAAGACAGTTCCCAGGTTTAGGCATATGTGACTAGATAGAGTGCTAGGAGATGGATACGTGAAAATTTAAATATCATCATTTTGAACACCCATGTCACTCCAAGTGAGATTCCCTAAATATATGATATACAGACAGATATATGGGTTTGAAACTCTGGAGATGAATACAAATTTAGGAGTCCCTGGAACACAGGTCATGACTTAAGTAATGGGAGTCAAAGATTACTCAGAGAAAGCACAGAATGAGAAGAGAAGAAGTAGGACAAGGAAGAAGAGATCGGAGGAGACCAAGAAAGGGTGATAAGATCAAAACAGGAGAAAAGAATCCGACAGAAGTCTCATTTGATTATCATGTCCCTTCCCAGAGGACAGGGACATGTCTTTTTTGTCTTTTATACCCAATTATCACAGGTCCTGGTGCAGCAGACACACAGTTTTTTTTTTTTTAATTGTGTTGTACTATTCACAGTTTCCTGTATTCACCAGGGGAGAAAAAAGTAAGTATAAAGAAGCACAGACACAGATGTTTTTACACTGTGTACTAAAGGGGTCAGATTATACACAATATTTTATGCCTTACTTTTTTACTTAATATATCTTAGAAGTTTGCACGTGCTCTTATGGAAAGACTGGCTGCATTTTTTGGTCCACAACAGAACAACAGAATATTCTATTATAAAACGGCACACTATAATTTTTATTTAACCAACTCTTTATTGGTGGACATTAAGAATGGAGGAATGTTTCAACAAAGGAACAATCAACAGTATCAAAATACTGCAGAGGGGTCAATTTGGGGACTAAGAGGGGAGCCACTGGATTTGACAACTAGGAGATAAATTTTAGTGCAACGATGAAGGCAGAATCCAGAGTATAATGAGCTCAGTGAAAAAAGGTGAAGACATGTAGCTTATTCTCTCAAGAAACTAGGCTATGATAAACTGGCAGAGGCTCTAAGAGTGGGAGGTGAGTTGTTTTCTCCTTCATGTAAATATATTTACCTTTTAAACACTAGGCCCAATTTTATATCCTATTTCATTTAACTTTATGAACATATTTATGTATGTATGCATGTATGTATGTATCTCATGTGATGTTTTAGACACTGAAAAATAACTCATTTCTATTATAAAACTGATATCTTTAGATGTTCAGAAGCAACTTCCTAAAAGGAGGTAGCAGTAATGGAGCTATGTCTATCATTCTTTCCCATCAACCCCCTTGATGGAGATGTAAACATGTGTCCATCAAGCCTTTAATTTTTACCTCTTATCTTCATGGCTCTCCATACAAAACTTAACTCTTTTTTTTTTCTATTTGTATACGTATATTTATATGTATATCTATATCGAGAGAGAGAGAGAGAGAAAGAGTCTTGCTGTGTTGCCCAGGCTGATCTCAAACTCCTGGGCTCAAGCAATCCTCCCACCTTGGCCTCGCAAAGTGCTGGGATTACAGGCGTGAACCACTGTGCCCAGCCTCAGCCTTAACTCTTAAAATATCTTCAAACCAATATTCTTCTGTTCTAATTTTTAAGAATAGATGTGTTTAAACCAACTAACTTATTTTGACAAAAATTGGAGTTAAGACTCAGACTTCCTCAAATAGTTCTCCTAAAACCATTTACAGAATAATCTATCTTTTCAGTATTAAGTTAAAATACCACCTTTTCCTTATACTAAATTCTCGTTTGCATGACTCTGGTTCTAAACTTCCATTGCCTTTATCTGTCTGGCCCAGGGATAGTCCACAATATTTTATTTACTATCTGGTTGAAAGAGTCTATACTTTATTACTTTTTATTACTTATTCTTCTAAACAAATTTTAGAGTCGTTTTGTCAAGTGTCAAAAATAAATCTGCCAGAATTTGTACTGAAATTTGTGTGTGTGTGTATATATATAATACACACACACTATATATAAAATATAAAATGTATATATACAATTTATATATATAAATATTTATAAAATATGAAATATATATATATATACACACACACACTTTTCTAGTTCTTTTTTTTTTTTTTGAGACAGGGTCTCACTCTGTCACCTAGGCTGGAGTTCAGAGGCATGATCTCGGCTCACTGCAACCTCTGCCTCCCAGGCTCAAGTGCTCCTCCCACCTCAGCCTCAGAAGTAGTTGGAAATACAAGTGTGTGCCACAGACACCCAGCTAATTGTCATCTACCCGCCTCAGCTTCCCAAACTGTTTGGATTACAGGTATGAGCCACTGTGCCCAGCAGAAATTACATTTACAAATTAATATGAAGACATGGTGATAACTAACATATTTATAACATGAAATCTGCTCATCCAGGAACATAGAATGCAAATCTTTCATTCCACTCAGCAAAATTTTGTCCTGTCCTTGATAAAAGTCCTGCACATCTAAGTTTATTCCTAGGTATTTAATTTTTGCTGAAATACCTGAAAAAATACTTCATCACTATATCTTCTACGTGATTATAGCTAACACTGGGGAAGGCTATTGATTTTTATATAAAAGAACTTTTAACCAGTAATCTTAAAAATTGTTTTTCTCAGTTGGTTCCTTTGGATATTTTTAGGTAAACAATCATGTCAACTGAAAATAATGATAAATTTTCTATAAAGACTATGACATCACAGGAAAATACAGTAAATACTTTTTAAAAGAATATAAAAGGGCCAGGCACAGTGGCTCACGCCTGTAATCCCAGCACTTTGGGAGGCCAAGGTGGGCAGACCATGAGGTCAGGAGATCGAGACCATCCTGGCTAACACGGTGAAACCCCATCTCTACTAAAAAATACAAAAAATTAGCCGGGAATGGTGGCGGGCGCCTGTAGTCCCAGCTACTGGGGAGGCTGAGGCAGGAGAATGGTGGGAACCCAGGAGGTGGAGCTTGCAGTGAGCCGAGATCACGGCACTGCACTCCAGCCTGGGTGACAGAGCAAGACTCTGTCTCAAAAAAAAAAAAAAAAAAAAAAAGAATATAAAACTATAGAGAATATGACCTCAACTATTAAGCATATGTGTAAGGGTTATGTATTTTAATAGCAAAGAAAAACTATATACTGGTAGAAAATGACCATCATGTCAACAGTCAATAGTGGTTATATTAGATAGAGAAATTATGGGAGACTTTAATTTTTTTCTTTTATCTTTTCTGTACTTTACCAATTTTCTCAACAATGGTTGCTTATGAGTTTTAAAATTAAAAAAAGGTTTTAAAAATTTTTCCAACATGGAAAGTTATATTTCTTTATATACTAAAACAAAAACAAAACTTTCTATTTGAATACCTATGGCAAAACCCTATCTCTACAAAAAATACAAAAAATTAGCAAGGTGGGGTAGTACACACCTGTAGTCCCAGCTACTCTGGAGGCTGAGGTGGGAGGATCACCTGAGTCCCCAGAGAATGAGGCTCCAGTGAGCCGTGATCATAGCACTGCATTCCAGCCTGGGAGACAGAGAAAGACCCCATCTCAAAAAAAAAAAAAAGAAAGAAAGCAAAAAGAAATATCCATAATGATCTGAAATGCCTATCTGTATGAGACTGTCCTTTGTTCACATTTTTTCAAGCAAATATCACACAATAAATTGAATGCAGGTACAAATGACATATCAAACATCAAAGAAATTTGCAAAGGACGTAAGACTGTACTACCTTGGGTTTAGAAATTTTCTTATCATAAAAGCATTTATAACAATATTTTGTGAGCTTTTAAGGAATATTTTAAGTATTTCTGATTTAATTTCTAGTGATAAATACCAATAGATATAACCTACATACACAAAAGCTCCTTGGGCCCTCAATATACTTTTAAGAGTGTAAAGGAATCCTGACCCCAAAACTTTGAGAACTGCTGCCTTCCCCTCCACTTTATTCCTTCCCTAGAATTTCTTCCTTGGAAGAAACATTCCTTTGCCATTCTATGTTAACTTACATAGTTCCATTGAGGCCAGTTTTGCTACCTCTCTCCCATCTTTCCACATCCCTCTCTTGACACAAAACCTGACCAAAGGACTCTACCGGCCCACCCCATTTCCAGTGATTAGCTGTCAGGTGGGCTAAGCCAAGAAAATCTGGGTTTTCCCTGACACTAGACCTCTCTTTCTGGGAGATACGGAATCACAGGGACAAGGCTGGCCCTGTCAGAACTCATCTTGTCTAAATGGGAAGAGGTTAGGCAAGTTTCTAGAATGCCAGACTGCTTTCTAGAAAGTCAAAGATAATTATACTTTCTGCCACGACTGTGAAAATGCCCATTTCATTGCACGCTTTCTAACATTTATACCAATCTGATAAATAAAAGCTGGTACCTAGAAGAAAAAAAGGCTGGGTATGGTGGCTCATGCCTGTAATCCCAGTACTTTGGGAGACCAAGGTGAGTGGATCACCTGAGGTCAGGAGTTCGAGACAAGCCTGGCCAACATGATGAAACCCCATCTCTAGTAAAAACACAAACATTAGCCGGGCATGGTGGCAGGCCCCTGTAATCCCAACTACTCGGGAGGCTGAGGCAAGAGAATCACTTGAACCTGGGAGGTGGAGGTTTTAGTGAGCCAAGATCATGCCATTGCCCTCCAGCCTGGGTGACAAGGTGAGACTTTGTCTCAAAAAAAAAAAAAAAGTTTCCATACAATATAATTTGTTCCATCTCTAAAAACCAATTCAGCAATAACTGAAAGCCACCACTTGGAAGGTTTCAAGGATTTAGCTCTACCTGTTGATGATGTCCAAAGCATTAGTTAAGGTAGAAAAAAAATATACACACACACACACACACACACACACACACACACACACACTCACCCCTATGTAGTCAGTACCAGGAAACACGAAAGACTAGATGGTACAGTCATCCAACACAAAGCACACAATAACTGAAGGCACTGTAGAGGAGTAACTTATGACACAGATCTACAATATTGAGTGAAAATGCAGATTACAAAAAAAAATCTGATTTTTTAAGGGAGAGGGAACACATACAAGCAAAGGAGAAAAGAGATGAGCAGATGACTGAAAGATACAAAATTCTGATAGTGGTACATTCTGAGTGGTAGAATTATCAGTATTATTTTCTAGTTTTGCCTAAAAATTTTCTAAATTTCTTAAGAACTTTTTGTTATCCATATTATCAAATATCCATCACCCCAGGAAACTTAACCTTGAGCACAAACTCTACAACAAGTTCAATGTTTGTTCAGTTTAATATTTAAGAGACAACCTATTTTGAAAGACATCTAAAATGATGACCAATATTTAAACCTATGCATTAATATTTTTCAATCATATCCTTCACATTTTGTAATTTTGATAAGGTTAAGCTTTAGATCCATCTTGAAAAGATAAGTTTTCTGTTTGTCTTTAAAATATGACCCACAATATGCCTGTTTTTAAACAGTGAATGATGCTCTAAAATCACAATATAAATTCAGGCAGTGCTCCTTACATGGAAAGTTTAAGTACTTCTAACACTGCTCTTTTTCACTTGTTATGAAAACACAGAACAATTATCTAAGCATCTAATTATTCAGGTCCTTTGTTTCTCCTCCAATCTATTAGTTTTATAGTAATTTTAGGGCCTGTGAGGATGAAGCTGTCTGTGACAGCTACCACAAAGGTTACTATAGGTGGACAAATTTCAAACAAGTTTATCACCACTACCATCCCCACCATAAAACTGTCTCAATCAAGGGCAACACAATTCAATATTAGCCAAGACAACCTCTTTACCTGTCACTGCTTAAGAAAAGGATTTTTGGTCTTATTTAGAAATAACTTTCTGTACCTATTTTTCTCCATAAATCCACTGAGACCAATGTGTGGCTCTATCTCAAGCACCAGCAAGCAAAACTGCCTGCTAGAAGGTTCAGTTTTTGTATCTTTCCAAATGTAGAACACAGCTATCTTCAAGGATTTCATAATTTTTTGAAAATTGATGCACAAACTTCTTGAAAGTTCAGAGACACAGCAGCTGTAATTCTTCTGAAGGCTGGTTATGGGACACATTACCTTCATACTTTGCTGTTTAAGAAATGTGGGGTGGAGAATCAAGTAAACTGATAGAATTTCCATATAAAATTCTAAGTGCTCTGAGAACAAAAGAAACTTAAAATACACACACACACACACACACACACACACGGTTTTCCCTACTAATCATTTTACAACTAAACAACCAAGTTGCTAAACCAGAGCCCACAAAAGCAGAGTCAAAGTTCTAACACTTGGTAAAAGAAAAATGCACACATACCCCTGTGAGCTAAAAAAAAATGCTTAAGTATTCAAAGACAGCAATTACAGCTACTGAGAACATCACTGTAAGCAAACTGAGGCAGAGAAAACAAACGTGCTGATGAGGATTTGAACCACCTAAGCTGCAGAAACCCACTGGATGGTTTCCTAGGTTCCGAGTTGGCATTATCTTTCAGAACAATCTTCTAGAAGAGATCACATAACACTGTTACAAAGGATCTGGAGAAAGGGACCCTGGCTTCATCACTGTGGCTCTCCAGTCATGCTTTACATTTGGCAGTGACTATCTCCATTCAACTCAATTCCCTAACCCTAAACTAGCTGACATTTATCAAATACTGCCCTTTACCAGGTCTAAGTAAGTTTAACTCCCCCCACCCCCACCAAAAAAAATTCAAGATACTAAGGGATATACTATTCACAAAAGGGAAACCTGTCTCCTCTTCATATACCTGTTCCTTTCAAGGAAGGGTATAAAAATGGGGATGAGGGAGGATAACCACTAGGAATTTGACCCTATATTATAAATTGGTCAGATAAATGAAAATAATTCCTCTGGACTCAAAGTGATATGGCTCTGAAAACGGGAGAAACATCGGGGTCCTTTGTCTCACGCCAGTTAAACGACATGGACACACAGGAGTGGTTTTAAGGAGCAGAAAGTTTAATAGACAAGAAAGAAGAAAGGCTCCCTGCGGTACAGAAAAAGGGGGTCTGAACAGAGAAAAAGCCCCGTGTGTGGCAGAACAGTACTCGGTTATATTGGGAGGCTGGAGGAGGTGGTGTCTGATTTGCACAGGGCCCAGGGCATTGGTTTGACCAGGCAGGTCATTCATGTAGCCCGAGAAAAACGTGGCCCTCCCACCCTAGCCTTTTAATATGCAAATGTAGGTCACCATGTTGTCCTGCACACATGGGGTCATCTGGAGGTGTCACCTTGAGGTGGTGACTAGAAGAAGAGGGTGGGAATCTCCATGTTGAATGGACACAGTTTCTAAGCGCTGGCATTTGCATATCAAAGCTTGGCAGCCTGTAGTCCCAGCTACTCAGGAGGCTGAGGCAGGAGATTCACTTGAACCTGGGAGGCAGAGGCTGCAGTGAGCTGAGATCACACCACTGCACTCCAGCCTGGGTGACAGAGCGAGATTCCGTCTCCAAAAAAAAGATAAAAAGAAAAGAAAAAGAAATGTTTCTGGAGTTGTTTCTATTAAAAGGGAAAGCCTTACTGAGGCCTCCTTACCCTCTCTATCTGCCTAGTATAATTTCTGAATAACTCCTCTATTAAAAGTACCACTGAGGTGCTTAATATGACATTTCTGATATTTCCCAATGCTCCTCCACAAATTCAATTTGGAAAGGTAATCTGTTCCAGGAGGGCAAACCAAAGAAAAAGTCCTAGGCTCCTGAGTCAAGGCTTGTTTCTTTCCTTTGTACAAGCTGACTACCTTTTAATCATAGTAAAAATGAGAAAAATGCAAGATGAAGTTAACAGCATTGCTTTATTTCCCATGAAAAGCTGTTATAAAGCATTCTCAAAATAAACTGTTATTCAGCCACAAATGACACCATCACTTTTTTATTCATAGGGCACAGTATCGCTGCCAAAGAGCTTTCCTCTATATGCTCTCTTGCAGGGCAAAAAATATTATCTATGTTATACAGAAACACAGTAAAAAAAGTGATTTACTTAAGGTCCTAACTACTAAATAAAAGCTAAACTACTCACTTCCTCCTAGATTCAGAGAGAGCTCCAACATTTTCTAAAATTTGGTATCTTGTTGTTGGGGTAGGCACTTTTTGGCAATAATGAATAGACATTTAATTAGCCAATCAAAAAAACTTATTAGGTACAGTAAGTTCCTCTTCAAAGGTTTAACCTGTTCAACTTCCTTGTTCTTTGTTCCTAAGAACAATTTCCCTGTACCTTCTCACCCCTATTTACCTGCTTAGTTATCTGCTCAGTTACCTGCCTTGTAAACAACTCTTCCCATCAGTCCCAACCTGTAACTCACATTCCCTCTCCCTTCCTTATTAGGGAGAATATTCGCGATAGCAAATCAAGTCTGCTTAGATTGTGTAGTCCGACTCCAGCCCATGTGGGAATGACAGAGAGGTAGGGACTGCGTTAGGGATATAAACTCCTGCTCTATCCCGCTCGGTGTGCTCTTGCATTCGTGACTAATGCAAACAGCACTCTTTTGCAGAAGTAAGTTGTCTTGCTGAGAAAACTTTTTTTCCTGAGTGCTGGTTCTTCCTTGCAGCACTGATCATTTGTTTCTTTTTTCTTTCTTTTTTTTTTTTTTTTTTTTGAGACAGAGTTTCGCTCTGTTGCCCAGGGTGGAGCACAGTGGCTTGATCTCAGCTCACTGCAAGCTCCACCTCCCAGGTTCACGCCATTCTCCTGCCTCAGCCTCCTGAGTAGCCGGGACTACAGGCACCCACCACTGCGCCCAGCTAATTTTTTTGTATTTTTTTTTTTTTAGTAGAGACGGCATTTCACCATGTTAGCCAGGATGGTCTCGATCTCCTGACTTCATGATCCGCCCACCTCGGCCTCCCAAAGTGCTGGGATTACAGGGGCGAGCCACTGCGCCCAGCCTGATCATTTGTTTCTAACAATCTGGGGGCTCGTCCGGAATTCCCATTCTCCTCTGAGAAAAGGGTCTCCAGTCACCAATAGTGAGGAGAAGCATCCCACTGCCTCATTGAGGTGGCCTCATGGTGAGGGATCAGGACCCACCCAGTGTGATGAATAAACCCGGACTCTCAGCAGTCTGGAAAGGAACAGACCAACAACTTAAGAGAAAAGGATCCTCACATACCATGGTGACCAGGTAACTATGTGCACAGACCAATGTAAGAAACATCACAAGAGCGACAAAGTATTTTCTTGGTGGTTGGGATATCTTGGAGATTGAAAGTGTGTGTTGAGACTCACAATTGAGTGCAAAGCAAGTGTTCAGTCCAGATCTGCAGTTCTGTGGTCACCTTATACAGCTTAAGGTAGCCCTTCTGTAAAGGAGTCTGGGTCAGGGGTTTCTACTGAAACAGCCATTGCTAAGAGGAAACCAACGTTCCCGTGAGGGAAGCAGCCAGAGAAGGATGAAGCGAAAGGAGAAAAGTGCAAGAAACCTCCAGCAGGGGGGTTGAGCCTCTAGGAAAGGAAAGGAAAGGAAAGGAAAGGAAAGGTGAGAAATCTCCAGTAGGAGAGGTTGAGCCTTATACAAACCTCTCGTAACTGGGAAGAAATTTCTAGTAGGGGAAATTGAGCCTCACCCCAATCCCTTTTCAAGATGGGAAATACCTCAAGTAATGCAGGGGAGAAAAAGGATAAAGCTAGCAACAATAACATTCCTCCTGATAGTCCCCTAGGGCTTATGCTAAAATATGGAAAGAGAGTGAAAGGACTAAATACAAGAAAAAGCAGCAAATGATAAAATATTGTTGTTTCATTTGGACTCAGGAATCAATCCTGAAAAGCAAGTCAGAAATTAACTCCTCTGAGAAAGATAAGGTCCCTGTTCCTAGACAGCTCACCAACACATGGAACTTCCTCCACCACCTTCCCCCGTCCAATACCCCTAACCTCCCTCCCCCTCAAGCAGAGGCAGTTGTCCCAGACCCTTCTCCTACCCACATTGTTCCCCCTCTTTATAACCCTGCCTCTTGGGAATTGTCCCAACAGCCTGCTCACTATCACCCTAAGTACTCTTCCCTGAAAGGACTTCAATGTGAGATAGAGCAATGTAAAAGGGATATTCAGAACTTCCCCTTCCCCTCTACCTCGGGAGAATTAGCTCCACCTCTCTTCCCCTGAAGAGAGGTGTCCCTACGAGGAGGAGGTATTCACTTTGTAAATGCTCCTTTAACCAGCTCGGAGGTCCAAAACCTAAAAACAGAGTTCAAGCCACACTATTAGACAACTCCAGTGGAATAGCAGATCGAATTAACCAATTTCTAGGACCACAGTTATATATACTTGGGCTGAGTTAATGTCCATCCTAGGCATCCTTTTCTCAGGGGAAGAAAGAAGCATCATCTGTAGAGCTGCTATGGTAGCCTGGGAACATGAACACCCTCCTGGCCAAAACATTCATGCAGCGGATCAAAAATTCCCCAACCAAGACCCCTGCTGGGACAATAATAACGCAGCCCACTGAAGAGGATACGCAAGAACTTAGGGAAATGATAATAAAAGGGATTCGGGAGTCAGTACTCCGAACCCAAAATCTTACTCGAGCATTCGACATACAACAAAGGAAAGATGAAGGGCCTATCGAACTTTTAGACAGGTTGAAAGAACAAATGAGAAAATATGCTGGCCTAGATTTAGAAGATCCTCTTAGGCAGTGAATGTTAAAGCTTCATTTTGTTACTAACAGCCAGATATCACAAGGAAATTACAAAAGATAGGAAATTGGAAGGACCATCCCACGAACGAGCTTCTTAGAGAAGCTCAGAAAGTGTGTGTAAGGAGGGATGAGGAGAAGCAAAAAGAAAAAATGAAAATTATGTTATCCACCTTCCAACAGGGGGCCCCAAAGGATAAAACACACCAGTATTACTCTCTGTTACCCAGAGACCCACACACTCCCAAACAAAGCCTCCCGAGAGCCAAAACCTATAAAGATCCTAGGCCCCCACTTCCTAAGCCATATAAAGAACATAAGGAGGCAAAGCCGAGAAACCCAAAAATAGAAGAGACAGAATCAATGCTTCAATTGTGAGAAAGTAGGCCACTTCAAGAGGTATTGTCCCAAATTAAAATCAGAAAGAGAAGTCGTCCCACTTACGACCTTTGAGGAGGAATAGGGGGGTTAGGGGCTCTGTCTCTTTTACCTTGAATCCCACCAAGAGCCCTTGATAAATTTAGAAGTGGAACCCAAATCTGAGCTTATGACCTTTTTAGTAGACTCAGGAGCAGCCTGCTCCTCTGTTTGTTACCTTCCCCCACAATATAACCTGGTCCTCAGAGGAGCTTGTAGTCTCAGGGGTAAAAGGAGAGGGAATCAAACTAAAAATTTTAAAAGAAACAGAAATTAGATGTAAAAACTGCTCAGCTAATGTTGAATTTTTGTTAATTTCAGAGGCAGGAACTAATCTATTAGGAAGAAACTTAATGTTAAAATTAGGTATAGGTTTACATATTGGCTCAGAAGGATTCTACACTTCATTAAACCTGCTCACCACTGCAGAAGAAACATACATTCATCCTGATGTTTGGGCAAGGGAAGGAAATTGGGGAAAACTCCAAATTCCCCCTATACATATAAAGTTAAAAACCCCTGGAGAAATAGTAAGAAGAAAGCAATATCCTATTCCTTTAGAAGGCAGAATAGGCCTGAAACCTGTAATTGAAAGCCTCATCAAGGATGGGCTCCTTGAACCCTGTATGTCCCCTTATAACACCCCAATACTGCCTGTGAAGAAACCAGATAGGTCATGTCGACTAGCATAAGACCTCTGGGCCATCAACCAGACAGTCTAGACTACCCATCCTGTTGTCCCTAATCCTTAAACCATTCTCAGTAAAATTCCATATGAACATCAATGGTTTACAGTAATAGGTTTAAAAGATGCCTTTTGAGCATGCTCCTTGGATGAGGACAGCTGAGACATTTTTGCTTTCGAATGGGAAGATCCCCATTCTGGATGACAGCAACAGTATCGATAGACAGCTCTACCCCCGGGCTTCACAGATTCCCCTAATCTCTTTGGTCAAATTCTAGAACAAGTGTTAGAACAAGTTTATACCCCAAAATGTATATGTCTGCTCCAGTACGTAGATGACTTATTAATATCCGGTTAGGCTATAGAAAAGGTATCTGCTTTCTCCATCCATATCCTTAACCATTTGTAAGGAGAGGGGCTATGGGTTTCAAAGAGAAAGCTTCAATTCATAGAGCCTGAAGTTAAATACCTAGGACACTTAATAAGTAACGGCAAACGAAGGATAGGGCCTGAGAGGGTTGAAGGGATTGTATCCATACCTTTGCCTAAGACTAAACAAGAACTCAGAAAATTCCTAGGGATAGCCGGATATTGCCGCTTATGGATTGACTCATATGCCCTTGTCATAAAGCCTCTCTACCTAAAAATCACCCAAGAAAAGCCTGACCCTCTCCTCTGGACTTCTGAAGAACTCCACCAGGTTGAGGAGCTAAAACATCTGCTTATAACTGCCTCTGTTTTAGCTTTGCCTTCCCTAGAAAAGCCATTTCACCTTTCTGTTAACATAAATAAGGGGGTAGCTTTAGGGGTCCTTACCCAAGAACACGGAGGTCACCAGCAACCCATGGATCTCCTATCAAAAGTTTTAGATCCAGTAACCTGTGGATGGCCTGAATGTTTCAATCCATTGCAGCTACCGCCTTGTTAACTAAAGAAAGCAGAAAACTAACCTTTGGGGGAAAGTTAGTTGTAAACATGCCCCATCAGGTTAGAGCCATCTTAAATTAAAAGGCAGGAAGGTGGCTTACTGACTTGAGAATTTTAAAGTATGAAGCTATCCTGTTAGAAAGAGATGATTTAACACTAACCACTGATAATTCACTTAACCCAGAGGTTTCCTGACTGGAGATTCAAATCTAAAGAGACCTGAGCATGAGTGTTTAGATTTAATGATCATACAAAAGTTAGGCCTGATTTAAGAGAGACCCCTTACAAAACGGGGCAGGGCTTCTTTATAGATGGCTCTTCCCAAGTAATTGAAGGAAAAAGGCGTAATAGGTACTCAGTAGTAGATGGGGAGGCACTTGAAGAAGTAGAGTCAGGAAGCCTGCCAAATAATTGGTCTGCCCAAACATGTGAATGAATTGTTTGCATTAAATCAAGCCTTAAAGCACTTGCAAAACCAAGAACGGACTATTTATACTGATTCCAAGTATGCCTTTGGGGCAGCTCACACCTTTGGAAAAATTTGGACTGAACGAGATCTTATTAATAGCAAAGGCCAAGACCTGGGCCACAAAGAATTAATCACCCAAGTATTAGATAACCTGCAGCTGCCAGAATAGCTATTGTCCATGTTCCAGGACATCAGAAAGGTCTTTCTTTTCAAAGCGGAAGGAATAACCTAGCAGATCAAATAGCCAAACACACTGCCGTTTCCTCTGAAAATGCCTGTTTTTCACTTAGCCCCTTGCCTTCCTCCCTCGACTGCAGTCCCCATCTTTTCTCCCGCTGAAAAGGAAAAATTAATAAAAATAGGAGCCAAAGAAAATTCAGAAGGGAAATGGGTGTCACCAGACCAAAGAGAAATGTTATCCAAACCCCTCATGAGGGAAATCCTCTTTCATCTGCATCAAGGGACTCATTAGGGACCTCAAGCTAAGTGTGATGCAGTCCTCGGGGTCTACAGATGTATAGGAATTTACATTTTGGCAAGACAAGTTACAGATAGTTGCCTAGTATGTAAGAAGACTAATAAGCAGATCCTCAGAAAACCACCTGTTGGAGGGAGAAATCCAGGATTAAGGCTGTTCCAAATTGTCCAAATTGATTATGCCGAAATGCCCCCAATTGGTCACTTAAAATATTTATTAGTGATAGATCACCTTACTCATTGGGTAGAAGCTATTCCCTTTTCAAGTGCAACTGCTAGTAATGTACTCAAGGCATTAGTTGAAAATATTATACCCAGGTTTGGATTAATAGAAAATGCTGATTCAGACAACAGGACTCATTTCACTGCACATGTTCTTAAGAAACTAGCCCAAGTACTAGATATAACATGGGACTACCATAACCCCTGGCACCCACCTTCATCAGGAAGAGTAGAAAGAATGAATCAGACTCTGAAAAACCACCTAACCAAATTAGTCCTAGAGACTCGGTTGCCATGGACTAAATGCCTCCCCATGGTCTTGTGAAGATTCCAAACTGCCCCTAGGAAAGATGTCGGCTCACCTCCTTATGAAATGCTGTATGAGTTGCCTTATCTACACTCCACTGCTGACATTCCTCGTTCGAAACAAAAGATCTGTTTCTCAAGAACTATATACTTGGTCTATCCTCCACTTTCTCTTTCCTTAGGACTAAAGGCCTCTTGGCACATACACCACCCCTTGAATTTCCAGTTCACCACCACCAGCCCGGACAGTGACCACATTCTCATCAAAGGTCAGAAAGAAAGGAAGCTCAAGCCCACCTGGGAGGGACATTATCTAGTGTTTCTAATGACTGAGACAGCCGTCCACACCACTGAAAAAGAATGGACTCACCATACCTGAGTCAAAAGAGCACCACCCACTCCAGAATCATGGACAGCTATTTCAGGGCCAATTCCAACCAAGTTAAAGCTAAAACGGGTTTGATCCTCTTATGCTATATTTCTTTTCCCCTTCTATTGCTAGTCCTCTCGTTATTAATGTAACTAGGTCGAGCTCACCCCAAACTATTACCTTTGATGCTTGCCTTGTTATATCCTGTGGAGATCTCCAAAGTCAAAAGCAACTCTCAGCCTCAGAGAAGTATCTCCGTCCCTTTCAGACAAAAGCCTCCCCCATTACGACTCTTGTTCCTTAAGAAATGTAGGGAAACAGGCCTGCCACAGCTGGAATGATATTATGTGGACAACTGAACATCAGGGCTTTGTCAACAGGCAGTTGTAAGTCTCTAAAACCATGTTTGCTTTGTTAAAGGAAACATTCCCCACCCCCTGACTGCCAGTATAACCAATGTAATCCAGTGCAAATTTCTATTCTTATCCCCACTTCTGCCAACCCTAAACCTACTTTAAGTCGCTTATACGGCATAGGAGCCAAAATAGCAGGGACACATCTTATAGAATCCTTTGAAATGCATTTCATTACTTTCTCACCTCCTCCACCTCCTTCTACACTCTCTCTCAACGAAACCGCTGTTCTTCCTTCAACCAAGGATAAAATCAAGGTAAGCCATTGTAGAAGTTAAAAATTTGAAACAAACCATAGCAACTGAGACAGGGTACCAAGATGCAAATGCTTGGTTAGAATGGATTAAATATTCTGTCCGCACTCTAAACAAAAGCAACTGTTACACTTGTGCGCACAGTAGGCCAGAGGCCCAGGTTGTCCCCTTTCCACTCGGATGGTCTTCCAGCCAACTGGGCATGAGCTGTATGGTAGCTCTTCTCCAAGACCCCACAGCCTGGGGTAATGAATCTTGCCAAGCTCTCTCTCTGCTATTCCCTAAAGTCCAACACCCTGCAGGTCAGTCCCTGAGGGCCATCCAGCCTCCATCTATTGACACCAATTTTTACCTCGGGTCTCTCACAACAAGGGGAAAACTTGGCATTTCATGAAGACCTAAAGGGATGCGGTGAACTTAAACTCTCCCAAGAGCTTACCAGTCAGTCTGCCCTTGTTCATCCTCGAGCATACGTATGGTGGTATTGTGGTGGACCCTTACTGGACACTCTGCCAAGTAACTGGAGTGGTACTTGTGCTCTAGTCCAACTGGCCATCCCTTTCACCCTAGCATTCCATTAACATAATAGAAGAGAAAATCAGAAGAGAAGAAGTGACCTTCATGGGTCCTTTGACTCCCACGTTTATAAAGATGCTACTGGAGTTCCACGAGGGGTACCAGATAAATTTAAGGCCCGAAATCAAACAGCTTCAGGATTTGAATCTGTGCTGTTTTGGTGGTCAACTGTAAATAAAAATGTAGATCGGATAAACTACATTTATTACAACCAACAAAGGTTTGTTAACTACACAAGACATGCCATTAAGGGAACAGCCTCCCAATTAGGTCCCATTAACTAAATAGTCTGGGAAAACAGGATAGCCCTAGATACGATGCTAGCAGAAAAAGGTGGTGTCTGTGTCATGATTGGAGTCCAATGATGTACTTTTATTCCTAATAACACAGCCCCTGACGGAACAGTAACAAAAGCTTTGCAGGACCTAACCTCCTTATCCAATGAGTTAGCAAGCAATTCTGGAATAAATGATCCCTTTACAAGTTTAATGGAGAAATGGTCTGGAAAATGGAAAGGCTTAATGTCCTCAATATTTACTTCTCTTGCAATCGTTATAGGTGTGCTTATTCTTGTTGGATGCTGTATCATACCATACATTTGTGGACTACTGCAAAGACTCATAGACACAGAACTTACCAAAACCTCTCTTAGCTCTCCTCCACCCTATTCAGATAAGCTTTTCCTTCTAGAAAACCAAGCAGAACAGCAAAGCAAAGACATGCTAAAAAAGTTTGAAGAGGAAGAATTACAAAAATTAAGAGGGGGGAATTGTTAGGTACAGTAAGTTCCTCTTCAAAGGTTTAACTTGTTCAACTTCCTTGTTCTCTGTTCCTAAGAACAATTTCCCTGTACCTTCTCGACCCTACTTACCAGCTTAGTTACCTGCTTAGTAACCTGCCTTGTAAACAACTCTTCCTACCAGCCCCAATCTGTAACTCACATTCCCCCTCCCTTTCTTATTAGAGAAAATATTCACAATATCCAGCTGAGTCAGCTAAGATTGTGCAGTCCTACCCCAGCCCATGTTGGAATGACACAGAGGTAGGGAGTGCATTAGGGATAAGAACCCCTGCTCCACCCCGTTTGGTGTGCTCTTGCAATCATGACTAATGCAAGCAGCATACTTGCAGAAGCAAATTGTCTTGCTGAGAAAACTTTTTTGCCTGAGTGCTGCTTCTTCCTCACAGCACCAATCATTTGTTTCTAACAATCTCGCTAAAAGCAGCCTAGAAAGCAGCCACTTATGCAGAAAGAGTAATAATTTATGCTCTACAAGTCATATAAAAAATGAAGTTTCATTTGTTTACCGGCTAATTTACTTCTGGGAGACATTTTTCATTCTAAAACAGTGATTCCCTACCAAGAGTTCATAGATGCCAAGAAGTCCATAAAAGGCGTAATGGAATTGCCAAATTATGTTAAATACTTCAAAAGGACTCAAAGCCATATACTAGTTCCCAATAGGCCTGCACAAGTTATTAGAACAAGCTGCTTTGCATTCTTGTGTGATCAGAACCAGTAACTAGATGGCAATCAGGTCTGTTACTGAAGATGGAAAAACTATACTTAAGTTTGTATAACAATCTTTCATAACATGGCTTCACAGAAAAGAAGTATAAAAAGGATTCCTTGGTTGAAAAAGAGTGCTCTTTTCCCTTCATTATTTAAGATTAGGACAAATTTATAAAACAGGAAAAAAATAGCACAAATCCCTTGGCAAACAGAGTAAAACATCTACTCTGTTTTGCTTTTTTTCACTTCTTACACTCTCTTTCATAGGAAGTCAATTTACAGACTTCCATCAAGCCCTTAGAGACCTTTTTGTACTATCCATGACAAGCTCTTGATGTTATCTCTGCACTTTTGACAAATTCTTAGCAGTTAACTTACAAGGCAGTTAAGATTTTTGTTCAAGCACAATATAGCTAGAATAGGCTCATACATTCAATAAAACAAATATTTACCAAGCATTTATTGAGTGGAAGATAAAAAGCACAAAGCATAATTATAAAATATTTTCCCCTGCCACCATAAAAAAATTAAACAGGCTTACAGAATACAGTGTAAGAAAACATGACCAAAGCAAAAATAGTAAGGACTAAAGAAGGGAGGAAGGGGAAATATCAACATGGACTGAATATGACCCAAAAGAGCCTTGATGGATGGTCAGACATGTAAAGGCAAATTGGTTAGGGTTAAGGGGTGGAGGTCAGGGCACGTTCTATAGGGAAACGGCAGCTGATACAGAAGCCTGAAAGGAAAAGCGGGCAGAGCACCTGGACAGGACTCTTCAGGAACGAGCACGCACGTGCGTGAAAAACAACTTAGTGAGGTACCGTTCACCCAAACATTAGAGAAACCGCGTAAAAATGCTTCTTGGTAAGCATGAAGAAGGCAGGGCTCGCCCTGTAGAAGAACTCAATAAACATTTGAACTGTCTAAAGAGTAAAAGTTAATGAATAGGCCAAACTCACTCCTTTCTTTGTTTTAAGAGCTACAACTTTAGAGAATAACAAATCACAAACCCAGTAGACAGGTCCTGGCATTTCAAATCCAACCCCATTTTTCCCTTAATCTTTCCCCTCTGAGCAAATGGTATCGACATGAACAAGCCATGTTGATTTGATCAAGACACTCATCCATGGTTAAAAGAGTCTTTACTTTCAAGAGATACAAACAGAAATATTTACATGGGCTAATTTACTGGGCAACAAGAGAGAAACTCCGTCTCAAAAAAAAAAAAGGAAATAAAAGCATACAAAGTGAAAACAAAGAAATTAAACTGCCCTTATTTGCCAGTGACATTACTGTCTATGCACAAAATTCCAAAAATCTACAAAAAAGCTTCTAGTACTAAAAATGAGTTTAGCAAGGTTGTAGAATCCAAGGTCAGCATATAACATAAAATCACCTTCCTATATACTAGCAATCACCAACTGGAAATTGAGAAGTATCATTCACAACAGTACCACAAACATGAAATAAATGTGTAAGATTACAAAATACAAGCAAGATCCAACTGCTAAAAACTACAAAACACTGACGAAAAATCTAAGAAGGTCTAAATAAATAGATATACCATGTTCATGGCTCATTATTAAAATGTCAGTTGCCTCCTAACTGATTTCCAGTTTCAATGCAATGTCAATCAAAAACCCCAGCAGGCTCTCACGCCTGTAAGCCCTACACTTTGGGAGACCATGGTGGGAGGATTGCTTCATCCCGGGAGTTTGAGACCAGGCTGGGCAACATAGAGAGACCCTGTCTCTACAAAAATAAAAAAATTAGCCAGGCATGGCGGTGCATGCATGTGATCCCAGCTACTTGGGAGGCTGAGGTGGGATAATCGCTTGGTTCAAGGCTGCAGTGAGCAGTGATCCTGCCACTGCGTTTCAGCCTGGGCAACTGAGTGGGACACTTTTTTTTTTTTTTTTGAGACAAGGTCTCGCTCTGTCGACCAGGCTGGAGTGAAGTGGTGCAATCTCGGCTCACTGCAACCTCCATCTCCTGGGTTCAAGTGATTCTCCTGCCTCAGCCTCCCAAGTAGCTGGGATTACAGGTGCCCGCCACCATGCCCAGCTAATTTTTCTGTTTTTAGTAGAAACGGGGTTTCACCATGTTGGCCAGGCTGGTCTTGAACTCCTGAACTCAAGTGATCCACCCGCCTCGGCCTCCCAAAGTGCTGGGATTACAGGCATGAGCCACCGCACCAGGCCATGAAACACTTTCTTCCACCCACGGCTTTCTCTTCTCTCCCCATTTACAGCAATAAGACAGCCTAACCTGGGAAAGAGAGAGAGAGGGAAGCTACTTCCAAATGGATGCCTGTCCCCATCAGTAATAACCAAGTCTATTCAAGTGCTAGATGTTAACTTTAAAAGAAGGAAACATCAAAAGTCCAAGTTTCAGCCGGGTGCAGTGGCTCATGCCTGTAATCCCAGCACTTTAGGAGGCTGAGGTGGGTGGATCACGAGGTCAGGAGTTCAAGACCAGCCTGGTCAATATGGTGAAACCCCGTCTCTACTAAAAATACAAAAATTAGTCAGGCATGGTGGCGTGTGCCTGTAGTCCCAGCTACTCGGGAGAGGCAGAAGATTCGCTTCAACCGGGGAAGCAGAGGTTGCAGTGAGCCAAGATCGTGCTACTGCACTCCAGCCTGGGTGACAGAGCGAGACTCCGTCTCAAAAAAAAAAAAAAGTCCAAGTGTCTTCGCCTAGCTTTGTCAGGAATGTTTTTACCCTCAGTCTGTAAGTGTGACCAAATATATTTTTTAAAGGTTTACCCTCTCAATCTGTTAAGTTCAAAGGTTAACTATAATCTCTTCATAAGAAAACTATTGGAAAGATGGAATAAAATACACAGAAATGTCCTTAACAGGTAAATATTTATTTTTCTTTCTTATTATTATACTTTAAGTTCTGGGGTATATGTGCAGAACGTGCAGGTTTGTTGCATAGGTACACACGTGCCATGGTGGTTTGCTGCACCCATCAACTCGTCATCTACACTAGGTATTTCTCCTAATGCTATCCCTCCCCTAGCCCCCCAACCCCCAACAGGCCCCAGTGTGTGATGTTCCCCACTCCCTGTGTCCGTGTGTTCTCACTGTTCAACTCCCACTACAGGTAAATATTTCTAGAATGTATCTACTCCATCAGCTAGTGTAAGTATTCTAAACTGTGCTAGTATAGCTGCTTTAAATCACTGCTTTCTTCTGCAAATGGTGGCACCTTTAAAGTGTTATCTTGAAGGGGAAGTGAGTGATTTGCTCATGTCTCTGCTGAACTAACACTGTTAACACCCAGTCCAGTTCTACCTTAAACAAGTCTGAGAAATACAGACATAATCCATACTTGTTATTTGTCAAGACTAAGGTAAAATAAGGAAAGTTGGAACTCACTCATATCCTCTTATGACTGATGTACTGAAAACAATCCATCTCTCACCATTTCCTAAATAGCATAGTCACAAAGAGCTCTACCCTACCAAGTACTCTGCAAGTCCCACTCTCAAAGGAAGACTCACAGGTGACTGAGAAGATAAATTTGCTATTGTTTCCATTATCCTTCAGTTCATCTGACACCTTTGAAGAAACGCATTTGGATAAGACTCACAAGTCTCAGGGCCCCTTCTTTATGAAAGAAATAGCTAAGCCTCCATACTCAGAAGCATCAGACTTTTCAGAATGCTTAAGTCATGTAAAAACGTATCAAAATTATTATCATTACAGCTACCAGGAAATAGCTACCTACTCCATGTTAGATACTGCAGTTAAGTATCTCACACAGTTTCACTGATTCCTAACAACACTGCAAAGCATGTTACTAACCCTTAAGGAGTAGGAAGCTGAAGCTCTGAGAGGCTATGCAACTACTCAATGGAAATGTGGGGATCTGAACTCTACCTAGCTCCAAAGGGCGTACTTTTTTCTAAAATTTCTAATTTTTTTCCAATTTCACAATGGAGGCAGAGTTTTCACTACAATTTTAATAATTTCACCAGCTGGGTGGGGTGGCTCACGCCTGTAATTCCAGTACTGTGGGAGGCTGAGGTGGGAGGACGGCTTGGGTCCCAGGAAGACAACTGGGCAACAGTGAAGATTCTGACTCTAAAAAAAATAAGAATTTCACCAAAAGGGGGAACAGATTTCTAAATCGGAATCTCTTGTTAAAATCCTTAGAGCACTAGTTAAGCCCCACTTCTTTTCAAAAAATAACCGACAGATTAAAAAAAAGGTTAGAAGTCCTTTTAAAGTAAATTTCATCAGAGATCTGCAAGTGAATTGTCATTTTGGACAAGTCCCCAGAGTTGGTGGCCCTCTCCTGTGTACACCAGCTACCACTAGGCAGTAAAAGTAATTTACCCAATTCAAACACATACCGTGCCTGCACTATGTTAAAACCACTGGCAAAGAGGGTACAAAGTTAAATAAGGTCTATCACAGCCCTCAAGGAGTTAAAGGACTAGAGGAGGAGTCCATTTATAGTATAGTATGTGTGCAGTTACCATTTAGTCAAGGCAAACGAACTGTGAGAAATCCTACAACAATAGTACCTACAGTATAACATGCCATCACCGCCCACAGAAGGAAAGCAACTGGTGCCCTCGTCACGTTATGTTGTTAGTACTTGCTTACATGATGTCCCTCCCTGACAATCCCTTCCAACCTCTGTCAGCCTCCTTCCCCACAATCACACACACACACAAAACCACACTGCCAGGAAGGGAAGCCATTGAGTGAGTATTGTGAATCCTACAAGTGGCTCTGTAGTTTAAAAGGGCAATGCCTGTGCCTGAAGAAAATTTGTCTTTAGCTTCATCAGGTGAAGAAAATTGGTTTTATAACACAAGGCCCACCAAACCAGAAAAGCCCAGGAACGCTTCTCCAAAGGACTCACTTAGCACGAGAAATCACTCAGAGCAAACTGACGCACACAGTATTTGTCAAATTTTTCTTTTTCATTTAGCAGAAGGTAAGGTAAAGGACTACAACTGAAGTTAATAAATGACACTCTAGCCATTTTGATCATTTGTCACTATAAATGATAGACATTTAAGCTAGTTCCATCTGGGGAAGTGAAACAGAATCATGTTCATATAATAAGCCAGACGAACCAAATTCAGTGGAATACGTGCACCCAAAACTGGACCAGACTTGTACTTAATGCAGCCTGCAAATCCCCAAGAGTCCACGACAGAATACAAGAACAGTAACACTGGTTTATCTCAACTCATCTTAGCTCCCTCACAAACTTGCCAATAATGACCTTTCAAGAACTGCACCGTTGGTCCTCATCTGGGCAATCCCGTGGCTTAGAAAAACTGAATAAAGTGCTTCTTCGAAAAATAAAACAATGCGGGGAGGGGGGAGTAGTAACAAAAAAAAAGGCACACTGGTTTTTACTGTACTGAAGCAATAAATTCTCCAACTAACTTCATTAATGAGTATCAGCAAAGAATGAACACCAAAATACCGCTCAATCCAACTTTCATCGTGAATTCTTGAATTCACAGTAGGATCATTAAATGTGACGGTATCACTCTGCTATAAAAACTATTTCCAAAACAAAACAAACCTATCTACCCCCTTTCTTGATTTAAAAAAAAAAAAAAAGAAGAAAGAAGGAAAATTTGAGGGTTTTTGCTTTTTTCAACTTCACATACCGGTTTGCCTTTGCAAAAAAAAAAAAAAAAAATGTTTAGTCTCAAAGTATAGCTGCAAGGTGGACCGGCTGCACGGGTCCCAGAGGGCCGCTCGCCTCCGACGGTCGCAGTTTCAGCCGGGCCGCGCCCGCGAGAAACAGCGGAGAGGCCCCAGCAGGCGGGCGCCGCCGGACAGGTTTACCGTCCGCGTCGGCCCCGGGGAACCGCTCCCTCGCGCCCGCAGCACTTGTTCGCGGCGCGGACTCCACACCGCGGCCGCCCGCCCCAGGGGAGGAGTGAGTCCGCCCCAGCGGCGCCAACCCGGGGACCCGGGGCAAGGGTTCGGGGCCATCCGCCGCCGGGCGCGCCCCCCATCCGGAAAGCGGCGACGGCCCCCAAGTTGGGCTGCGGAGTGGGAGGCGCGCCGAGCCCCAAGCAGACAATGCGGGAGAAGGGTGATGCGCAGGGAGGAGGGGTCCGCAAAGCTGAGGTCCCCGCGCCGCCCGGCTACCCATCCGTGCCGCCCGCCCCTGAAGCCCCGCGCAGCCCCCGACCCTCCTCTGGGGCCCGCCCCACCGAGCGGCCGCAGGGGACGGGCCGCGCTCCGCACCCCGACCCCTCCTCAAATCACAAAACTTCCCCCAACTCCGCCAACTAAGTTGCGCTCTCACCGTGCGGCTCCCGGGGCTCCCCCGCGGGCCGAGCCGAGACAGCTCCTCACCTTCGCCGCGGAGAAAGACAATAGGCTGCCTCTCCCCCGGCGGCGGCAGCAGCGGCTGCGGCTAAAGCGGCGGCAACCGAGGCGAGCAATGGGCACGGCGGTCTCGGCCGAGCCGAGGGGCTTCACCGCTGCTGTTCCGGCTCCGCGACAGCTCTGCACGTAGCCCCAGCCACCCCGCGCACCGGCTACAAGCCGCCCGGGGGTGGCCGGGGCACGCAAGAGGGCAGTAACGTCTGCGAGTCCTCCCGTGAGTACACGCGGAGCAAGGGCTGCGAGCTGGGATTGCACGGCAGAGCTGCCCATCCCGCTCCACGAGACCAATAGTAAGGCACCTGGGCGGGGCGCTCAGGTTGCTAAGGGAGGCTGAGGTTGACCGCCGGGGCTGCTCTGTGGCAAAGTGATCACAGCAGGGTGGCTGGCAGAGACTGCTCTGGGAAATGCCCACTCACGGTCTCCTCTCCGCCCTGTTTCTAGAAACTGCCCTTTCTCTGTGTGCTCGTGGTTACCTGAGCTGTAGCATTTAACCACACATCGTGAAATGATTTACTCCTCTATTTCCCCCACTTCAACTCAGGAAGTGGGGTTTAGTCTTCTGTGTCCACAGCCTAGGACAGTCTAAGGTATTAGGTATTAAATATAGGTATTAAACAAGTGTTGGATGGATGCACGGCGCTATGGCGGAATCACAATTGTGACAGTGCATTCCGTGAACTTTTGGCTACTCGATCACCACAGTCGTTCCGTGTTCAAGCTGCAAAGGACCTCAGAAATCATCGGATTGCTTTGAGAAACAAAATGTGGTCCGTGTACCAACGGCGGCCGAGGAGAATATATTAGCTGGTACACGGAGAAACTTCTTTTTTCAAATAGTTAAGTGTTTTAGTGCTCATTAGGAGGGAAATGCCTATCACGTCAAATCATTGTTTCATTAATGTTACTTCTTAGGTCAAATAAAAAGTGGCAAAAAACAAGTGTATTTCAAGAAAAGTGTTAAGTGAAACTTGAGACACTTTATATGCAGTTCAAGAATGTAAAATACTAGTTGACAGTGATTGAAGTAAGAACAGTTGGTTAGGTAGGAGGAGAAGATTATTGGCTGGGAAGGAGGAGGAGGGAACCCTCTGTGGTGCTGATTCTGTATTTTGACCTGGGTGATGGATAACAAAAGTATGTACATCAATAAAAAATACATCCAGTGCACTTTAGATTAGTGCACTTTACACATTTTATACATGTATTTTTAATGTCAATTTTTAAAAAATCTGGTATGGTATATACCCCCACAACCCCCCCCCCAAAAAAATGCAAAGATGCAAATGACTGCCATTTGGGAAACACTGATCCAGGCAGGCTCACTAGCAGTGACCAAACACCTGAGAAAGGGTATTGTGAATACCTGATGTATGTGCCAGGAACTTCCATGGTTGAATAGCTCCAAATCTCAGAAATGCTCCTAACCTAGTGTTGAGCTCTGGTGCATAGATATATTTTCTTTTCTTTCTTTCTTTTTTTTTTTTTTTTTTTTGAGGCAGAGTTTCACTCTTGTTGCCCAGGCTGGAGTGCAATGGCACGATATCAGCTCACTGCAACCTCCGCCTCCCAGGTTCAAGCGATTCTCCTGCCTCAGCTGCCCGAGTAGCTGGAATTACAGGCACATGCCACCAATTCCAGCTAATTTTTTGTATTTTTAGTAGAGACAGGGTTTCACCATGTTGGCCAGGCTGGTCTCAAACTCCTGACTTCAGGTGATCCACCCACCTCGGCCTCCCAAAGTGCTGGGATTACAGGCTTACAGGTGTGAGCCTCAGCATCCAACCCAGAATAGCTTAAAAAAAAAAAAAAGCCAGGCATGCCCAGTTCTTCATGTGAAATTATTTCTGTATCACCTCATCATGCTGCTCACCCTCTTCCACTGTTCTCTAATTTGTCCTTGTTGATATTTAAAAGCTGGCACAAGGCCGGGCGCAGTGGCTCACACCTGTAATCCCAGCACTTTGGGAGGCTGAGGAGGGTAGATCACTAGAGCCCAGGAGTTCGAGACCAGCCTGGGCTACAGGTGAAACCCCATCTGTATAAAAGATACAAAAATTAGCCAAACGTGGTAGCCCAAATCCCAGCTACTTGGGAGACCGATGTAGAAGGATCACTTGAGCCCAGGAGGAGAGGTTGCATGAGCCAAATCAGCAGGGCAGCTGCAGAGTGGGGTGCAAGGTCCTCAACCCAGAGGTTCCCTAGGCCCCACTTGCCCCAGCTCATGAGAGCCTGGTTCTGAGCTCTGCCAGGACCGGGGCTCAGCACTGCCCATGAAAACAGGCGTGGCAGGGAAGAAAATCATAACCAAATATTTGTAGTCATTCCAGAACCTCCCTTCTGGAAAGGGAGGTTCCCAGGTTTGTGGGCTCTTTGCCTCCTGGACATTATTGTGTAGTGAAGGGAGAAAGGTTGAGATGCAGAGTTGGAGAAACTAAGAGAGGCCGAACTGGTCCATTTGAGGAAAGATGACTGATCCCAGAAGGGGAGGAGGGGACACCCTGGGGAAGCAGGGGGCTTCCCAGATGGTCCAAGAAGGGGAGGGCAGGATATAGAAAGTCAGAGCATGGTTTTGAGTTTTGGAGACAACAAGAGAAAAGAGGGAGGGATTTGGACAACTATGGAGAGGACTGGGCTGTGGAGAGAAATGTTTAGAGATTTGGAAGATGGTGTGTCATGCGATGTATTGTGAAAACCCCTTCTTCATATCCCTAAAAGACCACCGCTGATGGTGATTCATGGTACAATTGATGATTGTATCATGATATAATTCAGTGCTTTTGCAGAGGGATTGGTGCCTTTTTAAAATAATAATGATGCTTTGGCTTGGCTCCATCTGAATTAGTAGAGACAGACAGCTTGAGCAGGTTTTATCAGAGTTCCATTAGCTAAATATTGGGTTTCCTATTTTGTGGCTTGCTTTAAACCACTTTGTAGGCCCTTCCGCACTGAAAGCCACTACAGAAATCACCTCTTTGGTCTGCAGCTCCACGTCCCCAAGCTCTGGGCTTTCCTGAATGAGTGGCCTCATTCAGAAGATAATACAGCATCCCTCATCCGAAAATCCAAAATCTGAAATGCTTCAAAATCCAAAACTGTTTGAGTGCCGACATGATGTTCGAAGGCCAGATTCAAAGGAAATGCTCATTGGAGCATTTTGGATTTCAGATTTTCGAATTCCAAAATCTGAAAAAAATCCAAAATCTGAAATACTTCTGTAATTTAACCTGTAATAGACATTTGGTCCTGACCTTCCAGCTGAGGCAGCAAGCAGTCAACAGAGGCTCACCATGCATCCCTCCTGCTCCTCACCCTCCCACGGGCTTGTGCCTCACCCCCCAGCCTCCCTTGCACCTGCTGGGGAGGGGACAGGATGCTCCTGCTCTGCCTTCTTGGATCTCGGGCTACTGTGATAATTGCAGGATTCCAGCCAGGGAAAATGCTACAGGTAGAAGTACTTGGTACTCTCCATAGAGAAGTTTCCAGCAATGGCACATCTGCCCCAGGAAGTGTGCTGCCACACCCAGCTAATTTTAAAAACTTTCTGTAGAGGTGTGAATTCACTATGCTGCCAAGGCTGGTCTTGAATTCCTGGCTTCAAGTAATCCTCCCACCTTTGCTTGCCAAAGTGCTGGGATTACGGCATGAACTAGAGCTCCCAGCCGAGAGTTTAGTTTTGTTTGCTAGTGGTGTTCTTGGTATCTTTTCATATTTGAGGCTTTGGTGCTAGTGCTGAAGTATTACACTCACCATCCGAGGTTTGCAGGACTTTTGTTTCAGTATTGAACAGATGGAACTGTTTAGTTCTTCATCTTTGCAGGTATACCAAATGTGCCTACCAGGAGTCTGCTTTATAGCCATTGAAAAGCAAGAAGTAATATAGTAAAATTTTGCCTGGCTAGAGGCTTTGGAAGACAAGTATTTTGGCTTAATTCTATTAACGTGGAAGGATGAAGGTGAAAAAAATTCAAAACTTTAATATCCTGTTTATTGCAATTTGAAAATATAGCCAATGATTCCACTTTTCTTCTCCAGTAAGTTTGGACATTCTGATCTACTTGGTGTTTTATTACAGAACTGCTAGTGTGCCTGAGTCTTACATTGTGAAGATCCTTCTCTAAAACTTCACATGTAAGAGAATATAAATGATATTGGATAAGATCAGGCTGGATGAGAACTGATACCTGTAAATATGCGATTTAGACGAAATCTCTGATTGTTTTCTTATTTAACTCATAAAAATAAAACACATTGGCTGGAAGGTGGGAGCAGGAAGGAGATTTATGTCTTTTAATTGCACGTCATTGTTTCATATAGAGAAAACATATAGTATCCCTGGTTTTGGACCTACAGAAGGAAACACATTTTTCTACCTGCTGTATGCCAGAGGTTCTTGAACACCTGGAGGGATTACTGCAGCACAGATTGCTGAGCCCTACTCCAGAGTTTCTGATTCATCAGGTCCAGGGTGGGGCCGGAGGATGTGTATTTATAAGAAGTTCCCAGGTGCTGCTGGAGCTGCTAGTCCAGAGACTACATTTTTGAGAACTGCTCTCATATACTAACTGTAAGTTGCAGAGCTCTAGAAAAAAAGCTTAGTTTGGTGTGGGATAAGAAGCACACAGGTTATGGAGAAAATCATGAAAGATTCAACCCTTGATCCCAGCCTAGTGTGGATTTCAGGTAACAAGCAATACACAGTGACATAACAAATTCTTGGTTTTCATGACTGCAAGTGAGAGCCAAGTATCAAGTGAGAAATTCAGCTTCATTTGCAAGGCTTAGAGAGGCCAGGTGATTCTAGAAAAATGGGCCTTGTAATTCTCTTAAACCAGTAAAGAGCTTTAAGTGGTTATTAAATTGAAAGCTTTGTGTTCTTACTTATTTTGTATTTTATTTTATTTCTTTTGAGATGGAGTCTTGCTCTGTCGCCCAGGCTGGAGTGCAGTGGCGTGAGCTTGGCTCACTGCAACCTCCATCTCCTGGGTTCCAGTGATTCTCCTGCCTCAGCCTCCCAAATAGCTGGGATTACAGGCACCCGCAACCACGCCTGGCTAGTTTTTGTATTTTTAGTAGAGACAGGGTTTCATCATGTTGGCCAGGCTGGTCTCGAACTCCTGACCTCAGGCAATCCACCCACCTCGGCCTCCCAAAGTGATGGCATTACAGGCGTGAGCCACTGCACCCGGCCCAAAAGCTTTGTGTTTTTAAAGATATTAGACATGTTTCTTGTTTTTAAAAGAAATCTTAACAATAATGTAGGAGAGTAAGACAAACATTTTTCCAAAAAAGAGAAATTGTTGTGATTATTTTGTCTTATTGGAATGTCGGATACTATAGTCGGCTTCATTAATCATCAAGCATGCTATGGATTTTCCATTTTTATAGGATCTATATCTCAGTTAAGGTAATACTGGTAATTCTTGTACTCCATTTGAAGATGAAAAATATAGGCCAAAATCACAGACTTTGCACAGAAGCTGCATAATGAAGACAGCTCTGGAGGAACACATAGATACACACACACAGACACACATATATATAAAGTATATACACATATATTTTTTAAAGTTTATTTTTTACAGTTTTAAAAGTTTTAAAGCAAAACCCAGCCCTTCCCCTCTCCCAGAGTGGGCGGCCCCTCCCCTTTCTCTGAGTGGGCGGGGACAGCGGTTGCATGGGCAGCTTTCCTTATGATGCCACAGGTCCCTCTGGACATGCTGCTGCCTGGCCACGCCTCCTTTCCCTTTCATCTTTCTCACTGACCAATGGGCTTGGAGCCTTAAGGCCGCGCCCCTATTCTGCGTTCCATTGGTGCCCTGGTTACGCCACCTGTGGCTCAGTTGCACAGCTGCCTGGTAGGTGACTGGAGGCATTGAGCAGTGCTCACTGGTATTTCGCTGATGTGGCCCCAACCCCGCTTCCCTCCCCACCCCGCGATGTCAGAAAAAACACAACAGGGGAAATTGGCCGCAGCCAAGAAAAAGGTAAAACACACCAGGTCATGGCCCCCAACCCAGCCACAGATCCCCTCCGATGACAAGACCTGTGCCAGAGTCCATACCACTCCTGAGGCATACCAGATGGGGCCCCCCAACCCCAGCCCCTCTGGGCTCCCCCAACCAAAGCCTAGTCAGTCAGCCCCACCCCTTCAGCAAGCAGCCCAGTCCCTGCCCTTGCCAATCACCCCAGGGTGACTTTGGGCAGGTGACTCCTGGGGCTCCCTGCTCCATAATCAGCCCTCACCTCCTGCCACCCCAAGCCCAACCTCCCTGGGCTCTTTGGGCTTGCGTCTCCCAGGACCTGGGTCCCCCAGCCCCAGGCCCTGCCCTCACCAGTCATCCCTGGGTGGCTTTGGGCTGGTGACTCCCGGGGCTCCCTACTGCAGACTCTGCCCTCCCCTCCTGCTGCCCCAAGCTCGACCTCCCTAGGCTTCTTGGGCTGGCGTCTCTGAGGACCTGGGTCGAAACCGTGTGTTTCCCTCCCCCATCGTGGAGCAGCGACTCGGGCATCGCGCTGATGTGGTCCCCTCCCCTGGGAGGAGTGGAATGCAATGATGTCACAGTGCCCCTAGGAACTGTCATTACTGCTGCAAGACCGGCCTTTGATCTTACAACCCAGTCCCCTAAGTTTTCTCACCCCATTTCTGGTTCCTCTGGTTGCAGCACAAATTTCCAGCTGGAAGGGGAGTGGAGACTATGGGACCTAGGAGCAAGAGGTTTCAGGCTGCCTTACTCCCTTAACATAGACATTGACAGTGGGAAAAGCCTACACTTCCCCTGTGAGCTCAAAATGTTCACAGTATCTCTGGGTGGCAATGGGAGAATGGGTTTGGTTTGGTTTTTTCCCAGGCTTCTACTTTCCAGAGAGACTTTAACATTTTTTTCTGAGTTCTCCACGGTTCTGGGACCAGACTGCCCTTCAGTCAGTGGCCTCTGAAGTGAGATTTGCTCATCTTCTGTGGAATAGATCTTGGGAAACTGAACTTGACAGCTTGAATCTTCCTCATATCGTCTCAACCTGGGGTACTTTGAGTGCCACAGGATAAATGTGGGACATCTTTCTGAAGCATCATTTTCCCTTGATTCTCTTGAGAAAATGCATTAATGTACTTAGGGATGACAGACACATAGGTTTCCAAGCGTATACCAGACTTCGCTCTGAAATGAGGCTTGGGTTGTCCTCTTTCTGATAAATTCCCAGATTTAATAGAAAAGCTGCCTTCTGCCATGAGGACACATTGATATGAAAGTGTGAGAGGTACTGGTACGCTTCTTCACGCTAGCAGACCTGTGAGGATGTATGACTCTAAACCACACGGCCTACAGTTCCTGCCTGCTTAATGTTTACTTTTCTACCTCTGCCCCTGGTTTTGGTCCCTGGAAGCTGCTGATTCATGGCAAAACCCCAGAGCTTGGAGTCAGAGGACTGAGTTTAAGTTCCAGTATTGCCTTTTTTGATCTTTCTTTTTTTTTTTTTTCTATCCATGATATCAATCCCTCTCAGTCACTAAGTGATTGTGACAACACCTTGTACAGTTGTTGGTGGCATTACATCAGATGGTATATAAGGGTATTTTGTCAAAACTGTAAAGGAGGATGTGGCTGTAGGGGCTGATCATTCTCATGAGTGTTACCGCTCTTCTTTCCCACAGTTAAAAGCATATTGGCAGAGGAAGAGCCCTGGCATTCCAGCAGGAGCTAACAGGAAAAAGAAAATCAATGGCAGTAGCCCTGACACAGCCACTTCTGGTGGTTACCACTCACCTGGGGATGTGAGTCTCGGCGGGCCAGGGTCCTGGGGACAGGGGGCCCAAGGGGCAGTAGAGGGTAATTGTTAAGATTGTAGATGGACTGTTGGGTACTGGTTAAGAATTCTGGATTTGAATCCTGCCTCTCCATCTGCTAAGAATTGATTAGGGATTGATTAGCATATGATTTAGGGCAAGTTGCTTGAGGTCTTTGGGCCTCTCTTTTCACATCTGTATAATAGAGGTGGTATTTTTTGACTTCCATTTGTGAAGTTTAAATGAGATTCGTTATTGTTGCTTTTATGTGAATCCTTAGTACATGGCCTGCTGCAAACACCCAGGACACCGAGGAAATGGTCGTTGCTGTTTGATTTTCCTCATCCCCAGTCTCAAGGGGAAGCCAGGCCAATGAGAAGAGCCACTTGCCATCAGGCTGTCCCTTTAGGAGTCACTGAAAGGGCCCCAGGGTGGGATGGTGGGGAGATAAGAACCACGAGAGAAGTTGGCACAAAGGAGTTATGGGAAAAAGGGTCCAAGATAGGCAGAAAAGAAGCTTTTGCCAGTTGATGGGGGAAGAAAGGAAGTCAGAGGGCTTAGACAGTGAGGGGGGACAGAACATCTCCATGTGCACTCTCATCTCTTGCAGTCAGCAACAGGTATCTACGGGGAGGGCCGTGCATCCTCTACTACCCTGGAGGATCTGGAGGTAAGAGGCCCTGGGCCGAGGTGCAGTGACCCTGCAGGCCAGCCCTCCAACCTCCTCCCACAGCAGGGGCTTGTTGCCCCTCTGCCAGCTGAGGCAGCCCACACACCCCCACCAGCCCTAATGATTATTCTCTCTACCCCTCCCCACAATCTTCCTCCAACTCCTTCTCTCTGCATGCACCTCAGAGCCAGTACCAAGAACTAGCAGTGGCCCTGGATTCAAGCTCCGCAATAATCAGTCAACTCACTGAAAACATCAATTCACTGGTAAGAGTCCAGTGGGGTCCCCTGATTACAGCTGGTCAATCCTGGACTCCAGTTTCCTCTTGGGGCCCTGAAGAAAGGAGCTAGGGGCCCCTGATGCCAAGGGCAAATGGGGAGCTGGGCACCCAGGTCTCACCTGGAGGGACCCCAGAGCACAGAACATGCAGCATGGGTCTTCTGCACTGCCCTCTTTGCTGACTCTCTCTTCTCCAGACACCCCTGCTCTAGTCCTTGCCACACATGCCCTGGGGTTGTCACCTCTCTGGGAAGCACTAGCCTGACTGGTTGTCAGGGGTCCATATTTCTGCCCTGCCTCAGTCCCTAATTTGCTTTTTGAGTCTGGACAAGCCATCTCTCCTCTTTATGCTCGTGTTTCTGGAGGAGGTAGAGAGTATCAAAGGTCTCGGTTAGCTCTGAAAGTCAGAGATTTAAAGGCCCCTAGAATGGAAACCTCAGGGCCAAGGGCTCCTGTCTGTCCTTTGCTGTTTTATATCTCTGCTATGAAGAACTGTACCTGGCCTGTACATGCTCAGTAAATGTTTATTGAATGAATGCACGTTTCTAAATCACAAACTGGCAGAAGGGGGGTGGGCCCTTCTCAAACTCTGTCTCTGGAGGTTCACCAGCCCCTCCCTCCAGGGCCCTTTTCCCCCTTTGCTTTGGGCAGGTTCGCACATCTAAGGAGGAGAAGAAGCATGAGATACATCTGGTACAGAAGCTTGGGAGGAGCTTGTTCAAACTCAAAAACCAGACGGGTAAGATGGGGCTGGCATGACCTGGCAGCTGGACTGGCATTAGAGGGCTGTGGGGGTGACTTAGAATGCCCCAGGGAGGTGGGTGGATGGAAGGGCTTTGAGGCAGAGGGAAAGAGGTCTGTGCCAGGGGAGGACAAGTCTTGTCATCTCCATGAGCCTCAGTGTCCCCATCAGTAAAGAGGGAGGAGTGCCCATTGTCAACCACCCACAGTGCTCTCTATCTGAAAGTGACTTGGAAGACTGGCTACCATCCGGGTGTGAGGAGTCATTAGCAGTGAGGCCAAGTTTGGGAAGCCTGAGAGGAGGAGCTGTGCACCGAAGGGAGGATTTTTTTTTTTTTTTTGAGAATCCAGAGGCCCTTATTGTCTGCTTCCTTTCTCAGCTGAACCCCTGGCCCCAGAGCCCCCAGCAGGGCCATCTAAGGTAGAGCAGCTACAAGATGAGACCAACCACCTAAGGAAGGAGCTAGAGAGTGTGGGAAGACAGCTCCAGGCTGAGGTGGAAAACAATCAGATGTTGAGTCTCCTGAACAGGAGACAGGAGGAGAGGCTACGTGAACAGGAGGAGAGGCTACGTGAACAGGAGGAGAGGCTACGTGAACAGGAGGATAGGCTACATGAACAGGAGGAGAGGCTACGTGAACAGGAGGAGAGGCTGTGTGAACAGGAGGAGAGGCTACGTGAACATGAGGAGAGGCTGTGTGAACAGGAGGAGAGGCTATGTGAACAGGAGGAGAGGCTACGTGAACAGGAGGAGAGGCTACATGAACAGGAGGAGAGGCTACGTGAACAGGAGGAGAGGCTGTGTGAACAGGAGGAGAGGCTACGTGAACAGGAGGAGAGGCTGTGTGAACAGGAGGAGAGGCTACGTGAACAGGAGGAGAGGCTGTGTGAACAGGAGAAGCTGCCAGGGCAGGAGAGGCTGCTGGAAGAGGTGGAGAAGCTGTTAGAACAGGAGAGGCGGCAGGAGGAGCAGGAGAGGCTGCTGGAGAGGGAGAGGCTGCTGGAAGAGGTGGAGAAGCTGTTAGAACAGGAGAGGCAGCAGGAGGAGCAGGAGAGGCTGCTGGAGAGGGAGAGGCTGCTGGAAGAGGTGGAGAAGCTGTTAGAACAGGAGAGGCGGCAGGAGGAGCAGGAGAGGCTGCTGGAGAGGGAGAGGCTGCTGGACGAGGTGGAGGAGCTCCTGGATGAGGTGGAGGAGCTCCTGGAGCAGGAGAGGCTTCGGCAACAGGATGAGAGGCTGTGGCAGCAGGAGACTCTGCAGGAGCTGGAGAGGCTGCGGGAGCTGGAGAGGCTGCGGGAGCTGGAGAGGATGCTGGAGCTGGGGTGGGAAGCCCTGTACGAGCAGCGGGCCGAGCCACGCAGCGGCTTCGAGGAGCTGGTGCGTTGCCCCACCTGGGGAGGCTGCCCTCTTCCCTAGCCCTCAAGGCCTTTGTTTCCCCACCTGTAAAATGGGGCATTGTAGCCTTCACATGAAATGGTACTTCTAAAGGCATCTGTGAGCCAGAGCCCTGCTCTGATGGCTGTGGGAGAGAGGGGATATTTTTCTAACCTGCCTCCACCCTTCCCGGTGCCATGGGAGGCAGACACTAAGTTCTGGGGTCTCCAGTTTTAGTGGGTGGCCACTGATTGCTTCTCTCTGTCCAGAACAACGAGAACAAGAGCACACTGCAGTTGGAGCAGCAAGTAAAGGAGCTGAAGAAGTCGGGTGAGCTGAAAGAGACTGTAACCTCCGACCCATCCAAGAAGATGTGGGAGGCGGGCACCAGCCTCTGGGGAGGGGAGGTGCCAGGCCACAGGCAGCTGCAGCCTGGGGACAGGTGACCCCAGCACCCTCCGGGGCAGTCCTATGACTGTTTCTTGCTTCCTGCCCTCTGACTTTTAGAGGTGGGTAGCCCTGGGGTCCTCCCAGGTCTGGACATCATCATCCCAGCTAGAGGCATGGAGCCCCCCAATCACAGAGGAAGAGACAGTGGTATAAGAGGCTCCTTATGTCGGGTGTGGTGGCTCACGCCTGCAATCCCAGCACTTTGGGAGGCTGAGGCAGGACAATCACTTGAGGTCAGGAGTTTGAGACCAACATGGCCAACATGGTGAAAGCTCATCTCTACTAAAATTAAAAAAAATAATAATAATTAGCCGGGCCTGGTGGTGCATGCCTGTAATCCCAGCTACTCAGGAGGCTGAGACACGAGAATCACTTGAGCCCGGGAGATGAAGGTTGCAGTGAGCTGAGATTGCACCACTGCACTGCAGCCTGGGACACAGAGTGACACTCTCTCAAAACAAAACAAAACAGACAAACAAAAAAGACTCCTTAGATTCAAACTGGATTCCGGCCTCGGTTCCACTGGTCATAATTCAACTACTTTGCATCTCTAAGTCTCTGTTTCTTTAACTTCAAAAGGAAGTTAGCCTTTTCCTTGCAGAGGTGCTGAGGATTAAATGAGATAATACGTGGAAACATTAGGCATGTAGCACACTTAGCAGATGGTGGTTGGCTCCGCCTGCTTTTCCACCAGTCTGTGGCCTACAGTTTAAATGCTGGGAAAAAGGGCGTGAGATTTGATGCTAGGGAAGGAGGCATGGGGTTCTAGGCAAGGGAGACAGTCTCTTAGGCCTGGAGCAAGGGGCCAGGGGCCTGGGCAGGCCACAGAGCCCCACAGTGTCCTCGCTACCCTATTAATGGGCCAGGAATCTGGAAGCCAGCCACCACATGTCCTCATGCCCAGGGTCTTCCGGCAGGTGGAGCTGAAGAGCCAAGAGGCTCCGAGTCTGCAGCAGCAGCCAGACCAGTAGCTGGAGCCCCAGTCCCACAAGGAGCTTGGATGTGCGGACAAGCAGGGTGGTGAGTAGAGCCCTCAGGCGGGGTGGGCAGGCAGGAGCAGGGGAGGCTCGCACTGTGCCCAGATTCCCACCCCCCTCCCTCTCTCTGAAGATCTTAGTGGGCTGAGCCTCACTGATAGCATGGAGGCTGCACCGGGAGAGGACAGGGAGGGTTCTCCCCCATGACAACCCCACTGCACAGCAGATCCAGCAGCTGCTTCCTCTAATGCAGGACTCCCCAGGAGCACCCAGGCTTGAGTGGAGAAGCTGTTGGTACAGGAGAGGCGGCAGGAGGAGCAGGAGAGGCTGCATGCCATTCTTTTCGGGCTGCGGAGAACAGGGAGCTAAACATCACCATCATCTAAGAGCGGGTCAAGGAATTGAAAAAAAAAAACAAAACATTTAAGGGGTTAATATCCTACACAATTCATTTACTTCATTTGAATGTTAGAGCCACTTATGTTTATTTGTGTTTCTAATTTATAGTTTAAATTTATTTGTGTTTCTAATTTATAGTTTAAATTTATTTGTGTTTCTAATTTATAGTTTAAATTTATTTGTGTTTCTAATTTATAATTTAAATTTATTTGTAAAAAGTTAAATGAGAGTGGGTGTTTCTCTCATGTTCACTCTGGCATCTTTTAGCATTTTTTTAATTTGATAATTATAGGACGTTAGCATGCATATCGAGTTTGCCCTTATGTGGTGGGAGTTCAAACACACAAAGACCCACTGTATGCACACAACTGTTCTTGCTGGTTTGGGATAGGCTGCCATGCTTTTTGAATGTTAGTACAGCCTGTATATTCATTACGGAATTCAGATAAAATTTCCTTATGTTCTGCTGTTATGTTTGATCGAATCCTAATCACAGTGAGCTCTTCATTAGCTCAATATGCAGTTTGCCCTCAAGTGCGCGGTCTATTACTTTGTAATATGCCACTGTGAGTACTGACATTTACAGTTGTTTAAAGGTGGAGCACTGGAAACAGCCTTTCCCCCTTTTTCTGTGTATTGGGGATGGGAGTAATAACATTTTGGGGAGGTTTTTAAATCTCCCAGAAGAGGAAAGTGGCCTGCTTTGGCAGGTGTGTGCAGGATAGAATATGTTTCATTTGTTCCGGTGCCAAGAATGAGCGCTGTACTACGGTAGTTCCCTTAGGATTTGTATGTGCTCTGGGCTCATGAAGATACTGCCTCATGAGCTGTGGCAGTTGTACTCTTTTTTGATGACCTGAAAAGGGATTATTTCTGAGGAATGAAAGGCTCCCATCATGACTGTGGATGTGGAAAACCTTTTCTAGCTGAGAGCATTTATATCTACAATACATTTTAAAGTCAGCGTTCATGTTCCCTGTTTTAATCACATGACTACATGTCCCAGTACACAAAAGGGCACTGGTTGGCGTTCTCCTTAATGTATTTAGTAAAGATCAGAAGAAATCCTTTAAGAGTTTAAATGCCCCTGGAACAGGCATATACAGGCTCTAGTCAAGAATGAATTCGAGTGAAGGAAAGCTGTGTGACACCTGGCATTCCTCTGTGTTCATGGAGCTTATTTGAGGCTAGAAGATGGATTTTACCATCTAGACCTCTCTGGCTAATAGCTAGTCTTCAACCATCTGACATAGGAATTTACTTCTTTTCCTTGAATGGAGAACACTTTAAAAATAATAACAAACATTATTATAAACTAATATATGTGAGAGTACTTAGTTGAAACAAAAAGGAGTTTTAGTAGACAGTATTATACTACATTTGAAAATCAAGGAGCAGTTTATGCAACGTAAAATGTTTACAAACTGCAGCGCAATCTACTGTTTGTGACTGTCAAAGTGTCATGAGGAAAGTGTCTATACAATCACAGAGTTATATTTCCTCACAAAGTTCTTTACGAAGAGTGAAATATGTTTTTATACCTCTCAGTTTCAGTTAGAGGCATATTTTGTGTAATATTTATGGCTTAAAATGGACTAAAGGTCCTGTTCTTGCCTTGTCTGAACTTGCCGCTTTTGCATTCTTTGAGTTCAGTTTAAAGACACTTACTTTAACTCCATTTTAAACCCTCGGGCTAGAAATCGTACCACTGTTAATTAGCCACGTTATTTGGTCTAACAGTTTTTGTTTATCATTCTGAAACTGAGCTTATCTAATACATTGATAAATTATTTCAAAGGTATTTTTATAGTTCAAATCGCTTCACTTTTACCCTGACACGTATAAATGAATAGGAATGACCTTCAGATAGCGTTTAGCAACTGTAACCAATCTGACAATAATGTGTTCATCAGGTACCTGTGGATTAAATCACATACTGGCATATTTAAGATGAATGTCAGTCTGAAAAATAAATATACTATATTAATTCAAATACGACTCTTTGTGTAGGTATTTTGTCATATGTTTAAGAAAAAGCTAAAGAGAATGGAAATCCTATGACAATAACTCAAGTCTTTCTTCAAAGTGCATGCAGTCTTTTGCAGTACCTCATTCAGCCAAGTATTTGTTCTCTACCTCATTCAGTATAAGGCAGCCTTTAATTTGCTTAGAAGGCAACATTAGAAGGTTAGAGTTCAGCAGGAACATAGAATTTTAAAATGTGACTTCAACTGAATAAATTTGAATTTCTCTAGGGAGTAAAGAATCAAAACACCTATTTAAAGACTGCAAAATATGATAATTATTTTTAAAGTAATTGATTAAACCTGGTAGGTTTTCCCAAAATGAAAAACAATCAGTTCTAAAACCAAAGCTGATTTTTAGAAAATGTGAAAATGTAAATCAACCCTATCCATAATAGATTCTCTAAAACTTTATCTTACAGTCACTTTCAAATAACTATTCAAAAATGTAACTGCTATATTAACGTCTTAAAATAATTTAAAACATTTTAAAATATGAATACTGTAGTTTAAAACAAAGAATCTAGGGGAAGGAAAAGTAGACAAAGAAATGCCAATTCCAGTCCAAAGCTGTATTTGCCAAGTTTTCTTAGAATGACTTTTACCGATTTATGAATTCTTATACACAGAATGCATAATGGAAATACTGATTTTTGTCTAAAGTGGCATTATTGACTGCTTCTGTGATGCTACTGTAATGTAATACATTATTAAATTGTTTCAAGGTGCTGTTTTGCCTAAAAATTTTGTGTGTCTTGAAAACTATAGTATTGGGTATTGAGACTCTGCAAATTCTCGGCATGCTTGGCATGAGGTAATCGGTTTTTATTCTTACAAAATTGTAACTATGTAAGTGTGTTTATTAAAAGAACACAAACTAAAAAAGTTAACAGAAATTAAAGTTGTGGGATGAAAAAGTTACAGGATAAAAAAATACTGTGGAAAAGTGGCAAAAAAAAGTTGTGGAAAAAAAGTAAAAAAAAAGTTTTATGAAAAGTTATTTTAAAAAGTTATGAAAAATTAGTTACAGGATTTAAAAAAAGTCATGGGATAAAAATAAAAATAAATAAAAGCAGGCCCCTGTCAGCATAAGCCTGGAGAAGTGGGTCTGGAGTCTTCACCCCCACCATGTCCCTACAACCCCTCCCCAGTCAGCCCTTTACCATTAGGGTAGCAAGACAAGACCCTTGTCTAATGGAGGGAGACAAACAGACCCTTTACCACCTTGACCAAGGCTGAGTCCTTACATTTCTGGATGATGATGTTTGTTATTTAAGAGCCAGAGGTTGGTGGAGTTGGTTTGTTTGGAGGAGGTCTGACGGCCTTCTTACTCTCACCAAAGCAACTTTTCCCTCAGGGGGGCTCCCATCTTCTTACTCAGAGAGGCAGCTGAGGCGGGACAGTGGAGTTAACTGTAGACCAGGCCAGGGCACAGGCTGCTGGGGGTGGCCCCCCTTCCCCCGTGTACATACTGTAGCTGTGTAACATTCTGTATCGTACCTAGCGGAGGTTGCAGCTGGCATATGAGGAAGAGGTTCTTATAATTATTCGCGGCTGGGAAACTTATTTATTGCTAGCATAGGAGCGAGGAAGGAGGCGGGGATGGGGTCATGGCTCCCTGGTGATGGGACTCCTGTTTTTGGTTTGTTGTTGTTTTGCTTTTGATTTTGGAATAAATGGATTTAGCCATACTGCTCGGCCTGTTATGTTCCCGTTTCCCTCACTGGGTCCTGCAGTTTGTCCCACTCAACGAGGAGCCCCAGAGTGTTTCAGCATGTCCAGCTGGGCTGTGGGGAATCTTCCAGGCCTGTTACCTGTATGCTGCCTGGTGACACCTGGTGGATTTCACGGGGACTGCCATGGCACCTACGGAGTACAGTCCGGCCCTGACAGTCAACAGGTTGAGAAGCCTGATCTAGCTGTGGCAGGGAAGACAGATACCAGTGCCCAAGGGCACTGACTTCCATCCACCCCAGGTGTCTTCCGTTCCATCCCCCTCCTCCCGTTCCTGTCTGCACCAGGTGGCCTGTCTGTCCCTCCAGAGTGCCGGCTGCCCCACAGGCTCCTTCCAGGCTGAGTTCAGGGCCCTGTCCCCTAGTGGCCAGAGCCGGCTTCACAGGATAAGAGCCAGCTGAGCTCCAGGGACTTTCCAGGAAAAGTGTCCCTTGAAAAGGGTGTGACCTTTTCACTGTTCCCAACAACACCCTAAAAATGGCTTGGCCTTTTCCATCCCCTGAGCTCCATAGAGAACACAGCCAGCAGAGGACACATTCTCTGTCATCCAGAAATGGGTTTCTCAGCCGAGGGACAGCAGGACTGGTAGAGACTGTCAGGCCACACAGCTGCCTGCACAGCACCGCCATGCTTGGCCAGAAGGGCGGGAGGGATGGCGGGGGCTGGCTCTCCACAGGCCGCGCATGTCCCGGAAGCTCACTGGAGGTGGTGCACTTTGGAGGGGCGATGTCAGGAGACAGCTTCCTCTTGCTGGGCTACAAGACTCCACAAGCACAGCACGGGGACTGATTCCCAGTGCTAGAGGTGAGGCAGTTGGCCACGTGTATATATGTATATATGTGTGTGTGTGTGTGTGTGTGTGTGTGTTTGTGTATGTGTGTGTGAGAATTTATAGCTATAGAACAGGGCAGGGGCATACCACAGAGGAGGCACAAGTTTTCAGCAACGGTCACACCTGGACGTGTCAGCTCACCACTACAACAGACTAAGTCACAGATGAAGGGGGCTGGCTTTGGGGCTGGGGGAGCCACTGTCAAGTCACAGGACACCCGCCCAGGCAGGCTTGGAAAGGGAGGTCTCTGGGAAGAGGGATCTGTTTAGACGTCGAAGTGGGGCCTGGGGCTCCCTGGATGGGATGGACTTGCCTGACCCGATCAGCTGGCAGTTGGAGAGAAAGCAGAGAGAAAACGGGTTAGAGAAAAGCCAGAGCTGGTGAGGCAAGTGCAGAGTATGGGTGCGCTGCAGCAGCTGTGGAGGGCCGGGGAGGGGAGGGCGTACGTGTGGGCGTGGCAAGGTTCCTGGAAAAGAGGGGCTGGAAGGAAAAGGGGAGGGAGATGGAGGGAGAAGCTGGAGCTTCATAGGTAGTGCCTGGGGACTGCGGCGGCCCTCCCTACCCCACACACGCTGGCCTGTCTCATGGAACCCAGGCAATCCACCCATCCACCCACAGTTCAGACCAATGCCAGCTCCCTCGGGCTTCCCTCTTCTGTGGTCCCCATGTCTTCCAACCCACTGGCCCAGGGCCACCTCTTGCTTGGAGAGCCCCATCCAACAGCCACCAGGCCTGATAGAGAAGGAACACTGCCTGAACCAAAATGGTGGAGCTATAAGGGATGGCTGGCTGGAGTGGTCGCCAGAGGCCCCTCTGGGCCATCAGAAAACCCAGGGTCCTCTGAGGGACCCTAGGGAAGGCAGGGAGGGCAGGTAGCCAGATGGCACTGGCCATAGACATATAAGTCTAAGAGGGGAGCCTCAACTGGTTGGCGGGGGGCTGCAGGTTGCATAGGTGAGGCTGGGCCTTTCCTGCTGGGAAAAGCAGAAGAGGAAGGCTAACTTTTGTGTTGTTTAGTAGAGAGTGGGTTTCACCATGGTGGCCAGGCTGGTCTCAAACTCCTGACCTCAAATGACCCATCTCTGCCTCCCAAAGTTCTGGGATTACAGGCCTGAGCCACCGCGCCCGGATCCAAGGCCCTTAAGCTTAAATGCCTCGTTCTTCAGTCAGGTTTTCCTTGTTCCCGCATGTTCAGCCAATCGTGTTTAAGGAGAAACTAACAATGAAAACGGACTCGTTGATGGAGGAAAAGTTGGAATGCAGCCTCTGGTGCTGTTTGAGCGATCCCTCTACCCCGGGTCGCTGCTGTGTTCTGGAAAGGCGCATTGTACCCTGGATGCGGCAGGTAAGAGTCCTGTCCAGGTGCTCTGCCCGCTTTTCCTTTCAGGCTTCTGTATCATCTATTTTTCCCCTGTAGAATGTGCCCCTGACAGCCACCCCCTAACCCTACCCAATTTGTCTTTACGTGTCTGACCATCAAGGCTCTTCTGGGTCATATTTAATTCATGCTGATATTTCCCCTTCCTCCCCTCTTTAGTCCTCACTATTTTTGCTTTGGTCATGTTATGCCTTATTCTATAAGGCTTTAAAAAATTTTTTTATGGTGGCAGGGGAGAATATAATTATGCTTTGTGCTTTTTATCTTCCACTCAATAAATGCTTGGTAAATATTTGTTTTATTGAACGTATGAGCCTATTCTAGCTATATTGTGCTTGAACAAAAATCTTAACTGCCTTGTAAGTTAACTGCTAAGAATTTGTCAGAAGTGCAGACATAACATCAAGAACTTGTCATGGATAGTACAAAAAGGTCTCTAAGGGCTTGATGGAGGCCTGTAAATTGACTTCCTATGAAAGAGAGTGTAAGAAGTGAAAATGTAAAGCATGACTGGAGAGCCAGAGTGATGAAGCCAGGGTCCCTTTCTCCAGATCCTTTGTAACAGTGTTATGTGATCTCTTCTAGAAGATCGTTCTGAAAGATAATGCCAACTCGGAACCTAGGAAACCACCTAGTGGGTTTCTGCAGCTTAGGTGTTTCAAATCCTCATCAGCACGTTTGTTTTCTCTGCCTCAGTTTGCTTACAATGATGTTCTCAGTAGCTATAACTGCTGTCTGTCTTTGAATACTTAAGCATTTTTTTTAGATGACAGGGATATATGTGCATTTTTATTTTACCAAGTGTTAGAATTTTGACTCTGCTTTTGTGGGCTCTGGGTTAGCTACGTGGTTGTTGTAAAATGATTAGCAGGGAAAACCGTGTGTGTCTGTGTGTGTGTGTGTGTGTGTGTGTGTGTGTGTGTGTGTGTGTGTGTGTGTATTTTAAGTTTCTTTTGTTGTCAGAGGACTTCGAATTTTATTTTATATGGTAATTCTGTCAATTTACTTTATTCTCCACCCCACATTTATCGAACAGCAAAGTATGAAAGTAATGTGTCCCATAAGCAGCCTTCAGAAGAATTACAACTGCTGTATATCTGAAATTCTTTTTTTTATTTTTTATTTTGAGATGGAGTCTCACTCTATCACCCAGGCCAGAGTACAGTGGTGCGATCTTGCCTCACTGGAACCTCTGCTGCCCAGGTTCAAGCAATTCTCCTGCCTCAGCCTCCTGAGTAGCTGGGATTACAGGCACCTGCCACCGCACCTGGCTAATTTTTGCAGTTTTAGTAGGGACAGGTTTCACCATGTTGGCCAGGCTGGTCTTGAATTCCTGACCTCGTGATCTGCCTGCATCGGCCTCCCAAAGTGCTGGGATTACAGGCGTGAGCTACCGCGCCCGGCTGAACTTTCAATAAGAAGTTTGTGCGTCAGTTTTCAAAAAATTATGATATCAAAAGATAGCTGTGCCCTACATTTGGAAAGATACAAAAACTGAACATACTAGCAGGCAGTTTTGCTTGCTGGTGCTTGAGATAGGGGCACACATTGGTCTCAGTGGAATTATGGAGAAAAATAGATACAGAAAGTTATTTCTAAATAAGACCAAAACATCCTTTTCTTAAGCAGTGACAGGTAAAGAGGTTGTCTTGGCTAACCTTGAATTGTGTTGCCCTTGATTGAGACAGTTTTATGGTGGGGATGGTAGTGGTGATAAACTTGCTGGAAATTTGTCTGCTGATGGTAACCTTTGTGGTAGCTGTCACAGACAACTTCATCCTCACGGGCCTTGAAATTAGTATAAAACTAACAGAATGGAGGAGAAACAAAGGACCTGAATAATCAGATGCTTAGATAATTGTTCTGTGTTTTCATAATCGGTGAAGAAGAACAGTGTTAGGAACACTTAAACATTCCATGGAAGGAACACTGCCTGAATTTATATTGTGATTTTTGAGCATCATTCACTGTTTAAAAACAGGCATATTATAGGTAATATTTTAAAGACAAATAGAAAACTTATCTTTTCAAGATGGATCTAAAACTTAAACTTATCAAAATTACAAAATATAAAGCATACTATTGAAAAATATTAATGCATAGGTTTAAATATTGGTCATCATTTTAGATGTCTTTCAAAATAGATTGTTTCTTAAATATTAAACTGAAAACATTGAACATGTTGTAGAGTTTGTGCTCAAGGTTAAGTTTCCTGGGGTGATGGATATTTTATAATATGGATAACAAAAACTTCTTAAGAAATTTAGAAAATTTTTAGGCAAAACTAGAACATAATACCAATAATTCTACCACTCAGAATGTACCACTGTCAGAATTTTGTATCTTTCCCATCATCTGCTCATCTCTTTTCTCCTTTGCTTGTGTGTGTTCCCTCTCCCTTAAAAAATCAGATTTTTTTTGTAACCTGCTTTTTCACTCAACAATATTGTAGATCCGTGTCATAAGTTACTCATCTACAGTGCCTTCAGTTATTGTGTGCTTTGTGTTGGATGACTATACCATCTAGTCATTCGCGTTTTCTGGTACTGAATACATAGGAGTGAGTGAGTGAGTGTTTGTGTTTGTGTGTGTGTGTGTGTGTGTGTGTGTTTTCTACCTTAACTAATGCTTTAGACATCAATAGGTAGAGCTAAATCTTTGAAACCTTCCCTGTGGTCGCTTTCAGTTCTCATTGCTGAATTGGTTTCTAGAGATGGAACAAATTATATTGTATGGAAAAAAACATTTTTTTGAGACGAAGTCTCACTCTTGTCACCCAGGCTGGAGTGCAATGGCATGATCTTGGCTCACTAAAACCTCCGCCTCCCAGGTTCAAGTGATTCTCCTGCCTCAGCCTCCTGAGTAGTTGGGATTACAGGTGGCTGCCACCATGCCTGGCTAATTGTTCTATTTTTAGTAGAGATGGGGTTTCACCATGTTGGCCAGGCTGTTCTGGAACTCCTGACCTCGGGTGATCCACTCACCTTGGCCTCCCAAAGTGCTGGGATTGCAGGCATGAGCCACCACACCCAGCCTTTTTTTCTTCTAGGTACCAGCTTTTATTTATCAGATTGGTAAAAATGTCAGAAAGTGTGCAATGAAATGGGCATTCTCACAGTCATGGCAGAAAGTATAATTAACTTTGACTTTCTAGAAAGCAGTCTGGCATTCTAGAAACTTGCCTAACCTCTTCCCATTTAGGCAAGATGAATTCTGACTATCCCTAGGTGGCCAATCTTGTCCCTGTGATTCCATATCTCCCAGAAAGAGAGGTCTAGTCTCAGGGAAAACCCAGATTTTCTTGGCTTAGCCCACCTGAGAGCTAATCACTGGAAATGAGGTGGGCGGGTAGAGTCCTTTGGTCAGGTTTTGTGTCAAGAGCGGGATGTGGAAAGATGGGAGAGAGGTAGCAAAACTGGCCTCAATAGAACTGTGTAAGTTAACATAGAATGGCAAAGGAATGTTTCTTCCAAGGAAGAAATTCTAGGGAAGGAAGAAAGTGGAGGGGAAGGCAGCAGTTCTCAAAGTTTTGGGGTCAGGATTCCTTTACACTCTTAAAAGTATATTGAGGGCCCAAGGAGCTTTTCTGTATATAGGTTATATCTATTGGTATTTATCACTAGAAATTAAATCAGAAATATTTAGAATATTCTTTAAAAGCTCACCAAATTTTGTTATAAATGCTTTTATGAAAAGAAAATTTCTAAACCCAAAGTAGTACAATCTTACACCTTTTGCAAATTTCGTTGATGTTTGATACGTCATTTGCATTTCCATTCAATTTATTGTGTGATATTTGCTTGAAAAAATGTGAACAAAGGCCAATCTGATACAGATAGCCATTTTAGATCATTATGGATATTTCTTTTTTTTTTTTTTTTTTTTTTTGAGATTGGGTCTTTGTCTCCCAGGCTGGAATGCAGTAGTATGATCACGGCTCACTGGAGCCTCAGTGTCTGGGGACTCAGGTGATCCTCCCACCTCAGCCTCCAGAGTAGCTGGGACTACAGATGTGTACTACCCCACCTAGCTAATTGTTTGTATTTTTTGTAGAGACAGAGTTTTGCCATGTTGCCTTGGCTTCTTTTTTGATACTCCATCAAAAATTGATTTTTCTTGAACTTTGGATCTTTTACCCTTGCATGGTATTATAACATCATGCATTGTTCAGTTCAGTTCAAAAATAATGGTTCACTGAGATCTTCTATATGTTGATACATTTGATTGTACAATATCAAAATACACTCATCAATATCACCATCAGTCTCATCAGAATACTTTTGGAAAGCGATGGTGGATATAAGTTTTCTAAAATTCTAATTTTTTGTTCAAAAGCTTGAGTTTTAGTATTAGCAATTTTATTGTTGAAATTTATTATGGCCTGTCTGTTGTTTTCCTTGAAATAACAGAATCTCCTTTTTTGAGAAAATGTCTCCCAAAACCCAAGCTGAAATAACATTTTTTGTCAGCCATCTTTTGGAATAAAAATGATATTCCATTAAAGTGGTTAATTCACTTCATGACTTAGTCTCATGAGGGTTTTTTCTCTGACAGTCTGTAGGTGTGCTCATGTATACTTCCCATTTCATCACTTGAAATATTAAAAAGATATATTCAAGGATTAAGATGTAAATTTTTCACTGCTTCATCATAGACATTGTTTTTATTTTTGAGACGGCCTTGTTCTGTCACCCAGGCTGGAGTGCAGTAGCATGATCACAGCTCACTGTAGCCTCAACCTTCTGGGCTCAATCAATCCTCCTGCCTCAGCCTGCCAAGTAGCTGGGACTGCAGTCATGCAACCACCATGTCCAGCTAATTTTTGTATTTTTAGTAGAGACGGGCTTTCACCGTGTTGGCCAGGCTGCTCTCAAACTCTTGACCTCAGGTGATCTGCCCGCCTTGGCCTTCCAAAGTGCTGGGATTACAGGCGTGAGACACCGTGCCCAGCCCTCCCTTCCTTTTTACACCTTTAAACCTTTCCCGTGCACAGTAGTCATACCATGACTACTAGTAGTTTGGTGTTACTGCCTTTATTTATGCTAAAGTACCAGCATTTTTACCCACCATTGCATCTGCACCCTTACAGCAAATGTCACCATGTTAGTATTCCTGTCAAAACAGTTTGGACCTGGGGGTCTGAGGGCTGCACTTTGGGAACCACTGAAATAGGTACTTAAACCTACTATATATCATATCTTTTCATCTACAAGATTTTTAAAAACTTGATTTCAGTTAATGTTTTTGTAGTTTTTAAAATATGGTTTTGAGGGGTTTCAGTCCAGAGCAGCAACATGTATTCTACTTTGCTTATGCTGAAGTTTACTAGACAAATACTAACCTAATAGAATGAGGTCGTAAATCTAGTTGCATTTTCTTTAGCCAAAAAAAAAACCCAAACTAAAAATTTAAAAATGGTCCATATGGTGTATTCCCAATGTATGCTGAAGAATTTGAAGAAGAAAATGCAATAGTCAGTAAGTGGTATTCTTTAAGAATAGCATTGGGCCAGGCACGGTGGCTCACACCTGTAATCCCAGCACTTTGGGAGGCTGAGGCAGGTGGATCAGGAGATCAGGAGATCGAGACCACCCTGGCTAACACAGTGAAACCCCGTCTCTACTAAAAAACAAAAAATAAGCCGGACGTGGTGGCAGGTGCCTATAGTCCCAGCTACTCTGGAGGCTAATGCAGGAGAATGGCATGAACCCAGGAGGTGGAGCTTGCCGTGATCTGAGATCGTGCCACTGCATCCAGCCTGGGTGACAGAGCGAGACTCTGTCTCAAAAACAAAACGAAACAAAAAGAATAGGATTCATTCTGAAGAGTTTCTTTTAGCCTGTAAAAAGATTTGGGACACTGTAAGAGAGGAATGAGAAGAATGAGAATAGTGAAATAAATCATTATTGAAGAGATAGACTGTTAATGATGTCCTCCTTCAATACAACTTGTTTTTCTTTTCCTTTTTATTTTATTTACTTATTTTTTTTTTTTTGAGATGGAGTCTTGCTCTGTCACCAGGCTGGAGTGCAGTGGCGCATCTCAGCTCACTGAAACCTCTGCCTCCCGGGTTCAAGCGATTCCGCTGCCTCAGCCTCTTGAGTGGCTGGGACTATAGGCATGAGCCACCATGCCTGGCTAGTTGTTTTTATTTTGGTAGAGACAGGGTTTCACCATGTTAGCCAGGATGTCTCAATCTCCTGCCTCGTGATCCACCCACCTTAGTCTCCCAAAGTGCCCAGATTGCAGGCGTGAGCCACCGCACCCGGCCAACTTGTTTTTCTGGTTTTCCGTGGTTTTCATGGTTTTCTGGTTTTCTTGGTTTTCCTTGACTTGAACCTAGTTCTTCTGAAGCTAATATATAATAACAATTGCTTTTCGCCAATTTCTAATAGAAGACAGTACAATGCAACAGAGTAAATGTCTATTAGTGGGTGAAAGTGCATAATGCTTAGTTCATTAGCTTTTTAAAAAATCACATGTAATTGTGTCCCAAAAATATATGTATAATGCATTTATTCGTATTACTTGGTTTGTGTGATAGAATAAAATGTACGAATTTTATGGTGTTTGAATTAGTTATCTATTGCTCTGTAACAAATTGAGCAGCTTAAAACAACAAACATTATCTCACAGTTTCTGTGGGTCAGGATTCTGTCCAGTTTACCTTGGGTTCACTGGCTTGGCCTCTCACCAGGCAGTGAAGGTGTTGGTGGTGGCTGTGATCATCCCAAGGCAGGATAGGGAGAGAATCTGTCTCCAAGCTCAGGTTGGCAGGATTCATCTCAGAGGCTGCTGGACTGGGCCTCCGTTTCTAGATGGCTATTGGTCAGAGGCCTTTTACAATACCTTGTCACGTGGGCCTCTCCATAGGGCACCTCATCACATGGCAACTGGCTTCCATCAGAGGGAGCAATGGAAAGAGCAGGAGAAGGGTGACCAAGGCAGGCATCGTAGTCTCCTTGTAGCCTCACCTCAGAAGTGATGTTATTACTTTTGCTGTATTCTCTTTGTTAGAAGTGAGTCACTAGGTCCAGGGGTGGAATTTTACAAGGGTGTGAATGGCAGGAGGTGAGGGTGATCAGGGCCGTTTAGAGGCTGCCTACCAGTGTTGAAGAAAATTGTTGACTTCTATGAGCTGTAGCAGCAGACAGTGCTATGCAAGGAGAATGGCTGTCTCAGAAGTCCAGCTCCTCACATGGGTTTAAACGTGTTGCCTTTTCCCCCATACATTTTGTTTAAATCCATGGTCATCTTGCCATTTAGTGGTGTGGTTTAATTGCATATTTGGGTTAGTCTGTATGTAAACATTTAACATAGGTGTCTCTGGGTTAAACAGGAATCCTATTCATCTTCTTCACCGATATGGTTTGTGGACTCTGATGAGCCAAATCTGACATCAGTTTTGGAATGTCTAGAAGATGCTAAGAACAACAATTCGGTGAGGAAAGAAGCCAAGCTGTTTTCTCTTTTCCTTATAAACATTATATTTAGAAATTAAATGTTAAGAGATAATATGATAAAAAACATGATTAATAACTATAAACTTAGAGGAATTAAAGTCTGGGTATTTTAAGTCCTCCAAATCTTATTTACTACCTGGTTTCTCTTTATTATTTCCCACATGTATAACCTTAGTTTAGATTAGCAATTTGGGATCTCTTTTTCCCTGAATTCTAACCATTAAGCCAAGCAAGCATTTTGGGTGGAGACCACTAGCCAAGGTGGGAAGTAGAAAGAAGACCAAGGTGGAAGTGAAGGGAGAGATGGGGAGAATGACACCAAAACTACTGGGAGGGAATTGCCTTTTCTTTCAAGGGTCTGTAAGTCTGCAGTAAAAGTCAAAGGTATTCAAATAGGAAGTTTTGTTTTTGTTCTTAGTTTATAAAGAAATATAACTTTCCATGTTGGAAAAATTTTTAAAACTTTTTTTATTATAAAACTCACAAGCAACCATTGTTGAGAAAATTAGTAAAGTACAGAAAAGCAAAAAGAAAAAAATTAGTCTCCCATAAATTCTCTACCTAATATAACCACTATTGACAGTTGACATGATGGCCATTTTCTACCAGTATATATTTTTTCTTTGCTAGTAAAATACATAACCCTTATACATATGTTTAAATAGTTGAGGTCGTATTCTCTATAGTTTTATATTCTTTTCTTTTTTTTTTTTTTTGAGACAGTCTTGCTCTGTCACCCAGACTGGAGTGCAGTGGCATAATCTCGGCTCACTGTAAGCTCCCCCTCCCAGGTTCACACCATTCTACTGCCTCAGCCTCCCCAGTAGCTGGGACTACAGGTGCCCACCACCATGCCTGGCTAATTTTTTGTATTTTTTAGTAGAGATGGGGTTTCACCATGTTAGCCACGATGGTCTCAATCTCCTGACCTCGTGATCCTCCCGCCTCAGCCTCCCAAAGTGTTGGGATTACAGGCGTGAGCCACTGTGCCCAGCCCTTTTATATTCTTTTAAAAAGTATTTACTGTATTTTCCCATGATGTCGTAGTCTATATAGAAAAATAACAATCATTATTTTCAGTTGACATGATTGTTTACCTAAAAATATCCAAAGGAACCAACTGAAAAAAACAATTTTTAAGATTACTGGTTAAAAGCTCTTTTATATAAAAATCAATAGCCTTCCTAAATGTTATTTATAATCACATAGAAGATATAGTGATGAAGTATTTTTTCAGGTATTTCAGCAAAAATTAAATACCTAGGAATAAACTTAGATGTGCAGGACTTTTATCAAGGACAGGACAAAATTTTGCTGAGTGGAATGAAAGATTTGCATTCTATGTTCCTGGATGAGCAGATTTCATGTTATAAATATGTTAGTTATCACCATGTCTTCATATTAATTTGTAAATGTAATTTCTGCTGGGCACAGTGGCTCATACCTGTAATCCCAAAAGTTTGGAAAGCTGAGGCAGGTAGATGACAATTAGCTGGGTGTCTGTGGCACACACTTGTAGTTCCAACTACTTATGAGGCTGAGGTGGGAGGATCACTTGAGCCTGGGAGGCAGAGGTTGCAGTGAGCCGAGATCATGCCTGTGAACTCCAGCCTAGGTGACAGAGTGAGACCCTGTCTCAAAAAAAAAAAAAAAAAAAAAAGCAGAAAAAAAGTGTGTGTGTGTGTGTGTGTGTGTGTATATATATATATATGTATATACATTTCATATTATATATATATTTATATATAAATTGTATATATACATTTCATATTATATATATATATAAATTGTATATATACATTTTATATCATATATAGTGTGTATATATATATACACAAATTTCAGCACAAATTCCAGCAGATTTATTTTTGACACTTGACAAAAACGACTCTAAAGTTAGTTTAGAAGAATAAATAATAAAAATTAATAAAGTATAGACTCTTTCAACCAGATATTAAATAAAATATTGTGGACTAGCCCTGGGCCAGACAGATAAAGTCAATGGAAGTTTAGAACCAGAGTCATGCAAATGAGAATTTAGTGTAAGGAAGAGGTGGTATTTTAACTTAATACTGAAAAGAGAAATTATTCTGTAAATGGTTTTAGGAGAACTATTTGAGGAAGTCTGAGTCTTAACTCCAATTTTTGTCAAAATAAGTTACAGTTGGTTTAAACACATCTATTCTTAAAAATTAGAACAGAAGAATATTGGTTTGAAGATATTTTAAGAGTTCAGGCTGCAGCTGGGCACAGTGGTTCATGCCTGTAATCCCAGCACTTTGCGAGGCCAAGGTGGGAGGATTGCTTGAGCCCAGGAGTTTGAGATCAGCCTGGGAAACATAGCAAGACTCTTTCTCTCTCTCTCTCTCTCTCGATATACATATACATATAAATATACATATACATGTAAATATACATATACAAATAGAAAAAAAAAGAGTTAAGTTTTGTGTGGAGAGCCATGAAGATAAGAGGTAAAAATTAAAGGCTTGATGGACACATGTTTACATCTCCAGCAAGGGGGTTGATGGGAAAGACTGATAGACATAGCTCCATTACTGCTACCTCCTTTTAGGAAGTTGCATCTGAACATCTAAAGATACCAGTTTTATAATAGCAGAAATGAGTTATTTTTCAGTGTCTAAAACATTACATGACATACATACATGCATACATACATAAGTATGTTCATAAAGTTAAATGAAGTAGGATATAAAACTGGGCCTAGTGTTTAAAAAAGTAAATATATTTACATGAAGGAGAAAACAACTCACCTCCCACTCTTAGAGCCTCTGCCAGTTTATCATAGCCTAGTTTCTTGAGAGAATAAGCTACATGTCTTCACCTTTTTTCACTGAGCTCATTATAATCTGGATTCTGCCTTCATCGTTGCACTAAAATTTATCTCCTAGTTGTCAAATCCAGTGGCTCCCCTCTTAGTCCCCAAATTGACCCCTCTGCAGTATTTTGATACTGTTGATTGTTCCTTTGTTGAAACATTCCTCCATTCTTAATGTCCACCAATAAAGAGTTGGTTAAATAAAAATTATAGTGTACAATTTTATAATAGAATATTCTGTTGTTCTGTTGTGGACCAAAAAATGCAGCCAGTCTTTCCATAAGAGCATGTGCAAACTTCTAAGATATATTAAGTAAAAAAGTAAGGCATAAAATATTGTGTATAATCTGACCCCTTTAGTACACAGTGTAAAAACATCTGTGTCTGTGCTTCTTTATACTTACTTTTTTCTCCCCTGGTGGATAAAGGAAACTGTGAATAGTACAACACAATTAAAAAAAAAACTGTGTGTCTGCTGCACCAGGACCTGTGATAATTGGGTATAAAAGACAAAAAAGGCATGTCTCTGTCCTCTGGGAAGGGACATGATAATCGAATGAGACTTCTATCGGATTCTTTTCTCCTGTTTTGATCTTATCACCCTGCCTTGGTCTCCTCCGATCTCTTCTTCCTTGTCCTACTTCTTTCTTCTCTTCTCATTCTGTGCTTTCTCTGAGTAATCTTTGACTCCCATTACTTAAGTCATGACCTGTGTTCCAGGGACTCCTAAATTTGTATTCATCTCCGGAGTTTCAAACCCATATATCTGTCTGCATATCATATATGTTAGGGAATCTCGCTTGGAGTGACATGGGTGTTCAAAATGATGATATTTAAATTTTCACGTATCCATCTCCTAGCACTCTATCTAGTCACATATGCCTAAACCTGGGAACTGTCTTAATATTCTTTTATATACAACTGTTCTCTGACCGCCCCCCCAAACTAGTAAATTTCTAAGACCTGTCCTTCTGAATGTCTCTTACAATTTTCCCTGTGATCTCAGTTTCTTCCTCCCATCCCTCAAACTTTTTGTTTTGCAGTGTCTTCCTCATAATAGTAATTTTTAATTTAAAAAATTCTGTTGTAGCCCTTTCTGTGAGATCTCCTTCTCTTCCAAAGCCTTTGGCTCCTCTGTGCCCATTTTGGCAGGTTGTTCTTCGGGTTGGCTGTGCACATGTCATCTTGAGGTTTTTCTCATCTGCTCGCCTAGAGTACATCCATTGTTTCCTGGATCCCATGTCATCTTTCTTGGCTTTTCCCTTTGTCATTTTACCTGACTATGTCCTCAAGTAAAACCCTGAGAAAGCATGGAGTGGTATATTTTCTGATCTCTGGCTTCTGAAAAAATACAATCCAGTGTTTGGGTTTTGGAGCCAGTCTGAGATAGATTTGAATCTTGGTTCTACTACTTATTAGCTGTATGCCCTTGGGCAGATTCCCTAATTGCTCTATGCATCAATTTCCATTTGCAAAATGGGGGAACCGGTAATAGTATTAGTACCTATGTTTCTAGGGAGCTATGAGGATTAAATGAGTTGGTACATGTAAACCATTTAGAACAGTGCCTGGTGCTTAGCCCATCCCCATCACTATTCACTTTTGTCATAGTCTACCCTCACACTTGATTGATAGTTTGGTTGATTATGTATTTCTAGGTTGAGGATAATTTTACCTTAGAATTTCAAAGTCTGTGCTGTTGTCTTCTAACCAGTCATGGTGGTGAAGCCTCATGCCATCCTGAGTTTCACTCATTCATGCATGACTTTCTCTCTGGAAGCTTTTAGGAGTTTGTCTTTTCCTTGGTGAGCTGAAATAGCACAACATTGTACTTAGTGTGTGTCTTTTTTCATTCACTGTGCTGGGTATACCGAATGGATAGGCCTATGGATCGGCTCTTTCAAAGTTGGAATCTTGAATCTTGTCATATTTTTGTTAACTTTCTCTTTTCCACTTTATTTGTTCATTCTGAAGTGTCTGTTAATTGGATTTTAGTCCTCTTGTCTTGAGACTTGTATGTCACATTATTTCTAATTTTTAAAAAAATTTTAAGTTCTGGAATATTTTTCTTATATTTTGACTTTTAGGAAATTTTATTTGGACAATCAACGTTAAGTTTTGTTTTGGTTATTTATTGTTGCTTAACCAATTTTCCCAAAACTTAATGGCATAAAACTATACATTTGTCTACCTGTCACTACTGTATGGGTTAACTGAGGATAGCTGGACAGTTTTTCTGCTGGTCTCGTTTGGCATCTCTCACTGTGCGGTTAGATGGTGTCAGGCACTGGTCATCTGGATGCTCAGCTGCAGTGGAATGTCTGAGACGGCTTCTTCACCCACAGGTCACCTGCTTTGGTGTTTCTTCATGTGGCCTTCCTCTCTGGCCTCATCATATGGCTTCTCTTTCCCCGAGAGATTAGTCAGTACTTATTTTGGCTACTAGAAGCGCAGATGTGGAGCTGCCAGGTGTTCTTAAGGCTTAGACCTGGAACAGGTCCAGTGTCATTTCTACCTAATTCTGTAGGTTAAAGTGAATCTTGGGGCCAACCCAGATTCACTGTGGGATGGGACTGTCCAAGGACATGATGCTGGGAGGTGTGGCTCACTGGGGACCAACTCCCAAGATGAACCCTGAGTTCTAAGAACTTTTTCTTCTCTGATTATTCCTTATTCATATTCTATTTTTGTTTTATTCATGTAATATATTCACAAGTGTCTTTATGAAGTGATTTGGATACTCTTTTGTCTTCTCCCTAGCATCTCTTTGTTCTTTAATAAATTTTTTTCTTAGTTTATTTTGGTCTTATTTTTCTTTTTAAAACCTTTCCTTAAATATCTATTCTATGTTGCTTATCATTTGTAGTCTTTTTTTTTTTTTTTTTTTTTGAGACGGAGTTTTGCACTTGTTACCCAGGATGGAGTGCAGTGGTGTGATCTCGGCTCACCACAACCTCCTGGGTTCAAGTGATCCTCCTGCCTCAGCCTCCTGAGTAGCTGGGTTTACAGGCATGTGCCACCATGCCCGGCTAATTTTTGTATTTTTAGTAGAGACAGGGTTTCTCCATGTTAGTCAGGCTGGTTTTGAATTCCTGACCTCAGGTGATCCACCCACCTTGGCCTTCTAAAGTGCTGGGATTAAAGGCATGAGCCACCGTGCCCAGCCTGTATGTTCTTTTTAATTCCCTTTTTTGTTCATTCATATTTGAGAGAGGTACTAAAAGACTGGGAGGCTGGACGTGGTGGCTCATACCTACAATTTCAGTGCTTTGGGAGACTGACGTGGGAGGATCACTTGAGCCCAGGAGCTTAAGACTAGTTGGGGCAACATAGTGAGACCCCACCTTCACAAAAAATAAATTTAAAAAATAGCCAGGTCTGGTGACACCAACCCGTAGTCCCAGCACTTGGCAGGCTGAGGCAGGAGGATCACTTGAGCCTGGGATGTTGAGGCTGAAGTGGGCTGTGATCATCCTGCTGCATTCCTGCATTCCAGCCTGGGTGAAAGAGCAAGACCCTGTCTCAAAAACATAAATAAATAAATAAATATATAAAAAAATAAATAAAAATAGAAATAAAAAATTGGGAGTTCTTCATGGCCAAGACTTGCCAACTGATAGCTTTTAGGGGGAATGTATGCTGATTCCTAATTGTCATCCTCTACCCCCCTATCTTATCTCCCAGTGCAATCATAAATGATGGCTGGAACTACTCCATTTCTCTGGAGGTGAAATCTACATTCTCTTGTCTGAGGTAGATATGTTTGCTTGGGTTCTGCTTAAGGAGATGGGGGAGAGCAGTGTGTTTCAGGGCCTGGAAAATGTGTTCTCTATATAGGCTTTTGGTTAATCTCTGTTTTCAGTCTTGCCTGTCAGTCCCACTCTCGGGGGTACCTGGTGTCTGAGTCTAGAACCTTTCCAGGTTGCTGTGGGACAAATTAGCTTCCTTGTTATCGGTGTCCCCCTGACCTCCACTTTGCTTTGCTTTGCTCCATTAATTAACCATTTTCCATTTACTGTCATTTTCTAATGGAGGTGAATTCTCTTCTGTGGGTAACCCCATTTCTTTTTTTTGTAATTGTGTGTTTATATATTGTTTATTCTTCACTGTATTTCTAGTGGAGCCTCAGGACAAAGAGCAGATGGTGGAAATATGTGTTCAGTGTTCAGTTTTTTTCTGTAAGACATCTGCAACTTGTGTTTTTCACTGAATATCACGTGGACTTAATGCATATAGAGCTACCTTGTTTTTCATGATTGTGCCTACAATTCTATGGAGAAATATAATTTGTGAATTACCTGATGAAATTTTCCTAATTTCGAATCATCCTTGCATTCCTATAATAAACACTGTTAGAATGGCTATGGTAATATTTTATTTTTGCATTTTTATTTCTGTATTAAATAAGATTATAGTTTTGTTTGTTTCCTTTCAGTTTCGTATTTCATTTCAGTATCAACGGTGTGCAGGGCTAACTCGGGAAGCTTTACATCTTTTTCCTAAGACCTAGGATGTAGATCTAGTTTACACAGTAGTTTTCAACTGCAGGAATATTTTGCCTCCCATGGGACATTTGGAAATATCTGGAGACATTTTTGTGGTCACAACTGGTCACGGTCGGGAGGTCTTATTGGCATTCCGTGGGTAGAGGGGATGTTACTAAATGTCCCACAACACACCAGGAGAACCCTCACAAAGAATTGTCTGGCCCAAGATATCAATATTGCTGAGGCTGACAAACCCTGGTTTAAATAAATGTCCAATTTGGAGGATGAGTCTGTCTTTTTCCTTCTTCTGCGTATTGGTCTCCAGATTTTCCATTTCTTCAGTTAGTTTTCGTAACTGTAGATTCTTAAAAGAAATGAACACTTCTCCCATACTTCTAAGGTGTTGTAAAGATGTGTAAAGTTTTCACTTTTTGCATCATATTCACATGTGGCTATATGCCCTTTTCTCTTCAAAGGTTTCTTTATCTTGATCACTTATCAGAGGCGTGACTGTTTCATTATCTTAGGCTTTTGAAAGAATCCTCCTTTAGTTTTATTTTTTAAATTTAGTGAGTTTTTTTCTCACATTTTCCTTATGTCTTAATTATTTCCCCTTTTTGTTTATTTTGCTTTTTCTAGTTTAGTGGATCAATGTAATTTAAATTGCTTTTTAAACAAACCTGTAATGGTATACATTTTCTTTGGGTGCTGTTTGACTTTATTGCACAAGTTTTTTAAATTTATTTTTTATTATACTTTAAGTTTTAGGGTACATATGCACAACGTGCAGGTTTGTTACTTATGTATACGTGTGTCATTTTGATGTGCTGCACCCATTAACTCTTCATTTAAAATTAGGTATATCTCCTAATGCTATCCCTCCCCACTCCCCCCACCCCACAACAGGCCCCAGTGTGTGATGTTCCCTTTCCTGTGTCCATGTGTTCTCATTGTTCAATTCCCACCTATGAGTGAGAATATGCGGTGTTTGGTTTTTTGTCCTTGCGATAGTTTGCTGAGAATGATGCTTTCTAACTTCATCCATGTCCCTACAAAGGACATGAACTCATCATTTTTTATGGCTGCATAGTATTCCATGGTGTGTATGTGCCACATTTTCTTAATCCACTCTATCATTGTTGGACATTTGGGTTGGCTCCAAGTCTTTGCTATCACGAATAGCGCTGCAATAAACATACGTGTGCATGTGTCTTTATAGCAGCATGTTTTATAATCCTCTAGGTATATACCCAGTAATGGGATGGCTGGGTCAAATGGTATTTCTAGTTCTAGATCCCTGAGGAATCACCACACTGACTTCCACAATGGTTGAACTAGTTTACAGCCCCACCAACAATGTAAAAGCATTCCTATTTCTCCAAATCCTCTCCAGCACCTGTTGTTTCCTGACTTTTTAATGATTGCCATTCTAACTGGTGTGAGATTGTATCTCATTGTGGTTTTCATTTGCATTTCTCTGATGGCCAATGATGATGAGCATTTTTTCATGTGTCTTTTGGCTGCATAAATGTCTTCTTTTGAGAAGTGTCTGTTCAAATCCTTTGCCCACTTGTTGATGGGGTTGTTTGTTTGTTTCTTGTACATTTGTTTGAGTTCTTTGTAGATTCTGGATATTAGCCCTTTGTCAGATGAGTAGATTGCAAAAATTTTCTCCCATTCTGTAGGTTGCCTGTTCACTCTGATGGTAGTTTCTTGTGCTGTGCAGAAGCTCTTTAGTTTAATTAGATCCCATGTGTCAATTTTGGCTTTTGTTGCCATTGCTTTTGGTGTTTTAGACATGAAGTCCTTGCCCATGCCTATGTCCTGAATGGTATTGCCTAGGTTTTCTTCTAGGGTTTTTATGGTTTTAGGTCTAACATTTAAGTCTTTAATCCAACTTGAACTAATTTTTGTCTAAGGTATAAGGAAGGGATCCAGTTTCAGCTTTCTACATATGGCTAGCCAGTTTTCCCAGCACCATTTCTTAAATAGGGAATCCTTTCCCCATTTCTTGTTTTTGTCAAGTTTGTCAAAGATCAGATAGTTGTAGATAAGTGGCATTATTTCTGAGGGCTCCATTCTGTTCCATTGGTCTATATCTCTGTTTTGGTACCAGTACCATGCTGTTTTGGTTACTGTAGCCTTGTAGTATAGTTTGAAGTCACATAGTGTGATGCCTCCAGCTTTGTTCTTTTGGCTTAGGATTGACTTGGCGATGCAGGCTCTTTTTTGGTTCCATATGAACTTTAAAGTAGTTTTTTCCAATTCTGTGAAGAAAGTCATTGGTAGCTTGATGGGGATGGCATTGAATCTATAAATTACCTTGGGCAGTATAGCCATTTTCATGATATTGATTCTTCTTACCCATGAGCATGGAATGTTCTTCCATTTGTTTGTATCCTCTTTTATTTCATTGAGCAGTGGTTTGTAGTTCTCCTTGAAGAGGTCCTTCACATCCCTTGTAAGTTGGATTCCTGGGTATTTTATACTCTTTGAAGCAATTGTGAATGGGAGTTCACTCATGATTTGGCTCTCTGTTTGTCTTTTATTGGTGTAAAAGAATGCTTGTGTTTTTTGCACATTGGTTTTGTATCCTGAGAGTTTGCTGAAGTTGCCTATCAGCTTAAGGAGATTTTGGGCTGAGACAATGGGGTTTTCTAAATATACAATCATGTCATCTGCAAACAGGGACAATTTGACTTCCTCTTTTCCTAATTGAATACCCTTTATTTCCTTCTCCTGCCTGATTGCCCTGGCCAGAACTTCCAACACTATGTTGAATAGGAGTGGTGAGAGAGGGCATCCCTGTCTTGTGCCAGTTTTCACAGGGAATACTTCCCGTTTTTGCCCATTCAGTATGATATTGGCTGTGGGTTTGTCATAGATAGCTCTTATTATTTTGAAATACGTCCCATCAATACCTAATTTATTGAGAGTTTTTAGCATGAAGGGTTGTTGAATTGTGTCGAAGGCTTTTTCTGCATCTATTGAGATAATCATGTTGTTTTTGTCATTGGTTCTGTTTATATGCTGGATTACGTTTATTGATTTGCGTATGTTGAACCAGCCTTGCATCCCAGGGATTAAGGCCACTTGATCATGGTGGATAAGCTTTTTGATGTGCTGCTGGACTCAGTTTGCCAGTATTTTATTGAGGATTTTTGCATCAATATTCATCAAGGATATTGGTCTAAAATTCTCTTTTTTTGTTGTGTCTCTGCCAGGCTTTGATATCAGAATGATGCTGGCCTCATAAAATGAGTTAAGGAGGATTCCCTCTTTTTCTGTTGATTGGAATAGTTTCAGAAGGAATGGTACCAGCTCCTTCTTGTACCTCAGGTAGAATTCGGCTTTGAATCCGTCTGGTCCTGGACTTTTTTTGGTTGGTAAGCTATTAATTATTGCCTCAATTTCAGAGCCTGTTATTGGTCTATTCTGAGATTCAACTTCTTCCTGGTTTAGTCTTGGGAGGGTGTATGTGTCCAGGAATTTATCCATTTCTTCTAGGTTTTCTAGTTTATTTGCATAGAGATGTTTATAGTATTCTCTGATGGTAGTTTGTATTTCTGTGGGATCGGTGGTGATATCCCCTTTATCATTTTTTATTGCGTCTATTTGATTCTTCTCTCTTTTCTTCTTTATTAGTCTTGCTAGCAGTCTATCAATTTTGTTGATCTTTTCCAAAAACCAGCTCCTGGATTCATTGATTTTTTGAAGGGTTTTTTTGTGTCTCTATTTCCTTCAGTTCTGCTCTGATCTTACTTATTTCTTGACTTCTGCTAGCTTTTGAATGTGTTTGCTCTTGCTTCTCTAGTTCTTTTAATTGTGATGTGAGGGTGTCAATTTTAGATCTTTCCTGCTTTCTCTTGTGGGCATTTAGTGCTATAAATTTCCCTCTACACACTGCTTTGAATGTGTCCCAGAGATTCTGGTATGTTTTGTCTTTGTTCTTGTTGGTTTCAAAGAACATCTTTATTTCTGCCTTCATTTCGTTATGTACCCAGTAGTCATTCAGGAGCAGGTTGTTTAGTTTCCATGTAGTTGAGTGGTTTTGAGTGAGTTTCTTAATCCTGAGTTCTAGTTTGATTGCACTGTGGTCTGAGAGACAGTTTGTTACAATTTCTATTCCTTTACATTTGCTGAGGAGTGCTTTACTTCCAACTATGTGGTCAACTTTGGAGTACGTGTGGTGCTGAAAAGAATGTATATTCTGTTGATTTGGGGTGGAGAGTTCTGTAGATGTCTATTAGGTCCACTTGGTGCAGAGCTGAGTTCAGTTCCTGGATATCCTTGTTAACTTTCTGTCTCATTGATCTGTCTAATGTTGACAGTGGGGTGTTAAAGTCTCCCATTATTATTGTATGGGGGTCTAAGTCTCTTTGTAGGTCTCTAAGGACTTGCTTTATGAATCTGGGTGTTCCTGTATTGGGTGCATATATATTTAGGATAGTTAGCTCTTCTTGTTGAATTGATTCCTTTACCATTATGTAGTGGCCTTCTTTGTCTCTTTTGATCTTTGTTGGTTTAAAGTCTGTTTTATCAGAGACTAGGATTGCAACTCCTGCCTTTTTTTTGTTTTCCATTTGTTTGGTAGATCTTCCTCCATCCCTTTATTTTGAGCGTATGTGTGTCTCTGCATGTTAGATGGGTTTCCTGAATGCAGCACACTGATGGGTCTTGACTCTTTATCCAATTTGCCAGTCTGTGTCTTTTAATTGGGGCATTTAGCCCATTTACATTTAAGGTTAATATTGTTATGTGTGAATTTGATCCTGTCATTATGATGTTAGCTGGTTATTTTGCCCATTAGTTGATGCAGTTTCTTCCTAGCCTCGATGGTCTTTACAATTTGGCATGTTTTTGCATTGGCTGGTACCAGTTGTTCCTTTCTATGTTTAGTGCTTCCTTCAGGAGCTCTTTTAGGGCAGGCCTGGTGGTGACAGAATCTCTCAGCATTTGCTTGTCTGTAAAGTATTTTATTTCTCCTTCATGTATGAAGCTTAATTTGGCTGGATATGAAATTCTGGGTTGAAAATTCTTTTCTTTAAGAATGTTGAATATTGGCCCCCACTCTCTTCTGGCTTGTAGAGTTTCTGCAGAGAGATCAGCTGTTAGTCTGATGGGCTTCCCTTTGTGGGTAACCCAACCTTTCTCTCTGACTGCCCTTAACATTTTTTCCTTCATTTTAACTTTGGTGAATCTGACAATTATGTGTCTTGGAATTGCTCTTCTTGAGGAGTATCTTTGTGGCATCCTCTGTATTTCCTGAATTTGAATGTTAGCCTGCCTTGCTAGATTGGGGAAGTTCTCCTGGATAATATCCTGCAGAGTGTTTTCCAACTTGCCTCCATTCTCACCGTCACTTTCAGGTACACCAATCAGATGTAGATTTGGTCTTTTCACATAGTCCCATATTTCTTGGAGGCTTTGTTCATTTCTTTTTATTCTTTTTTCCCTAAACTTCTCTTCTCACTTCATTTCATTCATTTGATCTTCAGTCACTGATACCTTTTCTTCCAGTTGATTGAATTGGCTACTGAGGCTTGTGCATTCATCACGTAGTTCTCATGCCAGGGTTTTCAGCTGCATCAGGTCCTTTAAGGACTTCTCTACATTGGTTATTCTAGTTATCCGTTTGTCTAATTTTTTTTCAAAGTTTTTAACTTCTTTGCCATTGGTTCGAACTTCCTCCTTTAGCTCGGAGTAGTTTGATCTTCTGAAGCCTTCCTCTCTCACCTCGTCAAAGTCATTCTCCACCCAGCTTTGTTCCATTGCTGGTGAGGAGCTACATTCCTTTGGAGGAGAAGAGGCGCTCTGATTTTTGGAGTTTCCGGTTTTTCTGCTCTGTTTTTTCCCCATCTTTGTGGTTTTATCTACCTTTGGTCTTTGATGATGGTGACGTACAGATGGGTTTTTGGTGTAGATGTCCTTTTCTGTTTGTTAGTTTTCCTTCTAACAGTCAGGACCCTCAGCTGCAGGTCTGTTGGAGTTTACTGGAGGTCCACTTCAGACCCTGTTTGCCTGGGTGTCAGCAGCGTTGGCTGCAGAACAGCGGATATTGGTGAACTGCAAATGCTGCTGCCTGATTGTTCCTCTGGAAGTTTTGTCTCAGAGGAGTACCTGGCAGTATGAGGTGTCAGTCTGCCCCTACTGGGGGGTGCCTCCCAGTTAGGCTAATCTGAGAACAATAAAACAATTTGAAACAAAAATGTCTCCAGGTCTCTTAAAAGGAAGCTGGGGCAGCTTTCTGTAGCGCACTTCCCAAAAATGGGCTGATTTACCTCAAGAGGCAGGGATTCTAGCCTACATGGGATACATACAGGAGAAAAAAATCAGAAAAAGAAAAGAGATTTAAATTAAAAAATGAAAATAACAGTTCTCCCTCATTATAAAGGAAATCATTCTTTTTGTAATAATTTAGATGACAAATATTAAGAAAAATCTTAAATTTGCCACTCAAAACATTCTGGTTTGTTGCTTTTTATATGTTTTTCTGCACATAAACCTTTTAAAAAGTAGAATCACAATATGTAGTCTTTTGTCACTTACTATATTTTGGGCATATTTCTGTGGCAGTAAATATATCCTGGCATCATCATTTTTAATAGCTGGATGTATATTAAGTTAATCACTGCCACCCCAGAGGTGAATTTTCTTATACATTCATTTTAATGGGCTCGAGCAAACATTTTTGGACTGAATTC